>NC_000014.9:100217713-100520713 GCF_000001405.40 Homo sapiens | reverse complement strand
GATGGAGCTGTGAGTTCTTGGGCAACTCTCAGTAATAAATGCATTGTCTTCTTCCAGTGCCAAGATGCAAGGCAAAGTGGAAAGGTAGCACAGGGCCCACTGCTTTGGTTTAAAGTCGCAAAAGCAGAAGTCGCCAATCACATAGGATGGTGGCTATCAAAAGCAGCTGACATTTACATGGTCAATCCTTAGTTGAATATACATTATTAATAGAAAACTGGCAATATGGTGGTAAATCCTAATTAGATATACACTGTGAACAAAGAGAACTGCAAGAAATCTTAAAGTGTTTTCAGTCGTTTCATTGTTAGTGTCAATATATATAAAAGAAATGTGTTAAGGTAAGGCAGATGGAAGTTTAAAAATGTTAGCATAAAAGAGATTTTTAAAATATAAAAACAAAAAAGTAAAGAAAATTCTGTAATCCTAAATTTGAATTGGAAAAATCAGTATAAACAATAATATATTTTGTCTCCACAAGAAAAATATTTCCCAGCTCTGTCCACAGAAGGAGTGTGGAAACAATCAGCAAACTCAACACCTGGATTATAGTTCTTAAACCCAGCTAAACTGGCCAGAAGTGACATAGATAATAGACCAAGACTATATATATATATACACTATATATATATATGCACACACACACACACACATATGTACATATATATGTACACGCCCAAATGATCAATGTGTATATATATAGTGTACATATATATACACACTATATATACTATATATACCATATATATACTATATACACACTGTATTTATACTATAGTGTATATATAGTATATATACTATATATACATCTAGTATACATATATACATATATACATATAGTGTATATATAGTATATATATAGCATATATAGTATATATACTATATATACATATAGTATACATATATACATATATACATATAGTATAGTATATATACTATATATATACTATATATACACACTATATATATACTATATATACACTATATATAGTATATATACACTATATATACTATATATAGATGATTATATGTTATATATAGACTATATGTGTATATATATAGACTACATATATGATACAAAGACTATATATAGATATAGAGATAGTCTTCCATATCTCTACTTACCATGGTCAGTCTCTCCTCTACCTTCTTAAACATATGTTATGGAGTTATAATAACTTTTAATGAATCATATATACATATATGATCCAAATCACACTTCAAGAGATGAAGTATGCAATGTTTGAGATGAAAAATACATTAGATGGGATTAACAGCAGATGAGACACTGCAAAAGAAACCGTTAGTAAACTAGAAGACATAGCAATTAAAATTATGCAACATGTACCAGATAGAAAAAAATTCTAAATTTTAAAATGAACAAATCTAATGTAAACCTGAAATGGAGTAAACCCACTATGCATCTCTCTCTCTCTCTCTCTCTCTCCCCCCTATAAATTACACACACACACACAAAAAAACTCTGGACAAAATTTTAAAAGCAACTACCTGAAGACTCTGAAAAGTCAATAATAGCAGGTGGGTTGGGAAAGGAAGTCAAAATTTGAATAAAGACCAGTATGGCAGATGAGGTTCCCAGTTGGTATTCACTTTTGTGTTTTAACTCCTGCTGTTGACCCAAAGACTGACTGGATTAAGGCAGTACATAGTGGGCATGGACACCAAACATTCTGAAATAAATCCCTCATTCTGCCCAAATGATCAAGCTGAAGAAAAAAATAAACAGAGCTTTGGGGATCTATGAGATAATATCAAAAGCTTAAATATTTTTGTCAACAGAGTCCTTTTTTTTTTTTTTAGAGATGAAGTCTCGCTCTGTCCCCCAGGCTGGCATGCAGTGGCACGATCTTGGCTCACTGCAACTTCCGCCTCCCAGGTTCAAGCGATTCTTCTGCCTCAGCCTCCCGTCCTCTAGCTGGGACTACAGGCACACGTTGCAATGCCTGGCTAATTTTTTGTATTTTAGTAGAGACGGGGTGTCACCATGTTGCCCAGGCTGGTCTTGAACTCCTGAGCTCAGACAATCTGCCCGCCTTGGCCTCCCAAAGTGCTAGGATTACAGGTGTGAGCCACCGCAGCTGGCCATCAACAGAGTTCTTAAAGGAGAAGGTGAAGACAGCAGTACCCAAAAGAAAGAATATTTAAGGAAATATTGAGTAAACTGTTCCCAAATTTGGTTAAAAAGTCAAGAGACTCTGCAACCACAAAGAGGATAAATTAAAAAGAAAAAACACAATACAAACCATGTTCTGCATATCCCAATCAAACTGCTAAAAACCTCAAAGAAAAAACCTTGACAGTGCCCAGGAAAAAAAAAAATGAAGAATTACACAGAGGAGAACAATTTGAAATACCATAAATGTATCATCAGAAACTATGGAGACCAGAAAACAGCGGAACATACTGAAAGTGGTAAATTAGCATCAATCCAAAATTTTACAGACAGCAAAAATATCTTTCAGGAATAAAGAGGAAATGAAGGCCTTTACAAATGAAGAAGAACTAAGTGAATTTGTCATGAACAGACCTGATCTATCTAAAACAAATGCTAAAGGAAGTTCCTCAGGCTGACAGGAAATAATGCCAGAGGAAAACTTGGAGCTTCAGGGATGAAGGAACAGCAGCAAAAAACGGTAAATGATTAGGTAGATATAAAAAATCATTTTTTCACTTAAGTTATATGAAATACGTATGACTCTTGAAAAAAATATATAGCATTGTCTGGGAAGGGGATCTTCAATGTATGTAGATGTAATCCATAACACAATTTTAACTTACAGGGTAGGGGGTAAAAAGGCTTATCTGGTTAGAAGAATCATGTTTGTTTTGTTTGTTTTGTTTGTTTGTTTGAGACGGCGTCTTGCTCTGTTGCCCAGGCTGCAGTGCAGTGGTGCAACCTCAGCTCACTGCAACCTCCCCTTCCTGGGTCCAAGTGATTCTCCTGCCTCAGCCCCAGGAGCAGCTGGGACTACAGGCGCGTGCCACCACGCCCGGCTAATTTTTGTATTTTTAGTAGAGATGGGGTTTCTCCATGTTGGTCAGGCTGCTCTCGAACTTCTGACCTCAGGTGATCCTCCTGCCTTGGCCTCCCAAAGTGCTAGGATTACAGGCGTGAGCCACCACACCTGGCCTAGAAGAATCATATGTTTTACTTGAAGTGGTAAAATATTAACAATAAGTAGAATTGTGAAAAATTAGGCATGTATATTGTAGTCCTTACAGCAACAATTTAAAGGTATAATACAAAGAGACATAACCAAAAAGCTAATAGATAAAATAATATGATATAATAAAAATGTTAAAATAATCCAAAGAAGGCAGGAAAAGAGCAAGTGGAATAAAAACAGAGGAGCTTTGGGAGGCCGAGGCGGGTGGATCATGAGGTCAAGAGATCCAGACCATCCTGGCTAACACGGTGAAACCCCATCTCTACTAAAAATACAAAAAATTAGCCAGGCGTGAGGCAGGAGAATGGCGTGAACCCTGGAGGCGGGACTTGCAGTGAGCCGAGATTGTGCCACTGCACTCCAGCCTGGGCGACAGAGCGAGACTCCGTCTCAAAAAAAAAAAAAAAAAAAAAAAAAAACAGAGGAGATATGTCAGGTGCAGTGGCTCATGCCTGTGGTCCTGGCTACTTGGGAAGCTGAAGTGGGAGGACTGCTTGAGCCCAGAAGGTCAAGGCTGCAGTGATCTATGATCATACAACTGCACTTCAGCCTGGGTGACAGAGTGAGATCCCATCTCCTTTAAAAAAAAAAAAAACAGAGACAAATAATAAAATAATAACATGACAGGCCAAAGTCAACCATAGCAGTAATTACATTAAATATAAATTGTCTAAAATCTCCAACTAAAAGACAGATTGTCCAATTGGCTTTCAGATTAACATTTAAAAAGATCCAACTGTATCTAGTCTACAAGACAGCCACCTTAAATATAATAAAATACATAGCTTATAAGTAAAAGGATAAAAAAATATACCATATTAAAAATAACCAAATGAGGGCTGAAGTGACCATATTAATAGCAGGCAAAGTAGACTTCAGAACAAGGAAAACCGCCAGGAATAAGAGGAATACAATGAAAACGTACAAGTGTCAATTCATCTAGCAGACATAACAACCTTAAATATGTATATACCTAATAACAGACTTTCAAAATACATGAAGCAAAAACTGATGGAATTGAAAGGAGAAACCATACAAGTCCACGATTTTACCTGGAGATATTAACACTCCTTTCTTTATAATAAGTAACACAAATATTAATCAGTGCATTCATGTGAGGAAACTACACAAACCGGGAAAGGAACCACCAAAAGAGAATAAGCAAAACAATTGCCAAGTTTCACACAGAGCTAGGAATCATTCATTTTCCCACCAGTCAGAGGGGGAAAACCTTGAAATACACATGGCATTGGATAGAGTACTCACAAGAGTATAACCTCAGAAATGAGGCAAAATTGGCCCTAGTCTAAAGGCTGTTTTTGTTCCACCAAACAAAGCCTAACAGCAAGCCTCTGAAAAATCAAACCGTTATCAAGCAATACAACCGCATCCAAAAAATCTCTCAAAATATGTAAAGCACAACAAAATACTGAATACCCAAAAAGTAAAATTCACAATGTCTGGCATCCAATCAAAAGTTACCAGACCTGGAAAGAGGTAAGAAAATGCTTCCCATAATGAAAAAAAAAAAATCTGTCAATAGAAACAGACCCATGAGTGACACAAATGATAGAATAAATAGAAAAGAGGTTGGGCGTGGTGGCTCACATCTGTAATACCGGAACTTTGGGAGGCTGAGGCAGGTGGATCACCTGAGGTCAGAAGCTCAAGAACAGCCTGGCAAACATGATGAAGCCCCATTTCTACTAAAAATACAAAAAAAAAAAAAAAAAAAAGCAAGGTGTGGTGGCATGCGCCTGTAATTCCAGCTACTAAGGATGCTGAGGCAAAATTGCTTGAACCCAGGAGGCAGAGGTTGCAGTGAGCCAAGATTAGGCCACTGCACTCCAGCCTGGGTGACAGAGTGAGACTCAGTCTCAAAAATAATACTAATAATAAATAGAAAAGAACAATAAATCAGTTATGACTATATACTGTATGCTCAAGAAGGTAGCGGACAGTATGAGAATGTTAAGGATAATACACATGAAAGATATCTTTTAAAGACCCAAATCAAACATGTAGAAGTGATATAAAACAATGCCCCGCTATTAATAGATTAAAAATTGCATAAGATATGATTACTAAATTTGAAGATATGGAAGAACAGAGGATCAGTGAGCTATGGAATAAATCCAAAAACCCTGAATATGAATGTAAGTGAGACAGGGAGATGAGGGGTGGGGTTTCGGGGACAAACAAAATTGAAAAAACTACGAGCAAAAATTTTCCAAATTTGATTAAACTGTAAACCCACAGATAAAAGACTATAATACATTGATTAAAACTATAAACTCACAGATAAAAGAAACTAAACAAAGCCTAAGAAACATAGAGAAAAATTACACCAAGGCCCATTGTTTAAATTGCTTGAAGCCAATGGTAAAGAGAAAAATCTTAAAAAGCAGACAGAGAAAAGATGCATTATATACAGAAAAGCAAAGATGAGAAATACAGCAGACTTCTCATTGGAAACAGAGCAAACTAGTGACAATTGAGTGACATGTTTAAAGTACTGGAAGAGAAAAAAATCATCAACCCCAAATTCTTTACCTAGCATAAATATCTTTTAGACAAAAGACAAACTAAAGATTTTTTTGGGCAAATAAAAGCTGAAATAATTTATCACTAGCAGACCAAAAATACAGGAAATGTTAAAGGAAGTCCTTAAGGCACAAAGAAAATGATACCAGATCTAAATTTACACCCAAAAATGAAAAGCAATAGAAATAATACATATGTAGGAAAATAGATAATATCTTTTTATTATTAAAATATTTTTAAAATTATTGGCTACTTCCAGCAAAAATAATAACAATGTTGGAGATTGTAACATAAGTAAGAGTGAAAAATGTATGACAGTAATAGCACAAAGACCCTGAGGGGAGAAACTGAAAATCTGAATACTGCTCTAAGGTTCTTACAGAAAAAGAGATATAATGTGACTTAAATGCAGACAATCATTTTAAAAAAACAAACCCCACAGCACAATGCCACAGATGATAAAGCAACAAAAAAGATTAAGATGAAATCATAAAAATACTAAATTAATCCAAGTGAAAAAAATGGATGGGGGAGAAGAGATGGAACAAATAAAAAAAAATAGCAAGGTAGCAGATTTAAACCCAACCATATCAATAATCATAATAAATTAAAACAGGACAAATAACCTAGTTCGAAAGAAGAGATTGTTAGACAGGTTTAAAATAAAGAAGCAAGATCCAGCTATATGCTGCCTAAAATAAACAAACTTTAAATATAAAGATACAAATAGGTTAAAAGTAAAAAAGGGCCGGGCGCGGTGGCTCACGCTTGTAATCCCAGCACTTTGGGAGGCCGAGGCGGGCGGATCACGAGGTCAGGAGATCGAGACCATCCTGGCTAACACGGTGAAACCCCATCTCTACTAAAAATACAAAAAAATTAGCCGGGCGTGGTGGCGGGCGCCTGTAGTCCCAGCTACTTGGGAGGCTGAGGCAGGAGAATGGCGTGAACCCGGGAGGCGGAGCTTGCAGTGAGCCGAGATTGCGCCACTGCACTCCTGCCTGGGCCACAGAGCGAGACTCTGTCTCAAAAAAAAAAAAAAAGTAAAAAAGATATGCCATGCTAACAATAATTAAAATAAGCCAGGAATGTCTATATTAATACCAAAGTAGATTTCAGAGTAAAGAATAAAGGGATAAAGAGGGTCTTTTCATGGCTGGGCACAGTGGCTCATGCCTGTAATCCTAGCACTTTAGGAGGCCGAGGCAGGAGGATCACTTGAGCTCAGGAATTTGAGACCAGCCTGGGCAACCCAGTGAGACTCTGTTTCAAAAAAAAGAAAAAAAAAAAAGAGGGTCCTTTCACAATGATAAAAGAATCAATTCATTAGGAGAACATGATAATCCTAACTGTGTATGCACCTGGTAACAACTTCAAAATAAATGCAGGAAAACTAACAGAACTGAAAAAGGAAGTAGACAAATCCACTCTTAGAGACACAAATTGCAAGCCTTGTCTTAGTGCATTCCTGCTGCTAGGACAAAATACCTTAGACTGGGCAATTTATAAATAATAGATATTTACTTCTCCCATTTCTGGATGGTGGGAAGTCCAAGATTGAGGTGCCAGCAGATTCAGTGTCTGGTGAGGGCTTGCACCTTCTTGCTTGTCCTCACATGGCAGAAGAGATGGAAGAGTAAAAAAGGGCCCACCTTGTTCCCTCCAGCCCTTTTATAAAGGCATTAACTACACTAACAAAGGTGGAGCCCTCATGACGTAATCTACCCCTTATGTGCCCCCACCCCCTAATACCATCCCTTTGGGGTTTAAGTTCCAACATATAAATTTTGGAGGGATACATACGTTCAAAGTATAGCACAGCTCTTATAGAATAGACAGAAAAAACAGAAAGGATATAGAAAATTTAAATAACACTATCAACCAACTTGACGTAATTGACATTTATAGAACACTGCACCCAACAACCACAGAACACACGTTCTTTTCAGTGCACACAGAACATTTACCAAGATAGACCATATTTTAAAACATCAAAAAAATCTAAATAAATTTAAAAGAATTCAAATATACAATGTATGTACTGTGACCACAATGGAATTGAATTAGAAAAAATAACAAAGAGGCATCTGAAAAGTTCCCAAGTGTTTGGAACCTAACGAGCACACTTCTAAATAAATCATGGATCAGGAAGAAACCAAAAGGAAATCAGAAAGTATTTTGAACTGAATGAAAATGAAAATGCAATATATCAACAGCTTGGGTAGTGCAGCTGAAATACCTAGAGAAAAATCAATAGTATTGAACATCTATAATCGGAAAAGAATAAAAGTCTCAAAACTATGACCTCAGCTTACACTTTAAGAAACTAGAAAAAGAAAATTAAATTCAAGGTTTTTGTGAAAGAAAGGAAATAAGATAGGAAAAGAAATCAATGAGTTCTGTAAAAAGAAAAGAAAGAGTAAAAGACAATAAAATGAAAATCTGATACTTGATCAATAAAATTTATAAGCCTCTAGCTAGACTGATCAGAGTAAAAAACAGAGAAGACAAAAATCACCAATATCAGCACTGAGAGAAATGAGGTGGTATCACCACAGATTATACAGATTTTTAAAAATAACATTACAAAAAACTTTATGCCAAAAAATTGGACAACTTTGATGAAATGGACAAATTTCTTGAAAGGCACAAGCTATCAAAAGTCACTCAAAGATTAATAGAAAATCAGAATAGCCCTATATTTACTAAGTAGATTTTATTTAAAATTTCAAATCTTCCCACAAAGAAAATTTCAGGCCAAGACAGCTTCACTAGTCAATTCTAGCAAACATTTAAGGAATAATGTCAATTTTTACACGAAGTCTTCCAGAAAATTGATGAGAAATGAACATTTCCCAATTTGTTCTATGAAGCCAGAATTACCCTGATACCAAACCCATACAAAGATATTATAATAAAAAAAGTTCAGATCAATAACCCTCATAAACATAGATGCAAAAATTCCTAACACAACTTTAGCTGATATAATTCCAAATTATACAAAGGGAATAATATATTATGATCAAGTGAAGTTTATCCCAGGAATGCAAGGCTGTTCTAATATTTGAAAATCAACTGACAAAATCCACCATATTAACAGAATAAAAAAACCACACATGATCATTTCAATAAATGGGAAAAGGCATTTAACAAAATCTAACATTCATTCATGATTTTTAAAAAACTCTCAGCAAACTATGAATAAAAGGGAGTACATTCAAACTGATAGGGACATGTACAAAACAACTAGTTGACATCATATGTAACTGAAAGAGAATACTTTCCCTCTATGATCAGAAATAAGGCAAGGATGCACACTCTCACCACTTCTAGACAACACTGTTCTAGAGGTTTGAGCCAGTGCAATAAGGAAACAAGAAAGGAAGGAAGGAAGGGAAGGAGAAAAGGAGGAAGGGAGGGAGGGAGGAAGAGAGAAAATAGATGAGAGAGAGAGAGGATAGAGATAGACAGATAGTGTCCAGATTGGAAAAGAATAACTAAACCTGACTTTATTAACAGACAACATGATTATCTATATAGAAAATCCAATAGAATCTACAAAGAAACAACCAGAACTAATAAATGAGTTTAGAAGAGTTACAGAATTCAAGGTGAAAATTCACATAGCCACAATTTTTCTATATACTAACCATGAGCAACCAGAAGCTGAAATTTTAAAATATCACTTACAATAGCATCAAAATATAAATACTTGGGGATAAATTCTGACAAAAAAATGTGAAAGACCTACACTATGAAAACTACAAAACATTGGTGAGAAAAATTAAAGACTTCAGTAAATAGAGAAGTATACTATGCTTATGGGTTGAAAGAAACAAAATTGTTGGCAGTACAATTCTTTCCCAAATTGCTCTACAGATGAGATGCAATACCATTTAAAGTTCAAGCCAGTTTTTTTTTGCATAAATTGGCAAAGCAATTGTAAAACTGAAATGTAAATGCAAAGAACCTACAGTAGTCAGAACAAAGGTGGAAGACTTATACGAGCTGATTTCAAGATTCATTATAATATTACAATGATGAAAACAATGGTATAAAGATAGACAAATAAATCAATGGGGCCAGTGCAGTGGCTCACACCAGTAATCCCAACTCTTTGGGAGGCCAAAGAAAGAGGATCACTTGAAGCCAGGAGTTTGAGATCAGCCTGGGCAACATGGCGAGACCCTGTCTCTACAAAAAAAAAAAAAATTTACATTATTATTATTATTATTATTATTATTTTGAGATGGTGTCTCGCTCTGTCACCCAGGCTGGAGTGCAATGACGCGATCTCGGCTCACTGCAACCTCCGGCTCCCGGGTTCAAGTGATTCTCCTGCCTCAGCCTCCCGAGTAGCTGGGATTACAGGCACCCACCATCATGCCCAGCTAATTTTTGTATTTTTAGTAGAGACGGGGTTTCACCATGTTGGCCAGGCTGGTCTTGAACTCCTGACCTCAGGTGATCCGCCCACCTTGACCTCCCAAAGTGCTGGGATTACAGGCGTGAACCACTGTGCCCGGCCAAAAGAAATTTTTTTTAAATTAGCCGAGTGTGGTGGTGCACATCTATAGTGCCAGCTACTCAGGAGATTGAGGCAGAAGGATCGCTTGAGCCCAGAAGTTCCAGGCTGCAGGAGCCATGATCGTGCCACTGCCTGGATGACACAGTGAAACCCTTGTCTCTAAAAATTAATTTTTTTTTTTTTTGACATGGAGTCTCGTTCTGTCACCCAGGCTGGAGTGCAGTGGTGCAATCTCAGCTCACTGCAACCTCCGCCTCCCGGGTTCAAGCAATTCTCTTGCCTCAGCCTCCTGAGTAGCTAGGACTACAGACACACGCCACCACGCCCAGCTATTTTGTGTACTTCTAGTAGAGACAGGTTTTGCCATGTTGGCCAGGCTGGTCTCGACCTCCTGACCTCAAGTGATCCACCCACCTCAGCCTCCCAAAGTGCTGGGGTTACAGGTGTGAGCCACCATAACCAGCCTACAAAAAATTTTTTTAATTAAAAAAAAAAAGAAATCAATGGAACAGAAGAGAGAGTACAACAATAGACCTAAATCTATTTAGCCAATTGATTTCCACAGAGAGGTAAAGGCACAGATATTGTTTTCAACAAATGCTGCAGAAATTTGATTATCCACAGGCAAAAACATGAAACTACATCCATACCTGTACCATACACAAAAAATTAATACTAAATAGATCACAGACTTTAATATGAAGCCCAAAACTATACAACTTCTAGAAGTAAACACAGGGGCACAAAAACTTTTGAAGGTAATGGATGCATTATTTATCTTGATTGTGGTAACTATTTCATGGATGTATACATATATGAAAACTTAAACTGTACATTTTGAATATGTGCAGCTTATTGTATGTCAGTTATATTTCCATAAAAGTATAAAAAGGGCAGGACACGACAAAAATGAAGGAAAAATAAAGACATTTTTGATAAACAAAAACAGAGAATTCCCCACCACAAACCTGTATTATAAGAAATGCTAAAGGAAGTTCTGCAGCCTGGGGGGTAGTGATACCAGATTGGCACTCAGATCAACAAGAAGAAATGAAGACACCCCAGCCATTAAAAAATAAAGTTAAAAACAATTTTAGAGCAATAAATTTGACAATTTAGATAAAATGGAAAAATTCCTTAGAAGATAAAAGATAACAAAAACAACTAAAGGAGAAATAGGACACCTGAATGGCCCACGTTACACATAGTTAATTTTTTTTGTGATTCAATATCTACCTACAAAGAAAGTCTTGTGTCCAGATGTCTTCACTGCTGAATTCTATCAAACATTTAAGGAAGAAATAATACCAATCTTATACAAACATTCAAAAACATAAGTAGAGAACATTTCTCAGTTCACTTTTCTGAGGTCAATATTAATCTCACATCAAAATGAGACAAAGAATATAGGAAAAAATGTATCGATCAATAATCCTCATTAACATAGATTTTAAAAATCCTTAACAAATTATTAGCAACTTGAATTAAACTCTATATAAGGACAATATATCATAAAACCAAATAGGAAAGATATGGTTTAACTTTAAAAAAAATCAATGTAATTCAACATATTAGCAGAACATAGGAAAACATATAGATGTAGTAAAATCATTTTTGACAAAATTCAACACCAATATATGATTTTTAAAAAATTCATACAACTAAGAATAGAAGGTAGCTTTCTTAAACTGACTTAAGGTATCTATGAAAAACCAACATCTAACATCATACTTAATGGTAAAAGACTGATTGTTTTCCCTACAAAATGAGAAACAAGACAAAAATGTCCATTTTCACAATTTCTATTCAGTATTGTACCGAAAGTTCTAGTCATTGTAATACAGCAAGAAAAATAAATAATTGCACATGCATTAGAAAGAAAGCTGTAAAATAATACAGACTACATGATCATGTAAATTAAAATTTCTAAGTAATCTAGGAAAAAGCTACAAGAACTAAGAAGTGAATTTTAGTAAGGTCACATGATACACAGTCCATATAAAAGAGTCCTGTATCTTGCCTGATTGTTCTGGCTAGGACTTCCAGTACTACATTGAATTAGGAATGGTGAGAGTAGGCACCCTTGTCTTATTCCAGTTCTCAAGGGGAATGCTTCCAGTTTTTGCCCATTCAGTATGAAGTTGGCTGTGGGTTTGTCATAGACAGCTCTTTTTATTTTAAGGTATGTTCCTTCAAGGCCTAGTTTCTTGAGGGTTTTTATCACGAAAGGATGTTGGATTTTATTGAAAGCTTTTTCTGTGTTTATTGAGATAATCATATTATTTTTGTTTTCAATTCTGTTTATGTGGTGAATCACATTTGTTGATTCACATATAATGAACCAACTTTGCATCCGAGGAATGAAGCCTACTTGATCATGGTGAATTAACTTTTTGATGTGCTGCTGGATTTGGTTCACTAGTATTTTGTTGAGGATTTCTGCATCTATGTTCATCAGGGATATTGGCTTGTAGTTTTCTTTTTTTCTTGCCAAGTTTTGGTATGAAATGTTGGCTTTGTAGAATGAGTCAGGCAAGAGAAATAAAGGGCATTGAGATAGGAAAAAATAAGTCAAACTATCTCTCTTCACAGATGATATTATTCAATATTTAGAAAACCCTAAAGACTATGCCAAAGGGCTCCTGGAACTAATAAATGACTTCAGTAAAGTTTCAAGATAAAAATTCAATGTGTAAAAATCTGTAGCATTTCTATACACCAATAACATTCAAGCTGAGAACAAATCAAGAATACAATCCCATTTGCAATACCATTTGCAACAGCCATAAAAAAAAAAAAAAACACAAATACCTAGGAATACATCTAACCAAGAAGGTGAAAGATCTCTACAAGGAGAACTACAAAATACTGCTGAAAGAAATCATAAACGACACAAACAAATAGAAAACCATTCCGTGCTCATGGATTCGAAGAATCAATATCATTAAAATGACCATACTGCCCAAAGCACTCTATAGATCCAATGCTATTCCTATCAAACTACCAATATCATTTTTCACAGAACTAGAAAAAACTGCTCTAAAATTCATATGAAACCCAAAAAGAGCCCAAATAGCCAAAGCAATCTTAAGCAAAAAGAACAAAGCTGGAGACATCCTATTACTTGACCTCAAACTATACTATAAGGCTACAGTAACCAAAACAACATAGTACTGTACAAACACAGACACATAGCCCAATCAAACAGAATAGAGAACCCAGAATAAAGCTGCACACCTGCAGCCATCTGATCTTCAACAAAGTCAACCAAAATAAGCAATGGGGAAAAGATTCCCTTTGCAATAAATGGTGCTGGGATAGATGGCTAGCCATATACAAAAAAATGAAACTGGCCCCTGCCTTTCACCATATACAAAAATTAACTCAACATTTAAATGTAAGACCTCAAACTTTAAGAATCCTATAAAAATAAAACCTAGGAAACATCATTTTGGACATCAGCCTTAGGAAAGAATTTATTGCTAAGTCCTCAAAAGCAACTGCAATAAAAACAAAAATTAACAAGCAGGACCTAATTAAACCAAAGAGCTTCTGCACAGCAAAATAAACTATCCAGAGAGTAAACAGACAACCTACAGAATAGGAGAAATATTTGCAAACTACGCATCTGACAAAGCTGTAATATCCAGAATCTATAAGAAACTTAAACAATTGAACAAGCAAAAAAACAAATAACCCTATTAAAAAATGGGCCAAAGACATGAATAGACACTTCTCAAAAGAAGACATACAGGCAGCCAGCAAATATGAAAAAATGTTCAACATCACTAGTCAGCAGAGAAATGCAAATCAAAATCACAATGAGATAACTTCTCACACCAGACAGCATGGCTATTACTAAAAAGTCAAAAAAATAACAGGTGCTAGCAAGGCTGCAGAGAAAAAAGAACACTTATACTCTGTTGGTGGGAATGTAAGTTATTTCAGCCATTGTGGAAAGCAGTTTGGAGGTTTCTCAAAGAACATAAAACAGTACTACCATTTATCCCAGCAATCCCATTACTGGGTATATATCCAAAAGAAAATGTTATTCTACCAAAGAGACACATGCACTCACGTGTTCATCACAGCACTATTCACAATAGCAAAGACATGGAATCAATCTAGGTGCCCATCAACAGTAGATTGAATACAGAAAATGTGGCAAATATACACCATGGAATACTATGCAGCCATAAAAAAGGATGAAATCATGTCCTTTGCAGCAACACGGATGAAGTTGGAGACCATTTTCCTAAGCAAATTAATGCAGGAACAGAAAACAAAAATACTCCATGTTTTCACTTATAAGTGGAAGCTAAACTTTGGGTACTTGTGGAAATAAAGATGGCACAATAGACACTGTGGTCTAGAGGGTGGAGGGAGGGAGCGGGCAAGGGTTGAAAAACTAACTGTTGAGTACTATGCTCAGTAACTGGGTGAAGGGATCAATCATACCCGAAACCTCAACATCACGCATTATACCCAGGTAACAAACCTGCACGTGTATCCCCTGGATCTAAAATAAAAGTTGAAATTATTTTTTTAAAAAGAAAGTTAATAGTATTTCTATATACTAATACCAAACAACTGGAAAATGAAATAAAATATAAAATTCCACTCACATTAGTATCCAAAAACATGAGAAACTGAGGAATAAATTAATACAACATGTGTAACATCAAACACTGAAAACTACAAAACACAGCTGACAGAAACTAAAGAAGAGCTAAATAAATGAAGAGATGTGCTATGTTCATGGATAAGAAGATGCAACATTATTAAGATGTCAATTATCCCCAAACTGATCTACAGATTGGACCCAATAGATATCTTTGTAGAAAAAGATAAGTTGATTGTAAAATTGAAATACGAATGTAAAGAACCTAGAATAGCCAGAAAAATCTTGAAAAAGAAAAGCAAAGTTTGAGGCTTAAACTTCTCAATCTCAAAAATTATTATAAAGCTACAGTAACCAAAAGAGTATGATATTGGTAAAATGATAGACACATCAATCAATAGAACAGAACTGACAAGCCAGAAAGAGAACCTCATGTGGCAAATTGATTTTCCACCAAGGCTCCAAAAACAATCTAATGAGGAAAATAATGTCGTTTCAACAAATGCTGCCAAAACAACTGGGTATCCCACATAGCAAAAGAAATAAATAACTGTTGACCTTACCTCACACCATAAACAAAAATTAACTGAAAATATACCATAGCCCTGAATAAATGTATGGCAAAAACTATGAAACTTCTAGAAGAAGACATAGGAGAAAATCTTTGCAACATTAGGATAGGTAAAGATTTCTTAGAACACAAAAACCTATGTAATAGGAGAAAATAATTCCAGAATATAGAAAGACTCTTAGAACTCAATAATAATAAATTTATATAGGCAAATACTTTGAACAGATCCTTCACAAAACAAGACATTCAAATGGTCAATAGGCCCACAAAAAGATGTTCACCATCATTAGTCATCAGGGAGAAGAAATTAAAGCCACAATCAGATACTACTACACACCCACTAAAATAACTAAAATGAAAAAGACTGACAACACCAAGTGTTGGTGAGAATGTGAGGCAACTGACACTTTCCCACACTGCTGATGGAAATGCAAAATGGTACAACCACTTTGGAAACAGTTTGGTGACTTATTAAAAATTTAAATATATATATACTACACCACTTAGCAATTCCACTCTCAGTTATTTACCCAAAGAAAGGAAAATGTATATTCACATACAGACCTGTTCATGAACGTTCTCAGCAGCTTTACTCATAACAGCCAAAAACTGGAGACAACTCAAAACGTCCATCCACAGGTGACTGGATAAACAAACTGCGGTATGTCCATACAATGGACTATGACTCAGCAACAAGGAATGCTGATACATACAATAGGGATGAGCCTTGGAAGCAGCAGCAGACTCACAAGCTCCCCCAGTGACCTGCTTTAAGATGAAACCACCAGTTCATAAGACATACAGAAGGAACAGAGGAATGTGTTAAATTACATCAGAGGGATACAGTAAGAAAGATACAGGAAAAATAACTGATTTATTACCCAATAAATAAGTTATAAGAAAAAGAAAGTAGGAAAGAAATCTATAGACTTAAGAGACTTAGAAATCAAATGTTAGGGTCCTGATTTGAACAAGGCACTGTTTAAAGCAAATTATGAGACAACCAGGGAAATCTGAACATGGATTAGAGAGTGGATGATATTAAGGAATTATTGCCAAATTACTAGATGGGATAACAGTTTTTTAAGCCCACACCTTTTAAAGAAACAAAAGTATTTACAAATAAAATGACAGGATGTCTGGGATTTGCTTCAAAATAATCAGTGGTGAGGGTGAGGAGGGTGGAGACTATTGGGAAATGGGTAGGATTATGGATAAAATAAGCATGGCCATAATTTTATAATTGTTAAAACAGGATGCTGGTTGCATAAAGGTTCATTAATTAGTCTTTCTACTTTGGTATATATTTACATTTTTCAATAATAAAAAGTTTCTTTAAAGTGCTCTGAGGGGAGGAATTAGCTCCACAAATGTTAGTTCTTCTTATCAGCTGGGCCTGAAATCATAAGCAGAGGTGGGACCAACTGAAATCAAGCAGTGCGTACAGAACAGACATAATTAAAGCGAATTACACCTGCGGTAGCATGCATCTGTCCCATCTGTCCAGAACCCAACCCCGCTCTGCCAACGGGAATCCAGCAGTCTTCGGGGACGGGGGCTGAGGTGGCCAGGGCTGGGGACAAGGTTGTGATGTGTAAGTGAAGCCGGGGAGCCCGGCAATTCTCCTACCTAGGTGCCAGTGGTTTCTATAGAAACCACCAGAGAAATGATATTTCACAGAGCACAAAGCGTCTCCACTGGCCTCCACTGGCTTTGTTCACACTTGCCCATCTGCAGCTGAGATCCAGCTTATCAAAGTGGCCCTCACGGCTCACTTTTAAATAGGTACAGCTCATTATAAAGCACCTGCTTTCAAATGTTTCCAAGGAAACAGAGGCCCCAAGACACCCCTCTCTCTAAATTCATTAGCATTTAACACTCCTTAATGAGGCTTAAAGATGGCGCGCTTTAATAACCACATGCGGGGGGCAGGGGGAGGACACCTTTCCCTTTTATATTCAGGTGTAACTGATGAGCTGGCTCAGGCTCCCAGGGGACACGCTTTAAAGGCAATGGTGACAGCATGCTGGGCGTGACTGGGGAGGTCTCCCTTATCTCTAAAGCCTCCCTTGGGGTGTTCAGCTCTGGGTCACAACCTAAAAATGGCCAGGGTGGAGGCCCTGCACTGGCCACCATGGGCAGCCAAGCTGACCTTGTTTCCTAACTCTCCTCTGAATGCGCATGCACACACACACACACACACGCACACACACACACGGACACAGACACACACACATGCATGGATGGACACACACATGCATGGATGGACACACACACATGCACCGACACACATACAGACACACACACTCACAGACACACACTGCGTGTTCTCCAGCAACAAAAAACCCTCACCATTCCCTCATATGTTGTGCCCTTTAGTGCCTACGTGCCTTTATACATTCCTTATGCCTAAAATACCCTACCTTGACTTGCTGCCTAGAAAACTCCTATGTATCCTTTGAAACCCTCTGCCAGCCAAGCCTCCCAATGTGGCAAGCAAAATCATTAGCTCCTTCTTCTGTGAGTCTTTCATTAGCCCCCAAGCAGTTCCCATCACGATGTACTCTGTGGAGACTGACTCCTCCCCTCGCCATGCAGGGAGGGACCTCATGTTCCCCCACGCCGTGGCCACTTGGCCATGCAGTGGTTAATTCAGCAAGTGTCTATAGGACCCCTAATGAAGAACTCTAAAGTGAGCAGCTCCAGGACACTGGTGGAACTGGAGCTGGCAGGTGGGGAGCAGCCTGTGAGTGTCTTGGGTCCCCCAGCTCCCCCAGCTCCAGGAGAGGGAGCTGACTACTCGCAGCAGGAAGGCCTCGTCAGAGCCATTCCCAGCTAACAACTGGGGGTTGTGCTCTACACAGGCTAGGTCATGGAGTTCAGCCTATTCCTGGCAGATGGGGAAACTGAGGACCAGGGAATGAGGGCACTGAATGTGGGGGGCTCATGAGAGCCTTAAGGCCTTTCCCCTTAAGCAGGGAAGTTATGAAACTGTCCCTCGGACAATGTACAGAGGTGGATGACATCAGGCTCAGAGCTGAGTGGGAGGGCAAGGGCCACCACAGTGGGGGGCTCTGCCTGCACCTCCCACAACTATCAAGGGGCCATGCCTGAGGCACTTCCAACAGAAGCAGAACATATCCTCCAAGGACAGCCTTCCTAGGTGTGAGCCCCATCAAACAGCCCAAAGAGCTGTCTGGGGACAGGTCACGGGACCCGGGGAGGGATGGGGAATAGGATCCACCAAAGGGTGGTAGGAGCGGACAGGGAAGGAGGGCTCCCTGGGGCTCCTGGAGAGTGAGATGAAGCTGGCCCTTGTCTGCTGCACAGCTCCAGGCAGACTGCACCATCCTCCTCTCTGCATTGCCTGAGGGACCATTTCCCAGCATCCTCCTCCAAGGAAAAGGCCCAAATGGCCTTTGTGAGCCCCCACATTCAGTGCCCCCATTCTCTGGTCCTCAAGTTCTCCATCCATCAGGAAGGGCTGAGCTGTACCTTCCTCTGTCTTGGAGGGTATTTACTGGCTTGTTGCCATGTGGGAATCACAGGGCCTCTGACAGCTCCTGGGGTGGCTTACACAGGGGTTCCCACAGTGACAGCTCCTAAGTTCCCATTTTAGGTTCTTTCCCCCACATCCTGAGTGTCCACACTTATTCAGCAATAATTAATTCACTTCTCCCTTTAAAAAATTAATCAAAGACATGGGAGAATGTGTATCTGAGCTTCTGATCAGCCTGAGATGACCGGTGTTATCGCACTGGGTTAGAACATCTTCAGCCGAAAGCACAGGCACTTGATGTTTTGGCCAGGTATGCTGTCTGGCTGGGGGGAAGGTACAATCTCTGCTCCACTTTTAGCAAAACTGAAGACAGCTCATGATGGCCAATTATCATGAGCTCGTGGAGGGCACAACCCTGTTGTGATCATCATCTGAAGACATCAAGATGGCCAGGAGCATTTATTGAACACTCTAAGTGCCATCTGTCTTGCTAGGTGCCTTACATGTGACCTCCTTAATCCTCGTGACCACTTTGGGAAAGTTGGGCTCGCCAGCTGCACTGTACAGTTGAGGACACTGAGGTCAGACAGGTGAAGTGCCCTGCCCACAATCATGAAGCGAGGTGCAGGCAGAGCCACTGTCACACCTACTCCATGGCCTGACATTCAAGCCGGACCCCTCTGTACCATGCACTACACCAGGTCGCCCGGTGCACACAGTAGCTGCTCAATTAGTGTTTGCTGAATTTGAATTGAATCTAATTGAATCTAAACATACCCACAGAGAAACTGTCATGTTGAAGACTGTGAAATTTTAAATTACAGATACAAAACACATGGGAAAGGAAGAAAAGCAGAAATAGACAATTACACATGTATTTGTGTGTTGATCCTCTCAAGTGAAAAATTGGTTTCCCTTACTTTATAGCGGAGGCACAAATTAAAACTAGGCTCTAACAATGCAGCCACCCCCAAGAGCAGCCCAACTCTGAAAAGCCCAGGCCCCTGCCTCGCAGTACCACCTGCAGCTGCCTCCTCCACGCACCCTCAACCCCAAAGAAGCCACGTAGGACAATGGACAGAGGCTCAGGCCTACTCTGAACAGAGATGGAGATGGTGAGGCTCGCTTGGCTGAGCCAGCGTCAAAACTGTGGGGGGCCCCAAAACCCCAGGCCCTGCCTAGCCCCAGAGAAACTAACTAGGGCACTGAGGGGAGGGGTCTATCTCTCTAATGAGGCACAGGGTCAACAGGGACCAAAAAAGGCCACTTTGTGGTGCACTGGCCTTGGGCTGGGCCACAGAGAATGCCCCGTGCCCGGCATGCCTCCATCTGACCATCCCCACCCCTCCTTCTCCACCCTCCACAGCCAGAGCCACTTCACCCTCCTCGGGTCCCTGGAAGAAGGAGCAGAAGAGACGAGCTGGCCTGCCTCTAGGCCACTGAATTAGGGCAGGGCCTTCCCCGCAGCCCCCGCAGGTCCTGAACCACCCAGAACCGCAGCAGGAGAGAAGTAAGAGTGAGCAAGCCACCCCACTCTCGGGCCCCTCCAGTGTCCACACCAGGGGCACACACAATGCACTAGGAGGGAGCCGCCCCATCCAGTCAGGCTGGCCCTCCTCCTTGGTGCACAGAGAGGATGCAGCAGGTAAGAGAGAAGTAGGGGAGGAGGGTTGTGGCACCTCTAGGAAGACAGCAACCAGGTCCCAGGGAACCTCTGGGTGGAGCGGGGCCAGGCAGGCTGCAAGACCATTTCCCAATGCTTGTACCATCCCCCATCTCAGGGACAGCTCTGTCTCCCCACCAGACAGAGCTATCTGGTGTCAATTTCCAGTCCTTGTATCCCACCTGACTCCAAACACTGAATTCTACATTCACCAGGTGTGCAGTGAATCCTGGCCACCCCTTTGAGTTCTGAGGTGCTTGGCTGGGCTGATTAGCAAGGACTGGGAGCAAAGCAGAACACAGCGAACTTCACCCCCTGGGACCCATTCCACAGCCCAGGACAGGAGCTCTGGAAGGAAGGAGGCCTCTTGTGGCCCGTCTGCTCTATCTCCCAGCCCCACTTCCTTCCTGTCTCAAGAAGGAGGTGGCTTTCTTCCCTATACCCACCCTGCTCCCTCAGCCACCACCCCACCTCCAGCCCATCTCTCTGCACCAGTGCCTTCCTCCAGGATGCAGGTGAACATGCATAAGTCTCACCTACACTGAAAACAAGCAAACTAACAAATGAACCCATTCTTCAGGGTTAGCTGGCACTTCCACTTCTGGAAGGAAGCAGGCAGTGGTTTCCGGAACCTAAAAACCATGCTTACCTTTCGACTAATTCTGCGTTTAAGAATTATTGTGCAGAGAAGTTTGCCTTAGTGTTGTAATAAGGGAACCACTGGAAATCTTATAAACACCCAACAATAGAGGGCTGGTTAAATACATCTTGGTATAATATATTGAGTAATTATTAAAAATTATAGCATCCAAAAACCTTTTAACAATATGGGAAATTCTAATGATATTATAATAAGCTGAAAGACAATTATATAAAAATGTAAATACATATGCATAAAACAATTGAATGAAGGATACCAACTGTCAGTGGTGGTTATGGCTGGGTTGAAGTTTAATGGGTTATCTTCTTTATATTTTTCCATTTCCCAAGTAGCCAACAAAGACCATGTATTCCTTTTCTAATCAAAACGAACATCTAGAGAACAACCACCTCACCCTCCATTCTGAAGTCATGGGCAGCACTTGGGTCTCCAGGTCTCCAAGGCCCTTTTTTGCCTCTACCCCTACACCCTGCTTGCACCCAAGTCACAGGGGGACCCCACGACAAGCCCTCTCATCGGCTCACAGCCCCACTCAGGCCAAGTAAGAGACAGAAGGGGAGGGACAGGGCTGCCACTGGCCCGCATGGCACCTTGGTTCCTATTAGAGAAAGATACCCCTTCGAGTAGAAACCATTCCAAATCAGGGGCGTGGCCTGGCCAGCAGGGCTTGGAATGGAATACAGACCCCACCTATCCCTCAGCAAGGTGCCTCTCTGCACTGTACAGACTGCACAACCTCACATGTTGGCCCTGGAAGAGGAGGACGCAGGGACTGAGGTGGTGGAGAAGGGAGACCCTAAAGCTGCTGCAGAGGTTTCTGGCTGGGCCACCAACTGGGTGGAGGTGGTGCCAGCAGCAGGGCAAGAGACATTTCCTGCAGCTTCTCTGAATCCTCTAAACTAGGAAGACACCCTATAAACAGCAGGTGCTCCGCAGTGTTCAATGAGCAAATGAGTGAGGTGAGCCAGAAAACCGACCTTTTTGAAAAAAAAGAAAAAATTCAAGACAAAGACTGTAATTAAAAACCAAGAAATCTGTTTGGTGGAAAAGGGGCATGCAGAGGGGAAAGAGAGCTATCCACTCCTCATCTCCCTTCTGAACTGGGCGTGGCAATGGCCCGCTTGTTACGGAACGTGGCCCTCAGTCTCCTCTCAGCACATCCATCTCCCTCCGCAGCCTCCGCGCCAGATTTGCAGAGAAGCACCAAGCAGTCTTCCCTCAGGGGTGTGAGAAAAGGCTGTGGCTGCCAGGAAAGCCTGCCCACTGACAGGGTACATGGAACATCCGTGTGCTTAAAATCACACAGCCATCAACACACTCCTGAAACTGGGAATCTATTTGTTGGGGCACAAATTGAATTGCACAAACTTTCCTAAAGTCATACAATCTTTGCAGAGTTATACTGCAGGTCCATGGAGGTTGGCACAATCACTTATTCAAGAAACAGTGAATGAACTGCTGACCAGATGCCAGCACACACACAGTCTGGGGATACCAGGTTGGAAAAGACCATCATGTCTCCCAGCCCTCACAGGGCTCGCATCCCACCGGGGGACAACCAGGGGCTACAACCCAGGCTATCGAGCTGTGGAAGCAGCATCACCTGGCGGGGGGAGGGGGACACACAATCCAGTCGGGCTTGGGAAAATTTCCTGGAGAGGAGACATCACTAGAGAGTTGGAGGACAGGTGACATTTAGCCAAAAAGAAGGGAAATTCAAGGGAAAAAGAAAAATATGTTCAAAATCGACCTGAGGCTAAATTGGAGCACACCTCCTGCAGCCCACCTCTCCACTGATGACAACTGAAATTCTGGACAAAATACAAAAAGCAACTCCCTGAGGACTCGAAAAGTAAACAAGAGCAGGTGGCTTGTGAGAGAGAGACAGAAACTCAGAGAAGTGACTAGTACAGAGGTGGGAACTTGATTTCTTTTTTTGTTTGTTTGTTTTTGTTTTTGTTTTGTTTCTTTTTTCTTATTTTTTCTAACAGCTTTGACCTGAGAGGAGGACTGTAGTAGAGCTGTGCTGGCAGCTTCAAAGTATATGAAGCAAAAAAAGTCACAGAACTGAAGAGAAAAATACACAAATTCACAACTATAGCTGGAGATGTCAACACTCCTCTCTCAGTCACTGAAAGAACAAGTAGATTAAAAAACAGCAAGGATGTAAAAGAACAGACACCGTCATCAACCAATTGACCAAATTGCCATTTATACAACACTCCACCCAACAACAGCAAAATGCACGGAGCATATGGAACATTCAACACTGCAGGCTATATTCTGGGCCATAAAGCTAACCTTGGCAAATTTAGAAGAACTGAAATACAAAGTATGTTTTCTGACTACAACAGGATTAAACTAGAAATTAATGATAGAAAGCTATCTTCCAGCCTGACCAATACGGTGAAACCCCATCTCTATTAAATACAAAAATTAGCCAGGCGTGGTGGCACATGCCTGTAGTCCCAGCTATTCTGGAGACTGAGGCATGAGAATTGCTTGAATCCAGGAGGCAGACTTTGCAGTAAGCCAAAATCATACCACTACACTCCAGCCTAAGGGACAGAGCAAGACTCTGTCTCCAAAAAAAAAAAAAAAAAAAAAAAAGAATTAAAGAAAAAAAGAAAAAGAAAAATCTGGCAAATCTCCAGATGTTTCCACATGCTTGGAAACTGAACAATACACTTCTAAATAGCCCACATGTCAAAGAGAAAGTCTAAAGAAAATTAGAAAGTATTTGTAATTGGATTAAAATTAAAATACAGCCAGTATATTATAACTAAAATTTGTGGGATATAGATGAAGTAGTGCTGAGAGGAAAATGTGTAGCATTAAAATGTTTATATTAAAAAAGATCTCAAATCAATGGCCTAACTTGCCTCCTTAAGAAATCAGAAAAAGAAGGGCAAATTAAATCCAAAGCAAGCAGACAGAAGAAAATAAAAATTGGAGCAGAAATTAAGGAAGTAGAAAAACAATAGAGAAAATCAGTATTTCTTTGAAATGATCAGTAAGATTGATAAAACTCTAGTCACAATGACTGAGTAAAAAGACACAAATACCATTATCAGGAATGAAAGAGGAGACATCACTACAGGCTCTAAAAATATCAAAAGAAAAAGAGAATATTACAAATCAGTGTATGTACATTAAGTTTCACAACTTAGATAAAATGAACCAATTCTTTGAGGCATGCAACTACCAAGTCTCACTCATGAAGACATATACAATCTGAATAGTTCTATATCAAACCTCAAAGAGATCAAACGAGACCACTTTGTACCCACTAGGATACGTATAATATAAAAGACAAGTAAGAACAAGTGCTGGTGAGGATATGGAAAAATCAGAACCCTCACACATTGTTGGTGGGAATATAAAATGGTGCAACCACTTTGGAAAACAGTCTAGCAGTTTCTCAAAAGATTACACATAAAAACAGCTACCAACCATATGACTTTGCAATTCTACTTCTAGGAAGAACCATGAGAAATGAAAACATATATCCACACAAAGACTTACAAACAAATGTCCAAAAATGGAAACAATGCAAACGTCCATCACCTAGAGAATGGAGAAACAAAATGTGTATATCCATACAATGGAATATTATTTGGTCATAAAAAGAAGCAGAAGACTTCCTGTTAATGGTCTGGCAGGTAAGGAGCTTATAAATCAAAACTCTGTCCTAGCAAGTAAAAAGCTGAACAAACTGGAAAACTCTTCTCAGATCCACAAAAGAAGTGAGATCGTAAGGCAAACCACTGCCCCCAAAACTGGAGACATAGATAGGTGAATAAACAATCACAATGCATTGGAGCAGAAATTTCCACAGGAACCAGGGCCAGAAAACTGAATTATAATTGACAAATTGCTAGAGGCTCATTGTGGACAAGTCAGAGAGATTAAAAACTCTGGAAGACCTGATCATCAGTGGCCCCCAAAATTTTGTGCATTTTACCTCCAGGAGCTACCAGGTTCTCACAGTGAAGACTGGAGAAAATCCCCTTATGTTTCCAGCAGAAGGAGAAAAAGAACTACTTTGGGTTTTTTGGTTTTTTTGTTTGTTTGTTTGTTTTTGAGACGGAGTCTCACCCTGTCACCCAGACTGGATACAATGACACGGTCTCAGCTCACTGCAACCTCCGCTTCCAGGGTTCAAACCATTATCCTGCCTCAGCCTCCCAAGTAGCTGGGATTATAGGTGCCTGCCACCACTCCCAGCTAATTTTCATATTTTTAGTAGAGAGACAGAGTTTCACCATGTTGACCAGGCTGGTCTCAAACTCCTGACCTTGTGATCCGCCCTCCTCGGCCTCCCAAAGTGCTGGGATTACAGGCGTGAGCCACCACGCCCAGCCAGAACTACTTTAAAATATAACAGAGCATTCTGTTCTTCTTTTATGTATTTATCTTTGTAGAGTCAGGATCTTGCTATGTTGTTTGTTTGTTTGTTTTTGTAGAGTCATGATCTCGCTATGTTGCCCAGGCTGCTCTCTAACTCCTGGCCTCAAGCAATCCTCCTGCCTCAGCCTCCTAAAGTGCATTCTGCTCTTAATGAGGTCTGTACTGCAGAGAAACTAGTTAGCCAGAGTCTAACCTGCTGGGTTTATCACAGCCTAGCTGACCTTGGGGAAGGGGAATACCCAACCGCCACTGGCTCCCGCCTTCCACATGGGAGAAGGGAAACGCCCAATTCCTTCCCCTCTAGCCTTCTATGTGGAGGAAGAAAACACCCAGGTCCAGCCCATTCTAGCTGTCCTGTCCTATTTAAAGGGGAGAGGGGACTAAGAAGTACATGTGAGCTCACAGTCCAGAAGCAGACTCTCTAAAAGACTAACCTAGCCACAAGACACTTCCCCACCACCCTGACACTACACCACATTACTAAAGTCCTTTTTATAGCAGTTCCTTTTACCTAGCTCATCTTGTCTGGCTAGCAAGAAAGAATTGTAAGGCATAATAAAAGGCAAAAAACATAGCTTGAAGAGCAAGTATCAGAACTAGACTCAAATATGGCAGTGATGACGGAATTATCAGGCTGCAAATTTAAAACAACTATAATCAACATGCTAAGGGCTCTAATGGAAAAAGTAGACAATACGCAAAAACAGAAGGGCACTGTAAGCAAACAGATAGAAATTCTAAGAAAAGACCAAAAATAACTGCTTGAGATCAAAAGCACTGTAACAAAAATAAAGAACACTGCACTGCTAGGTGTAGTGGCTCACGCCTATAATCCTAACACTTTTAGGAGGCCAAGGTGGGAGGATCCCTTGAGCCCAGGACATTGAGGCTGCAGTAAGCTGTGATCACAGCATTGCATTCCAGCCTGGGAGAGAGTGTGAGACCCTGTCTCCAAAAACAAGAAATAAAAATTGAAGAATGCTTTTTATGAGTTTAGTAGCATGGATACAGCTGAGGAAAGAATCTTTGAGCTTGAGGATATCTCAACAGAGACAGATCTGGTGTCTGGTGAAGGCACTCTTGCAGGTTTGCAAACAGTCATCTGTCTTCTCACCATATCCTCACGTGGTGGAGAGAGATTCATCTCTCTCGTGTCTCTTCTTACAGGGGTACTATCCCCAGTTCTATGGGCTCCACCCTCATGTCCTAATTACCACCCAATGACTCCGCCTCCTAATATCATCACATTAGGGATTAGGGCCTCAACATATGAATTTTGGGGAGGACACAAACAGTCAGTCTATTGTACATGTCATTAAACATTTGTCCAAACCCATAGAATGTACAACATCAAAAGTGAACCCTAACGTAAACTATAAACTCTGAGTGACAACGATGTGTCACTGTGGGTTCACCATCTGTAACAGATGGGCCACTCTGATGCAGAATGATTATGGGGAGGTTGTGCATAAGAATGGGCAGAGGGCAAGTGGGAAATCTCTAGCCCTTCTGCTAAATTTTTTCTGTGAACATAAAACTCCTCTAAAAAATAAAGTCTAATTTTAAAAAAAACATAAAGGAGTGAAGTCCTGATATAGGCTACAATGTGAATGAATCTTGAAAACATTATGTTAAGCGAAAGAAGCCAGTTACAAAAGACCATTTATATAAAATGTTCATAACAGACAAATCTATACAGACAGAGTAGATTTATGGTTGCCAGGGGCTGGGGCACTGGGGGGATAGGCATGGCTGCTAAAAAACGTGGTTTCTTTTTGGGGTGAGGAAAATGTTCTCAACCGACTGCTGTGGCTGCATAACCCTGCAAACACACTAAGAACTGAGTGAATGAGTGAATGAGTGAGTTGTACAATACAGAATAAATCTGTTACCAAAAAACATTTAATGAGTATTTACTTTAGGCCCAATGTGGTGGCTCACACTTGTAATCCCAGCACTTTGGGCTGACGCAGGAGAATCGCTTGAGGCCAGGAGTTCAAGACCAGCCTGCGCAACATAGTGAGACCCTTCTCTACAGAAAATTTAAAAATTAGCCAGGCATGGTGGCAGGCGCCTGTAGTCCCAGCTACTAGAGAAGCTGAGGCTGGAGGATACCTTGAGCCCAGGAGTTCGAGGATGCAGTGAGATATGATAATGCCACTGCACTCCAGCCTGGGTGACAGAATGAGACCATGTCTCTAAAGAAATTTTTTTAGTTAAAGTATATTAAGACAAAAAAATAACTAAGGCATCAAGCCCATGACTTTTTTGGACACTATTAGTTATGGCAAGGCTAAAATAAGTTTTCAAGTACAAGAATTGTAAATCAATAGTAAAAAAAAATAAATAAATTTTTAAAAACCTTAAGAAGAAGCATGTTCAGTGCAGCACAGAGCTTATTTTAGTGGCAATATGTATTATAGAAGATTTATAAATTAGAATTACAGAAACATCATATTTATAGAATCAGCACAGGTCCAAAGAACCTGCTTTATATTTTCTGAAACTGCCTGCTGCATTTTTAAGGGCAAAAATTATCAAGTGGGGTGGGTGTTAATGAAAGTCTTGGAACATCGCCCTCTTGAGTGCCATGGGCCTCCCACTGTCATCCACTGAGCTTGTTGGCAGCTCATGGGTTTTAAACAGGGGTCTTCTTACACAGTCCCAGTGAAAGTGGTGCAGAGGGAGGCTGAAGAGGAGGACTGGGTTGCAGGGCAGGTCTCTGAGGTTCCAGATTCTGGGAACCAATTGCCCACTTCTGCCTAAGACTTTAGACAACCCAGGGAACACACAGGGACTCCCCAGCCAATTGTGAAGGCAGCCAGTGAAGCTGATGGATCCACTGAATATTGAGAGAAACAGATGTTTTCAGCAGTCCCTTCTACAGCTTTAGGGCATGCGCCATCTAACTGGATTTTGTTGCCCCATGCCCTGGGACAATGCCTGGTTTCTGGTGGGGGCTCAGAAAATGTTTGTGACATGGATAAATGAAATGCGTCCTCTTCCTGCAATAGGGAGAAGCAGAAATTAGAGGAAGACCTGGGTTCAGATCCAATCCCGTCAATGGCTGCCTACCCTGCACAGACAGCTGAACCTTTCAGAACCAGTTTCCTTGCCAATATTTTGGGGGCAGGAAGGCTGCTCTCACAGATACGTTGGGTTCTGTTTTCAGGCCTGAGGTTACAGGGCTGTGGTCCCTCAGAACAAAACCCACCACTGTCCCATCCATGGCCAGGTCCTGACACCAGGCACGGAGCTGCACATGGCAGTGCTCAGTGAGCATGTGAATGCCAGGGCTGTCCATGCAGGCTTCTCCAAGAACAAAACGCACAGCCCTCACTGATAAATATTTAGTCATGTGTTGCTTAACGACAGGGATACAGTCTGGGAAATGCGTCATCAGGCGATTTTGTCATTGCGTGAACATCATGCGCTTACACGAACCTCGACGGTATAGCCTGCGACACATCTAAGCTAGAGGTCTAGCCTATGGCTCCTAGGCTATACATTTGGACAGCATGTGATTGTACTGAACACTGCAGGTGATCACTAGGTGACAGGAATTTTTCAGCTTCACTATAATCTTACAGGACCATTGTCCTATATATGGTCTGACATTGACCGAAACGTCATTATGTGGTGCATGACTGTATGTTCATTCAAGACTAAAGCTGAATTCACACTGTGAACAAGAGGATCTGTGAGGGTTTGGGCATCAAACCACCCCCAGTTCACAGTCTTGCCCCACTACCAACTGGCCGTGTGCTTGTGGTGTGTAACTGAGCCCTTCCGAGCCTCAGGGCCCTGACAGAGGAAGGGGATGGTGGCAGCACCCAGTCCACCTCCCAAGAGGCCACGAGGAAATGAGCCATGGCGCACACAGCGTGCACAGCGTGATGCCTGCAGGAGGCACACTGTGGTCAGCACTGGCTGCTGAAAGGGGCTCTCGAGATCATCAGGGGCTCCACCACGTCCCCAGTTGACAGATGAGGAAATGGGAGCCAAGAAAGACAAGGAACAGCCTCGGGTCCTACATCTTTGCCTCCATTAGGCTCCTACTCTCATCTGCATTCAAAGTTTAGCTTGCAGCAAAGCTTAGTCAGGACTGTGGAAAGCACAAAAAGTCCAAATAAAAAGCCTTTTTAATATAAAACAGATGAAAGAGACAAATGGAGAGTAATCAAAATCTCATTAAGGCAAATAAGCAACTTGCCTACAATGCCACAAAACTGATGGCACTTTGAGCCAAGTAGACGAAGCCATCTCTCAGATGGCCACCATCACAGGAGTGCAAATCTCAAAGACAGTCTCACCCACTGGGGCAGAAGCCCCACAGAAACCACTCTGAATTTTCACTAGGCACCCATACCATGGCCCCCAAATCTGGCTATACATTAGAATCACCTGCAGAGTTTTCAAAAACCTGGAGGCCTAGGCCACCCTGGGCAGCAATAGTTTCTAATGCTCCCTGGGTAGCTCTGGCCCGTGCCCTAGATCAGTCAGGTCAGGCCAGCCCAGCCACCACCTGCTGCTTTACCAGTTCCTATTACTATCATCCTGAGATCACTCCCATCCAAGGAAGGATGCCCACAGGAGGGGAAGGAGATAAGCAAATTAATGACAGTGGCTCAGCCTCCGTTCAACTGGCCAGGATAATTGCTTGTGATTTTAAGAACTGGTCTTGATTAGAGCTATCAGTCATTCATGCGACAGTTTGCGCCCTTCCTGCCTCCCCTCCCTCCCTACTATGTGCTTAGCACTATGCTGGATGCTGGGAATACCATGGTAAATGAGGCACAACTCTTTCCCTCAGGGAGTCCACATGCTACCAGAATGCTACAGCATACTAGTGATGGGCTAGGATCATAGGAAGCTGAGCTGAGGGCCCACACAGGCCCAAGGGTGAGCCACCCACTCCCCTGTCACCTGCATGTTAGGACACGTGCCTGCAGAGGGTGTGGGACAAAGCTAGAGAAGGAGGTCAAGAAACCAAGTCAAGATCTGGAAGTCAAAATGTCCCTTTACAAATTTAAAAATAATAATAAAAGTAGGAAGAAAAGATGTAGAACAAGCATGAAATATTGACGATTAGTGTCAATGTGACACCAGGGTATGCTGGAGAAAGTGAGCTGGCCTGTCAGAGCTGGTTTTATCATGAGAGTCCCAGAGCGAGCAGAGAATCGGGGTTTTAGAGGTGCAGCCTTCTCTGGAGGAGTAAAGTTGGCAGATCTGAATGCATCTGCAACTCTTTTTCTCAGGCGCAGAGTAGGAGCTAGACAACAAAAGAACCACTCGACCCCTAGCCTGCCCAATGTCACCCTGCACATAGAAAGAGAGGAGGAACTGGGGCAGAGTCCAGGCTGCCAGCTGCAGGAGCCACATGTCCTAGATTTTCCAGGGCTGCTCCAATTTCCAGTGTTCAATCTTGCCTTAACTGAGAGGTAATTTGCTGAGGTTGGGGTTCCATAATGTAGTCCTGCAAAAAAGGTGATTCACCAAATTTGCTATATAAGCTTTCTTAACAAATCTGATTCATATTACAAAAGGAGAATTTATTTTTATTACTTATCCTAACTTTTGGTTCAAAATACATAGTCATCTTAAAGTGAACTTGAAAGTGGCTCTACCTTGGAACATTCCCCACACTGCTAGAGGGCCCAGTACAGCTGAGTCCGTGTCACAGGCTTCTCCTGCAATTCTACAGCTTCCATTCTGTGCTGGGCACAGAGCCACAGCACCGCAAAGCTGGAAATGCAAGAGACTCATAACTCTGTTATCCACCAAACACCGGGGAGCAGAGGAGCTCAGCCTCAGTGGAGAACTACAGTGCTTTGATGGCCACACCATATCTCATCTGACACAGGGTCTCCCAAGTCCTCCTGCCTCTGTCCACACTTCTGGAATGACTCACTACAGCTGAATTCCAGCTAGCCTTCATATCCCATTTGTCAGAGGGGCCATGCCCTCTATGTCGATCCCAGGGTGGCCACTGCCCCTGAGGTTGTGGGCAGGTGGGTGCTCCTGCAGGCCTCTATCACAATGACAGTGGCGGCTGACCCCATCAGCTCACTCCAGGTTATCCTGAACACCTGCTCTGGTCCAGGCCCTGTCGGGGATGCCAGGCACAGAGGTGACTCAGGCTCCCACACCAAGCGGCTGTAAATAAACACCTGTGGATAAAAGTGCCCACAGATCAAGAGTGATCGTTGTCCCTGAGATAGGTCACAGATGGTGCAGGCTAATTGAGGATAAGGTTCAAATGAGAGAAGCAAGGGACTTTTAACTTCAGAGGCCCTTTGGTCCCTAGCTTCTCAAAATGTGGTCCATATACTATCCTCCCCTTCATTTCCTGGGAGCTTGTTAGAAATGCAGGATCTTATCCCAACCTGGACCTGCTGAAACAGAATCTGCATCCTAACAAGAGCCCAGGTGCTCTCCTACACAGGTGAGTTTGAGAAACGCTACTTTGGAGGCGTGGCTTGGCCTGCCACTTTACGATACCAATTTAAAAATTGTGAATCAGAGAGGCTTTTGCTTAAGGAATGTGGCCGAAATCACCCAGCCAAGCAAGTAGCAGAGGGAGGACGTGAGCCCAGGTCTCCTGCAGCTCAGGCCAACGGCACTAGAGGCTCAGGGGCTTCTGCAGAAATTGACCCTCACAATACTATAAAGGTCAGACCACAGGCATCCTGGGTTCCAGACCACACCCATGTTCAAGCAGACTGCTGGGAGGAAGAGGGGTCAGAGGATGCTGCAGCAGCGGCAGGAAGCCAGTTTCAAGTAAGTACGCACAGCTGGCTTGTGCAGAACACATCCTGCCGACCTCTGGAGATGAAGTCAGGCACTTTGCACTAATGAGATGTGCTACAAACATCAAACCCGAGGCGGAGAGATCACCCAAGATCACCAAGAAGAGGAGACAGGGAGCCAAACAGCCCATTTGCTGTAATGAATTGGGCTAGACTAGAGAAGTCCAGAATCTTGACACTTAGCACTTGGCTACGTTTAAGGAATCATAAAATCTCATGACTGGAAAGTAACTAAAAAGTTGTATGTTCCAACTACTCACTGTGCCCTAAGATCCCAGGGAGAGGTTGTCTGGCCTCACTCCCCTCAGTTCTGTTGGCAGAAACCTACTCCTTACCTTCACAATGTAGGCTTGCTTTGACCCAGAAATTTTCATTCTGAGATTCAAGCTTAAGGAAATAAATCCCAAATGTGGAAAAAGCTATATGCAAAAAGATGTTTCTTACAGTGGAATGTGTAATAAAGTCAACCTTGATAGTTTGTTTGGAGATTGTAACAAGAGAGAGAAACAACTTATACACCCCTGACTGAAGGAACAGTTCCCACTTGGAAAACACATTCTCTGAGCACCTGGTTTCTGCAAGGAACACAGAATGGGGTAAGACACCCAACTTGTCAGCCAGCTCAGGAGGATTAGTCCTGACAATCAATAGGGTGACAGATGTCAGAATCACATCTCTCTTTACCAAGGTCAGCCAGATCTTAAATATCTTTGGTTTTGTGGGCTATGTGGTCTCTGTTGCAATGAGTCCACTCTGCTACTGTAGTATAAAAGCAGCCACAGATGATACATAAATGAGTATAGCTGTGTTCCAATAAACCTTTATTTACAAAAACTGGCAGCAAGCTGGACTAGCCTTAGGCTATAGTTTGCTGACTGCTGGTCTCTGTCCTCACATCTATTAATTTTAAATGGCAAAAGTTTTTTAAATCTCCTACATGTCTAATGCAGGGAAATGGTTTAATATGTTAAAGCATTCATCTGATTCATTTGATCCATAGATACTTACTGAGTTCCTGCCTATGCCAGACATTGTTCTGAGTCCTGGGGAGAAGCAAGGCAGTGAGTCAGGAACACCCTGAGTCAAAGGAATATGACTGACGACCTTACGAGGGTCTGCACTAACAAAGAATATCCTTCTAATGCTACATGAAAAGCAAAACACAAAATTGCGTATACAAATAAAACCAAATAGTGCTTTTATAATTTTTTTAAAAACCACAAGAGGAAAAAAAAACAGAAAGAAGAATATCAAAATGTTGCTAATGTTTACCTTTGGCTGCTTGGACTCCCCCTCCTCTCTTTACCTGAATTTCCCAATGTTATCATATGATTCTGTATTACTTTTACAACAAAACATTCCTTCCCTACTGTATTTAAAAGGGAAGGCCTGTCTTGGTTTAAGCTAAGGTCTGTGTCCCTCCTACTTACACCTGCGATTCCCACCGCGGTCCCTGAAAGCAGCTGGAAAAAGCCAAGCTGCTCACTTCTGGATGTTCACATACACGCCCAGGCTGAGCCAGAAGGTTCAGCACCTGGGACAGCGCCACAGGAGCCCACAGGGATAAGAAGTGAGCAGCCCCAGGCGGGAGTCCCTGGAGGGCAGGGGGCTGTGCCTCCTCCCTGGTCCTCCTGCCGAGTCCATTTGAGACACATGGGCAACACCTGTCTAAGCAGGAAAGAGTGTTGTCCCCTGAGCCCAACTGATGCAAACGGAACGAGCCCCGTGACCCAGTGGGGGAGGATTGTTGGTAGAAAGGAAGTAAAAACAAATACTGCACAGATCCCTTAGCCACATTACTATCTTGGGAGAGACTCGCAAACATGCCAACACCAGTCACAGCAACATCTGCTTCTAATTGCTTCTCCCCCAGCATTTTCAGAGCTCGTCAGCTGGCATCTGCCCTGGGAAAAAATCCGGTATTTTTAACAAATGCTTAAATCAGATGGCGTCCTTGGTGAGTAATTTCTTACGTGTTTGGTCTTTGAGGCTAAAAACAGTAAGCGCACCCATAAGGGACGTGGTTGTCAGGAGTGGCTGGGTGCTCAGGAGGTCCCACTTCAAACGGTATGACTAAGAGTTTCCAGTTCACAAGGCACGTTCAAATGTTTTCTTTCACTTGTCATGTATTTAGATCCTAAATATAACGTGTTTTGGCGGTTTTTTTTTTTTAATGCCACTGTGTCCACTTCTTTATGGGTAATTTCCTCCCTTTTCCAAATATTTTTATAAGAAAGTTCCTTTGTAAAAGAAAAATGTGTGATTTTTTTTTAAAGACTACATCTATCTATGCTCCCACTTGTGAGTACTTTAAGCAAGATCTCATGTACAGACAAAACTTCCCATTCTCTGTCAAGAAAAGTCTCTGCATTTAGGCTCTCCTCAACAAACCAGCAGCCCCTTCCAACTGCCTGTCAGGAAAGGGTCTTCCGGTGCCAGCCAGTCTGAAGCAAGAAGGCAAATTTGGAATCTAGGCCTTGGGGGCTCTGTCTCACCCTCCTCCCTCTGGAACACATGGACAGCCTCTACTCAGGACATATCTGCTTGGACGCTGCACCTGTCTAGGACCAAGGCAGATGTTCACAAACCTCCCGTGGCTCCCCACTGTTGAGACCAAGACACACAGCGTTGAAAGACTCTCTGCCCAGGCCACCTCGCTGTGTGAAGCCCACGCCTAGCCAAGTCCCCATAGACATCCTGTGTTCCCACCTCCTGTATCTGCCCTGTCTGCATGACTGCCTTCCTCTGGCATTTACTCAGTCAATCATGATTCACACAGTGCCAACTATGTGCCAGGCACTGTTTTAGAAGCTAGATGTCAGCAGCAAACAAAACTCTCTGCCTTCAAAGAGCTTACATTCTAGAGGAGGGAAACAGGCAGATGAATGAACACATAAAATCCATAATATGTCAGGTGATGGTAAATGCTATGGAGAGAAATGAGATAGCAGAGGGGACTAGCGGATGCTAGTGGGTTTTGGGCAGGGGGCACCTCACCGAGAGGTAATATGTGAGCAGAGCCCCATGACAGGGGGCAGCAAGCCTCTACTTAGGAAACAGGCAGAAGAGCCTTCCAGGCAGAGGGAGCAGCAGGTGCAAAGGCCCTGAGACAGGAATGTGCTGGTATGTTCAGGGAAGGCAAGGAGCCTAGTGGGGCTGGCACTGATGAGAAATGCTGACCTACCCCCAGGCCAAGGAGGATCATTTAGGCCTTGTGGATCATCAGAGACATTGGCTTTTACTGTAAGATCAGAGCCTGGAGGATTCTGATGAGAGGAGTGACATGTCTGAGTCACACTGTAACAGACCAGTCTAGCGGCTGTGTTGAGAACAGCCTCCAAGGGGCAAGGGGGAAAGTGAGAGATCAGATGGGAAACTCCTGCAACCATCCCAGCGAGAGACAATAGCAGAGCTACAACAGCTGATGTGGGGAAAAATGTCCAAGTTTTGGAGAATTTGCTAATGGTTTGGGTATGGGAATGTGATGCAAAGAGCAGAGACAGGGCTAATTCTGATGTTTTTGGCCTGAACAACTAGGGTGGAGCTGCCATCTAGTAAGTGGTGATGGTAAAAGGCACAGCAGGTTGTAATAAAGGATGGGGATGGAAATCACAACCAGCCTTTAAGACTGAGGAAAAGTGATTCCTCTAAGAAGTCTTCCCACAGCAAGCTAAAAGCACTTACCCCCTCCCTTCCTCTCGCAAGCATGCAAACAAGTGCGCACACACACACACGCACACACACACACACACACACCAATTCTCTGTACCAAAGTCATCTGTACCCGCACATTATTCCCTTGAGTAACCCAGCAGATTCATTTTATATCATCTGGAAGCATTTGTGCACAGTAGGTGTTCAACAAATATTTTTAGTAATATGCTGCATAAAATTGCACCTTTGATATTTTAAGTCTGACAACTCAAGAATGTTCTTTCAAAACATCTAAAAATTATGCTTAGCACTGATTAAATATTAAGTGGTAATTATTCCACCTCAAGGGTCCTATATATAGATGCTGACCTGCCCCCAATTATTCAAATTGTCGAAACAAGCTCTCCTGTGGAAAGGCCAAGTTAGGAATATGGCTATTACCTTGCCAGTCCTTATATCCCAAGCTTTCATTTCAGAGCTGAAGCCTCCACATAAAAAGATGTTGTGGTCTTTTGGATGGAATTTCAAGGTAGTGATTCTAAAGTCACTTCGACCACTAAATAGCTGGGTTCCTACAACACAAAAAGAGAAGAGAGGGTTAGAAAGTACTTAGGTCACAAAACAAATATCTTAAAACTAAGATGCCATCTGGTATGGGGCTCATAGCAAACACAGCTCCCCTGGGCCCGATGTAGCCCAATGGACACTTTTTGGAAATATGACAGCGGTGGCAGCAAGATTTGCCCTTATTCTCTGTTTCTCTGGCCAGCCCACCCTTGACTAGCTGAACATCCCCTCCCCCTGGGCTGAGCTTAGATGGGTGGATTGATGAGTGCACCTTTCACATTTGCTGTAAGCATGACATGCATTAGCTCATATAAACCATGCAACGACCCTATGCCCACCTAACAGCCAAAAACCAAGCCCAGGGAGGTCATGGAACATTTCCAAGGCTCTACAGTTAATACAGTAGATTATTTATCTGGGAGTCTAAAAACCAAAAACAGGATTGTTCTAAGGTGATACTTTTCAGAATCAGCCACTTTATAATAATGGATGAATGGTTTGCTATGGAGCATGGCAGGTGGGGTGGCCTGAGATGCTGGGCGATAAATGAGAGTGGCCATCATGGTGGCCCAAGCACAGATTGGACAGGGTGGTGTGGGCCATTGGGGGTCTCACTGGCTCTACAGGACACAACGCAGTCCTTGTCCTTTATAAATACATCATAAACTGTTGTCAAGCATTTATGTGCATTAGGTAAGTGTCTGTGTATGTACATATATATACGTATGGTGTGGAAAACGTCTTTTTTATCACTATGATCTTTTAGAGGTAAGCTATATAAACTTCAAAAACATCAATCATTTGGAGCAGGTCAAAGCTGGTCCTCCTTCCACTGCCCAGTGCAGCCCCCATGTCCCAGAGCACTGGCTGTCATTCTTGTCTGTCCACACCTCATCCATCTGAAACTGCATCAAGAAGGCAGACTGGCCTTGGGGAGGTGTTCTCACTGTGGGAGTCTCTGAGTGCCACCCCCGTATATGTCCCCCACAGGCAGGGCTCACACACCAGGCACAGCAGCTGCCCCACGCCACCCAGCCAGAAACATGGAGGAGGCTTCGCTCAGAGGTGCCACAAGGGCTCCCACAGCGCAGGAGGAAGAACCTTGACTGCCTTGTACCCGTAGAAACTCCCCCATGGGACTGAGCAGTGGGCTACTTAGGGACACGGGAAGCTGGTGGCGAAGAAGACCATGAAGACACCGAGGTCTCAAGCATCATTTCCACTCACGGGAACCCAGGAAGCAGCACTTGCTCATTCAATTCAGAAAGCACAAAAGGTTGCCCTGCTTTGTGTTCTGTGACCCCCACACATTAGTGAAGGGCTCTACCAGCTCACCAGGTGTGGAAATGAAAGTACTCATGACAGTCACATGAGTACTCATGACAGTCCCAGCAGAAGGCTTTCACAGACCCAATCTGCCTAGATCCATGGTCTCCAAGCTATTATAGTTTGACAGTACGCCCCATCCATGAAAAACCTAAGGCACATACCACCAATATATAGATATCTGTGTTAAGTTGAATAATGTGCCTCTGTACCAACATATTATAAACATTTTTTAAAAACCAAAAATAGAACTCTTTAAAGGATGATGCAAGGATAAAAGTCAATATTTTAAAATATATTTTAATATACCCTTATTAAGAGAATCAATGAACCTCTCTGAAATCATCTGAGTTATGTAATACTATTTTTAGTGAGAGCAACAGAATTGAATATGCTTCCATTTTTCTTAATGTAGGGAACTTTTTGTGATTCAGTTATTTGAATGTAGTCTGGTTGCAAGTAGGTTCAGTTTATCCACTGAACTCTATCAAAGCCGACAAAGTTTCTTGCACGCAGAGATGCCCGGACCTAGATGGAAGATATTCACCACTGGCCACATGGGAGACATTTTCCACTTCTTTTTTTTTTTTTCTCTTTCATAATTGAGATTTTATTGGTTGAGGATCGTGCAGACATTTCAATTTGTACACAATTCTTAACACATGTAACAAAAATCTAAAAAGCCATGTATTGTAATTATTTTTGAAAGTTATTCCAGTGACTTTCCAGGTCAAAATTTGGAAGCAAATTGTCCTTAAGAGGCTATCAAGTACCAGTATCTTCACATGCTGATCAGCTGTTACAGACGTCCCACCAGCTCACAACTGAAGAGCACCTACACTACATATTCCAATCTGTAATCTTTCACAGCACAGTAACAAAGTTATTAGGAAAACAGGACTACCACAACCAAAGATTTACAGAGTCCACACAATTCTGACAGGGAGAGCAATGACCAAGGAGTGGTTTTCTTTAGGAAACAATTCTACTAAAAAACAAGGGAATAGAAGTAATTTAAAACATTCAAGACGTTAAATGCAGGACTGACTCCATATGGCCATTTAACATGCTTTGTATTATAGGATATAAAAACTAACCCCCCATGTATGGAATGTTAAGCTGACACCCGAGACAGTCAAAGCCTCCCATAATTCAATATCCCACACTATTTTCTGGTTGTACCAAAAAATAAACAACCAGCAAATGATTTCACCTCTTAAAAAAAAAAAAAAAGCATTTACACTTAAAAAATGGGATGAGGTGGGATTCCCTCCTTCTTAAAAATGTTTCTAGAGCTACTAAAAAACTTGCATTTACAAAATAGTTGATAAAAATATTCCTCTGGATTGTACAAGAAGGGAGACAGGGACCACTGATAAGACATGGTATATGGTATTCTATCAGACTTGGTTTCTTTCTCTCCTGCTTCATCAGAGGCTGGACTCTCCTCAGTTTTCATTTCCCCATTTTCTGCAGGTAACTCTACTTTAGTTTCTTGGTTAACCACTTTGGCCTGTTTTCCCTTTGCTCCCCTTTTCCCTTTTTTTTTTTTTTTTTTTTTTTTTTTTTGCACTTTTTTGTCTGAAGATTTATCCTTCGCTGCTGCCTTTTTCAGCTTCAATTCCACTTTTGCAGGAGCAGGTTTAGCTGACAACTGCACCAGTCTCCTCTTGGGCTCTTCCTTGGTGGCCCCTTCAGCAGAGCTGACCTTCCTCTTGGGTATCCTGGCAATGGGGAGGGTGCATGCCAGGTGCCTGCAGAGCCACGAGAGCCTTTGCAAAGCTGGGCTGCCCGGACATTTTCCACTTTTATCCACCATCGAAGCAAAGGATTTTGTGAACATTTTGCTAGTAAAGCCCCATTTCCCTAATGTCAAATAATGGCTCCTGCAACTAATCAGGTTAATAATTGCATTATCATATTTGTAACCACCCAGCTCAAAATCCACTGAAATTTTCACTTAAAGGATTTTAAAACAGATTAGAAAAACACTGTTCCCAGGTTAAGGGTGAAGATATTCAAGATTTTAATAGGTGACAGATCATTTTTGGCAACAAAAATCACATAACAATGGAAACAAAAACATCTGTTTTCAAAATGTTCTCTCCATAGTAGAAATTTTTTAGAAAGTAGTTACTCTTTCACCCTTTGTTCAAGCATCACATTTGCCATGATGGATAATAAAGTGTGTTGATCTTTTTTTTCTAGTATCTTCTAGGGGCCTAAAACTGGTAGTCACTTATCAACAGAGAAAATTTTAGAAATACTTGCTTTTCTGTAAATGAAGAATCTATACCTCTTTGAGCTCCACAAGCCCCTTGACTATTTTGCTACAAGATGCAGTGCAGATAGCACAAGAGATTTTCATGGTCACTCTTGTGTCAGCACAATGTTGTCAAGAACTGGCTGCTTTAGGCCATCCAACCCGTATGGAGAAGGGACTGTAAACAACACCCTAACGGTCCAGCCTGAGGGGAGTAGTGAAGACAAATGTGGTTTTCTGCCTGATGGGATGCTGAAAAGCCACTGAAAACTGGAATCACAAACAGCAGTCTTTGGCAAGATGGACAATGCTTGATTCCTATTCTTCAACTACAAGAGTATAAAATGGGAATTGATACGAAGCAGTCCCCGACCTTTTTGGCACCAGGGACAGGTTTTGTGGAAGACAATTCTTCCATGAACCAGGGGTTGCGATGGGGGTGCTTTCGGGATGAAACTGTCCCACCTCAGATCACCAGGCATTAGTTAGATTCTCATAAGAAGAGCACAACCTAGATCCCTCGTATGCGCAGTTCACAATAGGGCTCCGTTCGTATGAGAATCTGATGCTGCTGCTGATCTGACAGGAGAAGGAGCTCAGGCGGGAATGTTCACTCACCCACTGCTCACCTCCTGCTGTGTGGTCTGGTTCCTAACAGGCTATGGACAGGTACCAGTCCGTGGCCCAGGGGTTGGGGATCCCTGTTGATATGGACAAAGACTGGGAAGAGATTCACTGAAATGAAATGAATTGTTCTAGGGGTAGTAAGATAACTTTTTAAATTATACTAACAGATTTGTTGTAATACTGTTTTTCTAATAAATAAAGATTTTTTAAGTCATCAAGGAGATGAGCAGACTTGTAAGATGATGGTCTTTGTGCTATGTCCCTCTCATTAGATCAGCAGACAAACGACTCTCTCAAGTAAACCAAAAAACTGCTTCTTGGTGAATTGATCTAATTGGAAATCTGGTATTCCTAAAAAAAAAAAATGTACTCTTCTTTTCCTTTCCTGGAACTCAAGGTGGTACATAAAGCCTTCTACAGAGCATGACAAACCCCACCTTTTAAGCTACAATTGGTGATCAGAAACCAACCGTGATATGACCAACTAGCAAGTCCCCCTGCTCAGGGAGCACAGGCAGAGGGCTGTCCCCTTGGTCTCCATGTGCCTATGCCAGGGACTCAGAGCAGCAATGTGGCAGCACAGAGGCCCCAGGACACTCGCTTCAGCCAAGCGGCTGGGGGTCATCTGGAGACTGCAGGCAGGGACCACCATCACAACCCCTAGACAGAAAAGGAGGACACGGATACCACTGCAGTCCCCACACCACCGAGAAGGCCCAGGACTGCCAAACTCTTTCTCCCCACAAGGACAACTGCGCTTATTGCTGAGAACATTCAGTGGCCGGCTTCTTGCTCACTTGGAATTCATTGCCAATCCTTAAATCCAAAAGGAAACACAAACTCTCTCTGCCTGGAGAAAAAATGTTCCTTATTTTTTAGACCATAGCATATAACCATATGCTTAATTTCAGAAATGGCAGTGAATTATCCATATGTTTTTTTCAAAAGTGCAGTGATACAGTCTTGCCAACAATGGGGAAGAAAGATGAGAGAAAATGTGAAAGCTGAATTGCTAAAAGACGATGATCGAACTTTTTCTGCTAAAACAAACAAACAAAAAATCTGAATGTTATTTTTTCCTCAACCCCCTAAAGAGATTGAAAATCTGTCTTTTAAGTATTTCCATTTAGAAGATAAGCTGTAGTTTATACATTTTTCCTATTTGTACTTATAATAACTAGGCCCTTACTGCTTTTCTTTGTTAAAAGGGTTCAAAACTACAAGATTTTTAAATTTTTTAGTAAGTTTCTGGATACCTAGTGAAAAGACTAAGGTAGAAATCTCGCTAACTAAGAAGTTCTCAAATAAGACTTTGTTTCAGAAATTAGGGCCATAGCCATCATTATCTGGCACAATGTTGGAAGCAGGAGATGGTATAGCTGAGGAGTTCAGAGCCACGCAGACCCAGATCCCATCCCAGCTCTGTCACTTCCAGTGGAGGGGCCTTGGGCAGGACCTTGCACTGCTCTGTCTCACACTCTTACAAATGTAAGGTCGTCATGAGAGCTAAATGTAACGCGGTGCATGAAGCCTTCCAAAGAGCATGGCAAACAGCAATCAACAAAAGGGAGCTATTATAGTTTACAAAATTAAACCCCAAATTATTGAATTCACAATTGGTTCATTTACAAACTAAAACCAAGGGATACAGGTTTTTTTGTTTGTTTTTGTTTTGTTTTGTTTTGTTTTTTTGAGACAGAGTCTCGCTCTGTCGCCCAGGCTGGAGTGCAGTGGTGCTATCCGGCTCACTGCAAGCTCTGTCTCCCAGATTCACGCCATTCTCCTGCCTCAGCCTCCCTAGTAGCTGGGACTACAGGTGCCTGCTACCACACCCAGCTAATTTTTTTGTATTTTTAGTAGAGATGGGGTTTCACCGTGTTAGCCAGGATGGTCTCAATCTCCTGACCTTGTGATCCACCCACCTCGGCCTCCCAAATTGCTGGGATTTCAGGCGTGAGCCACGGCGCCCGGCTGGGATACAGGTTTTTAAATAGCAATAACCTCCACAGATTAATGCTTTTTCAGCTTTTCTCATGAGGCTTTGAAAATACAACGCCCTGGGCTGCCCTTTACATTTGTTAAAGAGATATGGGTAAAGTCTGGAAAATATTCATCAGTGAAATATCTTGAACATGAACACTAGCTGTGCCAGAGGAGAAGGTCTTAACTTGTCAGACGGGCTCTTCCTCTCTACCTTTTCATAAATCAAGGAGCTTGTTCTCCTGGGCAATGTTACTTTCAGCGCAATGGTTAGCTGTTATATAACCTTTAACCTTAAGACCATCTTGCTTGTTTACCTGTTTGTTATAGAAAATTCTGTTTATTCACTGTATGCTTATTATAGGAAACTGAGTTTTAAAATATTTAATCCACTAGCACTGACTTTATTGATCTCATTATAATGAGCTAAACCAGTGTAAAAACTGTTTGGATCTTCTTGGAGCTAGGAAAAATCACTTATTTTCTCCTTGAATCAATAATGATACAAATAAAAAAATTGTTAAAGCAAAAACAAGTTTAAAACACAATGCAGAAATTCCATTTGTTCTACTGACTCTATGACCAGTGCTTCCACCCCCGTATGACTGTGATAAGGCATCTGGGAACTCTGGAATAGTGGCTCCTCCAAGCTGCCCCTCTTCCTTTCTCAGGTGGAGATATCCAGCTTCCCAAAGTGACCAACCATGTGGCCGGGGCAGCACCACCTGTCCATCTTGCTAACTAAGAAGTTCTTAGTTAACATAGAAGTTGCAAACGTCTATACTAGGAATCCTATCATCATGCAGGGCTCCAGGCCTGTGAGGGCCTTCCTCTTCCATTCAGCATGACTGACTCCCAGCCTAGTTCCTGGCACATAATAGGTATTTCGTCCAGGCCACATGAAACCCAAGTATGGGTCTCCAGGAGAGAAAAGAGAAGCTCATGCCCCCCTCTCCAGGGAGCTCAGAGGCAGCCCTGGCAAAGCAGTTCACAGTCAAGGAAGGGGAACAACATTTATCAGGAGCCTGTTACCTCCAGGCCTGTCTGGAGCTTGCACGCATCACACGGCACCCTGGGTGGTAGGTGTAATTAACCCATCTCTCACAGCCAGGGAAATGGAAGCTCAGCGAGGTGAGAGACTCGCTCAGAGCCACATGAGTCAGCCACACTGAGACGGAGACTGGCCCTGTCTAATCTCAAGGCCAGCTCTCGGCACCCTACCTTGCATCGCCGCCAGTTATTCGTGACCTTTGCTTCTCCTAGTGCTTTGTTCACATCCACAGACTCATGAACATGTAGGAAAAATGTTGACAAGGGAAAGCTTATGCTGTTGGCTTGTGGTAATTGAGCTTGTGTTTCCAGGCAGTAGGCATATGACTCACTTCGCTAAAATCAATATCGTTACACTCATCCTCTGGGAAGTATTCAGCCAGCTATAAATTTAGCCATCCTGACTCAAAGTTAACGAGAAAAGAAACTTACTAACTTTCAAATCAAACTTTATGCATCAGAAACAGGGGCCATCTTAGCAATCCGGGCAAAGGCCTGGGAAGGGTCTGGCCTGAGAGCCAGCTGGGCCTGCATCTGAACATTCCCCATCAGCTGTGGCCCTGCATCGGCCAGCAATCCTCTCCAGCCCTGGTATCCTCATCTGTAGACTCAGGACCACAAAAGGTGGTTGTGAGAATTAGCAATAATGTATGTAGGAGAGCTAAGCCCCAGACAACTGATAGGGCCCAATAAACAGTAGCTGTAGCATTGTAATAATAGTAGTAACAGAAGAAATAGTAGTAGTTGCAGTCATTTTTTAAAATTTGTCTTCTAATAACATACTTACACCAGCTCTTTCCTTCCCATTCTTTTTTGTTTCATTTTAAATTAATTTTAATTGATAAATAATTTTATATATATATATATTTGGGGGTACAATGTGATGTTTTGATCTGTATATACATTGTAGAAAGATTTAATCAAGATAATTAACATATCTATCACCTCACTAATTTATTTTTTGTGGACAGAATGTTAAAAGTGCATTCTTTTAGCAGTTATGAAATACACATTATTAACTGTGGTCATCATGCAGTGCAATAGATCACCAAAACTTATTCCTTCATTCTAACTGAAACTTTATACCCTTTCATCAACATCTCCACTTTCCATATCCACCCCTACCCCCAAACCCCTGGTAACACCTTTCTACTCAACGCTTCTACGAGATCAACTTTTTTAGCTTCCACATATAAGTGAGATCATGCAGTATTTGTCTTTCTGTGCCTTCGCTTATCCCACTTATTGTAATGTCCTCCAGGTTCACCCATGTTGTCAAAAATGACAGAATATTCTTCTTTTTTAAGGCTGTAGAGTATTCCATTGTGAATATTCACCGCATTTTCTTTATCCACTCATCTGCTGATGGACACCGAGGTGGCTTCCATATCTTGGCTACTGTGAACAGTGCTGCAATGAATACGGGGGTGCAGAGATCCCTTCCACACACCGATTTCAATTCCTTTGGAGATACACCCAGAAGTGGGATTGCAGGATCATACGGTAATTCTATTTTTAGTCTTTTGAAGAACCTCCACACTATTTTCCAAAATAGCTGTACTCATTTACATTGTACAAGGATTCCCTTTTCTCCACATCCTCACCAATACTTGCTATCATTTGTCTTTTTGAAAATAGGCATTCCAACAGGTTTGAGGTGATATCTCATTGTGGTTTTAATTTGCATTTCCCCATGATTACAGATGTTGAGCATTTTTTCTAATATCTGTTGGCCATTCATATCTCTTCTTTTGAGAAAAGTCTGTTCAGATCCTTTGCTCATTTTAAAAATCAGGTTATTTGGCTTCTTGCTGTTGAGTTAAGTTCCTCATGCATTTTCCATATTAGCCCCTCACAAGATGTATGATTTGCAAACTTTCTCTTCCAATCCACGGGCTGTCTCTTCACTCTGTTAACTGTTTCCTTTGCTGTGCAGAAGCTTTTTAGTTTGATGCAATTCTTTTGCCTATATTTGCTTTTGCTGCCAGTGCTTTAAGTCCTATCCAAAAAATCATTGCCCAGACCATTGTCAGCCACTGCTTTTAATTCTCTGGACAAGACCGAATGTTCCAAAATTTAAAAAATAATAATAAGAGTTCTCAACTTTCAAACAAGGTGTATCCCAGTGCTTTACTAGTAAGTTGGTTTTCTGAAACTCGGAACTCGCCATTCCAATAGCAGACATGCCGTAAACACGTTTGGGCTCCAGAGTCAGTCAATAATGGCAGCCTTACCTAACAAGGGCACCAAACTGTGATGCAGCTGCAACCAAACACACACACGCCAGACATCACTACTGTGCAGTCACGGTCATGAACAAAACAAGAATTTGAATTAGAAACCATCTTTTCTTTGCCTAGAGGGCTGGCGTGAGCTGTGTTTGTGGAGATGTGAAGGATCTCTAGGCACTTTTCCAAGTGGCAGTTAAGGGCTGGCATGGTGTTGTAATGAAGTTTAATAACATTTGATTTAATATCCGTAACTAGGGTCAGCTTCTCACTCCAAAGAAGTAAGGAAAGAGAAAACAAGATTGAGCCAGAGGAGAAGCACTTTCAGAGTGAGAAACGAAGGATATTCGTGGCAACAGAGACTGGCCTTGGAAAATAGACCCACTCACAAGTGGGCAAGAAAGTAGGCGGCTGCTAACTGGACAAGGAGGCACATAAAGGGCGGCAGCCAGGGAACCCTCATCAGCTCAGACCTCGCTAGGCTGTGGAGCCCCTCTGAGCCTTCACTTCTGGATCAGTGGCAACAGTCCCTAGGACTCAAGGAGCATGTACATGTAAGTATCAGATGCTTTGTAAATGTGCCCACAAGCTTTCTTCTACTTCCTTTGGGTCTGTGGGCACCTGAGGGATACCTAATCAAGTCCTCCTAAGCTACGCTAGCGAAACTCCAGCCACAGTGCCAGAAAGCCAAAGAACGGAGAAGCCCAGGCCCCTCCACGGCACTTCTTCCAAGGACCGGCAGGAGCCAGCACCACCTCAAAGGCTTAGCACAACAAGGAGCCTCCTTCTGTGGCCCCTTCTCCAAAGCCCAGGAGCTCTTGGGGCTCTTTGCCATGGTTTTCATTTGGACACTTCTCACCCTTCCCATGCCAAGTGGTCTAAAGTCGTCATTGGAGCGTGGCCATCCATCACTGAAGAGGCATCTTTCCCTCAGTGGCCCACTTAATCAGAGGGATCAGTCCCCATGAGTCTGGAGCACTCCTTCTTCCCAGAGGCCCCATGTTATCCTCTGCAGGTGGCCAGCTGCTGCCCAGCAGGCTCCCCAGGAGTCAGGTTAAGTTGGGTTCCCCATTGTTTCCCTGTTTGTTCACAGCAGGGAAACAGACGTGGGGAGGGCATGCCACACCATACCTCAACAGCAGGAGCTCTACTAGTCACATGCCAGCACTGGATCCCACCTCTGTCACCTCAAGAAAGTCACTGACCATGCTAAGCCTCAGTTTCTGGGTCCATGAAATGGGATTAAAAACACTCCTCTCACAGGAGGAGTCACATAAGCAAAGAGTCTACCATCCACTCACTCATTTCACCTCCACACAGGCCAGGCAGCGTGCTGGAACCCAGGGCACATAGCCCAGGGCCCAGCCCACAGCAAGGGCTCGATAACCTGTCATTCTCTTTTTCCTTGTAGCATTTCTGTGAATGGAAGCCCCAGTCATAGATTGAAAACAAGGGAGAGACAAGAAGACACCTCTTGGAAAGCAAGGAGAAATGGTCATTTATGAGCCCAGTCCCAGTTGGCTGCTCACTTCCACACAACATGACTCCCACCAAAAGACACTGGGACACCCAGGGCAGGAGGAGCCAGCCAAAAGCTGGGGACAGCAGAGCTGCAGGCTGTGGGCATCTGAAGGAAGAGGGCCATAGGCCTCCTGCAGCCATGAGTGCCTGGGGCTCTGGAGAGGGTCAGGCCGGGCAGGCTGGGGGTCTGTATACCCACTCGAGAGCCCTAATAAAGAGTGCGTGTTGTCCCATTACCAGGAGGAAGGGGAATGTGGAGGAGATGCTGGGAGAACCCATGATGGCCCAAGGCCTCCTCCCAGTCTGCCCCCAAGACCCACGCAGGGGACCAACAGCACATCTGTAAGCTCACTGAGGGGACCAGCAGGGGCCTCTGGATGATGATCGAAAAGTGGCCCCATGTGGGGAAATGGCCTGCCAACAAGGGCCATCTGGACAGCTTAGCAGGAACAAGGGCCTCATGGGCCATGACGGAGGAGGAGAGGAGTTCCTTGCTGAGGACCTACCACACGCCAGGCATTCTGCAAAGCACCCTATATGTGTTATCACAGCTGCTCCCTTCAACAGCCCCAGCACCAGGTGGTGTGGTAGAAACAGGTGAAGAGGCCTGGTTCGGGGAGGCAGAAGAGCCAACACCTGTACCCTGTCTATGTGCCCTCTCACGCGTGCTGCCTCCAGGATCTGGGAGGTAGACCCAGGTGGCACTGCACAGATGGCTCAGAGGAGCCAGCGCACATCAGGAGAGCCGGCCCATGCACAGGAAGGAGGACAGGGTTCCCTGCCCAGCCGGGGCTCCAGGGCTCCAGGAAGAGGAATCTCCTTTGCAGCCATCAAAGGTAAAGGACAGAGGCCCTGCATGCCTCTACAGCTGCAGCCTCGAGGGTCAGGCTGGGACACCTGCCTCAGGGCCTGGAGTCTGCAAGAAACATGACAGGACCGCTTAGAACTGAGGGAGCTCTCCGGGGGATTCTGAGGAGACTGGCTGAGCTGGCGTGTGGCACAGCTGACTCATAAGACAGGTGACACTCAGGGCCCTGGTGGAGTCGGCCAGCGTTCCCTGAGGCCACCTCAGCCTAACGTGCCACAGACGTTTTGTTAGGAAGATTACAGACTGAAACAAGAGCACCAAAAATAATTGTGAGCAAGTTTTATTTAAGTGTTGATTCATGGTTGTTCTATAAGCCAACAACCTGTCAGAACTATAAATTAATGAGATAAAATGGTGCTGGCCCTCCGTATTTCAGGCCAGGTATTGACATTACAGAATCCACAGATTTTTAACTGTATTGATTGAGGACACCAGGATAAATGGCCTTGGCGCCAAATTAATGACAATGGGCACCAAGTGACTAATTCCCAAAGCGCTGCGGTGAGAACGCCCTGCACTGCCTTCTCCTGGCAGGGAGCCCTAATTAGATTGAAATGAAAAAGCCAAATCACCAAGGGCGGAAAAAGGCAGATCCAGTAGAAAGGGAGATCAGACTCAGCGAAGAGAAAGGACAAGACAAGTCAAAGCGGGACGAAAGCCACAGGGCCTGCAGAGCCCACCCCAATGGCTAAAGAGAGCACTTACCAAAAGCTGGAGGTGGGATGTGCAGAGATAAGGTAGGAGACATAGGGGGAGACATAGGTGGAGGCCCCCCGACCAGCCCTGGCAGTCCCTGATGGGCTTCACTGCCCAGATAGGAGGACCTGGCAAGGACAAACTCAGCACATCTTACCCACACAGGTACTGAGCAGCTGCTCCAAGCCAGCCCTGGCCAGAGGATAGAGACACAAAGACCACCAGGACAGGCTCCCATCCTCATGGAGCTCCCAAGCCAGCCAGGGAGAGGGACATGGAAACCAACCACCCTCAGCAGCAGAGACCCTGTCTGTGTGTGCAGCGCTTCCCCAAGGGTGAGGTCCAAATCCCTCAACCATTCTCTCCCAGGGGCCCACCACACTCTCCACTGTGGCCTCAGCACCAAGTCCTACACGCAGTGGGTGCACAATAAGCAACTGCGGAGTGAACGAAACGGGGCCTTCAAGAGTTGAATTCAACAGTTCATTCAACAGTTGAATGAACCCAGTGGTGAGCGCCATTCCTAGCAGAGGGATGGAGTGAAGAAGTCCTCAATCACCTCCCCCACTGGATGGTAATGCCCTGGGGGCAGGGCCATGCTTTTCTTTACACACCCAACACACCACAGCTAGAGGGGCACATTGGGCCTGGGGCCAGACAAGCTGTTCTCCAAACGCAGTCCTATCACCAACCAGGCAAGGCATTCTACCTCCCACTCCTCCAACTCTCCACCAGGGGCTGCAGGTCACACAGGACCAGTGGGAGCTACCAAGGAGGACTACTCAAAGCACAGACCAAGCCCTGACTCTTGCCTGCTTCAAACTCAGCAATGGCCTCTGCCCGCCAGCTGCTATGGCAGTCCCTGACTCATCAGACAGGAGGACCCTCTTTGAATGTCTAAAAATTTCAGAACCCCCTGTCAAGACACCCCACTCACACCCACCCACACATACAATTGCATGCATTTGTTTAACTTCTGTTGATTGAGAGAATAATGCTTAAGGGCCACTATGAACCCATCAATGCCATCAAATGAATTTGATTTGAGTAATCCGACGGTGTGTGTGAGTGAGCTTGTCACTCTGTGAGCGGTGTGCTACCCACATGTGCTCACCTGACCCACAGGCTGGGGTTTCCCCTCCTGCACTCCTCAGACTCATCTGCCCCAGCCCCTGCACCCCATATTACATCCTGCTTTGGTTTCCATGCATACTACATGGAACCCTGTTCCTGTGTCAGCTCTGTCCTTGTTCCATCTGCAAGAACCTACTTTCCTCCTCATCAACCATACCTCCTCCATCCTAATTCTCTGTCCACCTAATCTGTGGCTCAGCTCAGGTTTCACTTCCTCCAGGAAGTCTTCCTTGATTTTCCAATCTAGATGTTCTTGCAATTCCTGTGTCTTTCTCCATCACTGCAATTTGGGATTGACTCTGCACTTCTGTCTTCTCCAGCAGACAGGAGCTTCTCCAGGGTAGGCACTGGGTCTTGTTCAGCTCTGTCTCGCCTATCAAGCATATCTTATGGGACATGCAGACAACAGAGTGTAACAGTCAGGCAGCAGGCTTTGGGGCCTAGCAGACCTGCGTGCATCCTGGCTCTGTCACTTGCTGGTTTGTGCCCCTGGCCAGTGTGTGTACAGCTGATTCTGATGGCGCCTGTCTCAAAGGGTGAGTGGGGCCTAAATAAGATGCTGTATAGAGGCTGTGGAAGAATGCCCAGCACACAGTGCTCAGTAGTAAGTGCTGCCATCATCAGCCCAGTCATCACCATCATCAAGTGGCATCAAACTCCCTGAGTCTGGCCACTCTGCAAGGGGTTAAGAGAATCAGTAAGACCAGGGAAGTGCTTTGTGAGAAGAAACTGCCACACACGGCACGGTGGGAAGGGCACAGAATCTGTAGTTGTACAGACATGGCTTCAAATCCCTGCTGGCTATGCACCACTGGGAGGCACTGAGCAAGCTGCTTTGCCCCTCTGAGCCTCAGTTTCCTCTCCTTTAAAATGGAAATAATCACTGCTGGCAGCTGCAGTGAGGATTAGACATGCTGTGTGCAAAGCCTATAGCACGTGGCAGGGGCCCTGTGACCATTAGTACTGTCCCCTCCCCTACTGAGCATGCAAGGAGCTGCAAGGCCGCCCACACTCAAGGTGGAAACAAACCACCTTCTCCATTTTCCCTCTGCGTCTCCTGGGGGCTGCTGGGCATGAGTGGCAGGGGTTGGACCAGCAAGTTATCATCTCCTTCTTGCCAGACCCTAGGAGAGGCAGGGCCCAGAGCCACCACCACTGCGGGGCTAGGCAGGCAAGATGCTGGCCTGAGGGTTCAAGGGGAGCCCCAGGGACTGGTGTGAAGTCTGGCCTCTCCCTGGGCTCCTGGCAGTGGAGCCCAGCAGAAATGAGACCGAGGAGCTCTGGGGAGGAGGTAGTGTGGTGCTGAAAGAAGCTGGATCCTGCTCATGGAGGGGGATAAAACATTTTTAAAAAGGAAAGAAAGAAAAGAAAGAGAACATAGAGGGAAAGGAAAGGAAAGAAAAGGGGAGGGGAGGGGAAAGGAGAAAGAGAGGAAGGAGCTCGGACTGGGAGGCAGATGGCAGAGGTGCGAATCCCAGCTCTGTCACTCCCTGGCAGTCCTCACTGTAAACCCCGGAGAGAGCCCACCTGGGGGCTGTGGCTGCGGTGGGTATTGACAGTGCCTGTTGCACAGGAGCGCTGAGTAAGGAAAGTTCCTTCCACTGACTTCTCTCTCCTTCTCGCCCTGCTTGTCAAGAGCCCTCTCAGGATTTACCCGGCACGAATCCATCCTACCCAAGTGCCTTTTCAGTGTGGGCATTAAAGCAGAACTCGTTTGAAGACTTTCCTTATGAGCTGGAATCATTTCTCACAGACTTTCAACGATAATGAATTGACAGGAATTCTAACCTGATTCCAACCAAAGGACACAATGATAAAGTTAAATCTATTTCAGCACAAATTGCATGTCAGAAGTAGATTAAAAAGCCACCTCTTTATCCAGCCCCATGGCTTGAGGCTGAGACAACCTTGGGGCTCTGTCCTCTGTGTTGGCTGGCAGAGGCCCATCCTCTGTGGGGAGTCGCAGTTCCAATGGGCAAGCAGTCTGGAAGCCCTCTCACCGAGCACGAGCCCACCCTGAGGCCCCTCTCCCTCTGCCACGCAAGCGTATACAGCTTGTGGCTGCGTGCCCACCAGAGAACCTTCCCCAGGGAGAGAGCTGCCAGCTCACCTCAGGGAGGTGACACAAGAAACGCACCTGTTTCAAGGTCTGTTAGGTGCAGCGCGAAGTCAAAGCCACCACTGAGGATGCGCCGGCCACAGGGAGCCCACCGGGCGGCCCGCACTGCCTCTGTGTGCAGGGAGTAGGTCTGCAGGCAGTGCCCGGAGTCCACGGCGTTCCATACCTGCAGGCAAACACAGACAGCACCAGGTGTCACAACAAGGGCCTGATCTCCAGGGCTCAGCTCGACCCCACTGTAGAAAGAAAAAGGTCTCGGTGGAATTAGATTCTCATTATTTTACCATCAAATCTATATCTAGATGTTAAACTTTTCATTGCAGAAATGTAAAGGCTTGGGATTGGTAAGTTGGGAGGATCATTTCCCCAAATTTTTTCTGGGGTTAAGAAAACTGCATTCTGGACGGGTATGGCAGCTCACATCTGTAGTCCCAGCACTTTGGGAGGCCAAGGTGGGCAGACTATTTGAGCTCAGGAGTTCAAGACCAGCCCAGGCAACATGGTGAAACCTTTTCTCTACATAAAATTAGTTGGGCATAGTGACACATGCCTCTAGTCCCAACTACTCAGGAGGCTGAGGCAGGAGAATTGTTTGAGCCCAGGAGGCAGAGGTTGCAGTGAATCACGATTGCACCACTGCCCTCCAACCTGGGTGACACAGCGAGACTGTCTCAAAATAAAAGAAAAAAGAAAACGCATTCCTGTGTCTGCCGGTCACCTACCCAGCCCTTCACACCTGTTTCATCCCTGCAGCCGGGTGGGAGTCCTGCACCCTCAGCATTCACAACCCTATCCCAGGCTCACCTGCGTCCCTGGCATCTTATCCCAGGCTCGCCTGCATCCCTGGCATCTTATCCCAGGCTCGCCTGCATCCCTGGCATCTTATCCCAGGCTCGCCTGCATCCCTGGCATCTGTCCTGCCATGGACACTGCCCAAGTCCAGGCTATTTTCATGGGTTCTGCTGTAAGACAGAGATCCAAAAAGGAATGTGCTACACTCGTATTTACAACCAGTCAAAGTACAAATATCTGCCGTAGGGGCAGCTGTCCTTTTGTTGGAGGAGAGAAGGTGCTTTCCCTCCTTCCCATGCTGGCCTTTCATGAGGGTATGAGGCTCATGAGAGAAAACCCTGTTACACTCAATGACTTCTGAAAAATGATCTAAGATATCAAGTATAAAACTGCACATTCCCAGAGCCAGGGCCACACCACGTGAGAGCCCCTGAGCTTAGCTTTCCACCAGCTCTCCCAGCAAATGCCGCCAAACACACCGTGCAGCCCAGGGGAACTGCCGGAGAGTTTGGAATATGTCAGGGTAGGCCCAGGGCCTGACACACAGAGGTACTCAGCAGTGCTAGTCCCCTACCTTCTTGTCACTGCAGGATGAGGGCAGTGCTCTCACCTACCACCCAGGTGGCTCAGAGGCTGAACCCGAGAAGCAGAGGAGCACTTGCAGCCAGCGTGTGGGAGTCAGAACGGAGTGCCTCCCACCTGATACGGCTGCTGGCAGGCCTCGGGCCTTGGCTGAGTGGCTTTGCCTCTCTGGGCCTCAGTCCTCTCCTCCCTGAAGTGGGAATAAGAAGAGCGCCACCCCGAGGGCAGTGGTGAAGGCTGAGGAGGTAATGGCTGCACAGCACATGGCATAATGGCTGGCACACAACTGGATGTGGATTCCAGACCTGTTCCATTAGGAAAACCAAGCTTCATTTTCTTTAATAAGAGAAAAACCCAAACAAAGTACACCCATGCACTTCTACCAACCTGATCCCAGGGATAACCTTCTCATTAAAGACAAGAAAATTCAACCTGCCAAGTCCCGAATGTTCTCAGAATGCAAAGGATCAGAGCTCTGAAACCTTGTTTCCTGGGATTATGTAAATGTCTACACTTAAGAAAACAAAAGGTCAAGAGTAGCCTTCAAAAAATGTGAAGAGAGCTCAGTTCCTTTCTTCCTCACTAAGGGTCAATAGCTGGGGTCTCAAACTGAAAAAATCAAGAAACAGCAGTATTTACATTTAGAAACACGACACAGCCAGAAGACACAGCCAGAAGACTTCAAAGTGGAATAAGAATTCACGGGAGGGAGATGGGGCACAGGGAACTGCTGTTTTCCAAAAATATGTATGAATATGAGTTTAATTTTATTTAAATAGTAAAATAAACGAGATCTACAGGGCTTACATGGTTAAATGGTAAAAAAGTTAATATTAAGTACATAAGTCAAGCTGCATATACGAAGTACAATGCCATTTAAGTTTTTACATGAAACACCACCTTGTACCCATTAGGATGGCTGCTATCAAAAAACAGAAAATAACAAGCATTGACAAGGATGTGGAAAAACTGGAACCCTTGTCCACTGCTGGTGGGCATGTCAAATGGTGCAGCCACTGTGAAAAACAGCATGATGGTTCCTCAAAAAATTAAATGTAGAATTATGACATGATCCAGCCATTCCACTTCTGGGTAAATGCCCAAAAAGCTGAAACCAGGGTCTCAAAAAGATACTGTACATCCATGTTCATAGCAGCATTATTAATAATAGCCAAAAGAGGGGAGTAATCCAAGTGTCTATGGATGGATGAATGAATTGTAAAAATGTGTTCTATCCATACAGTGGAATAGTATTCAGCCTTAGAATGGAAAGAAATCTTGGCACTTGCTACAACATGGATGAAACTTGAAGATATTATGCTAAGTAAAATAAGCCAGACACATAAGGACAAATACTATATAACTGCACTTATATGAGGTACCCAGAGTAGTCAAAATCATAGAGATAGATAGAAAGTAGAATGGTGGTGGCCAGGGCTGGGGGAGGGGGAATGGGGAGTTGTTTAATGGGGACAGAGTTTCAGTTTTCCAAGATAAAGAGTTCTGCAGACAGATGGGGTGCAGACTGCACAACACTGTGAATGTGCTTAATGCCACTGACCTGTATGCTTAATAGCGGTGAAGATGGTCAATTTTATGCTGTGTATTATTCTGCCACAGTTTTTAAAAATACACACACACACACAAAGAAAAAAAAAAGCAGATCTCATTTATACGTGAATTTGTAGCCAGGCTATAAAAACATGCATGAGGAGGGCCATCACTCCTAGGAAGGGAGGGAAAGGGGCAGGGCTAGAGGGAAAAGCTATGAACACTAAGCAGCAGCTCTTCCAAAGAGAGGGTGGAACATGTAGGGGAGAGTAGATAAGGCAGGGGAGATGAGATGGGGTAGGGGAGAGGAGATGGAGTAGGGGACTTGAGATGGGGTAGAGGAGAGCAGATCGGGTAGAGGAGATGAAATGAGGTAAAGGAGATGAGATGGGGTAGGGGAGAGTAGATGGGGTAGGAAAGAGTAGATGGCATAGGGGAGAGCAGATGGGGTAAAAGAAGATGAGATGAGATGAGATGAGATGAGATGAGATGAGATGAGATGAGATGAGATGAGATGAGATGAGATGGAGTAGGGGAGATGAGATGGGGTAGGGGAGGATGAGATGGGGAGGGGAGATGAGGTAGGGGAGATGAGATGGGGTGGGGGAGATGAAATGCACTGGGTTGATGCGATGGGGTGTGGGAGATGAGGAGAGGGAGAGATGGAAAATGCTCTCCGAAGAAAACATGCCCAAATGTTTCCTCTGAAACTCATTCATTTATTCATTCATTCAACAAAGATTTCCTGAGGACCTGCTATTAGCCAGGCATTGTGTAACAGGAAACAAATAAGACAAAAATCTCTGCCTTCAAAGAGTTTATATTCTAGTGAGGGAGACAGACACTGAACAAATAAAAATCCACAGTCCTTAAGGCAGTGGTGAAGACTGAAGTATTAAAAAGTAACCAGGAAAGGGCTCTATAAGGTCAAGGGAAGGGGCTGAAATGGTGGCCAGGGAGGACCTCTCTGAGGAGGTGACTTTGGAGGAAGTCCTGAAGGGGTGAGAAAGCCAGCTATGTAGAAATTGAGGGAAGAAGCTTCCAGGCAGTGACAGGAGTATGCCTGGCATGGTCAAGCAACAGCAAGAAGGGCCACTGCAGCTAGAGAAGTGAGCAAGGCTGGGGGTTGGCAGGGAGGTGGTAAGAAAGGGATGAAGTCGGAAAACCACAAGCCGTTGGGGCATCCCAGGGTTCTGCAGGTGGAACGGAGGGGAATGAGGGCTGGTTCCACTGCAGTAGGACCACTCCAGCTGCCATGCAGGGAGGAGAATGAAGGGCAAGAGAGATGAAGGAAGACAATCAGGAGGCTTCTGCAAGAATCCAGGGAGAGAGGAAATGGCTTGGAACAGTGGGAGGCAGTAGAGAAGTGGCCTGCCTTGGAGGGTAGAACCAACAGGACTTCCCTGGACTGGAGGTAGGATATGAGGGCAAGGGAAAAGCCCAGGACACATTCGCAGTTCCTGGCCCAAGCACTGAAAGGGGTGGAGTTGCAGGGATGGGTCAGCCTGCAGAAGGGGTAAGTTTGAGGGAAGGAGGACCTGGAGCTCAGTTTTGAATGACAGACAGCAGACAGTATAAAGACTCATTCCCGTACCAGTGTGATGTTCAAAAGAGAGGCCCAGGGTAGAGGCTGAGCTGTGGATGCCATTGTGGAAATTGTGCCGCAGCCTTGAGCTGGATGAGCTCTCCTAGGGAGCAAGTGCAGACAGGACAGAGAGGAGTCCCACATCTCAGCCCCAGGCCTCCAAGTTTCACAGGCTGGGAACCAGGGGAGGAGAGAGAGAAACCAGAAAGGAGTCTAAGAAGAGGCCAGTGAAGTGTGGGAAAAAAACAGAAGAGGAAAGTCCTGGAAGCGTAGAGAAGAGAGTGTTTTGACAAAGAGGCTGGTCACCATGTCAAATGCTGATGGGTGGGTCCGCTGAGAATGAGAACAGACACACCTGGGGATTTGACAATCTCAGTGACAGGTGTATAGGTATCTGTTACCTTCTATAATTTTGAGTATGTTTAAAACATTTCATATTTAAAATAAAAAGTTAAATTAACCAAGACGGAGAGGAGGAGGAGCAGAAGAAAAAAGGAAGGGAGAGAAGGAGTGATGGAGGAATTGGGGAGAGGAGAGAAAAAAGAAACACAGGATGGGAAACGGAAAGGGAGGAAAAGAGAAGGGAAAAAGGAAGGAAGGAGCAGGGGGAGAGGAAGGGGTGAAAGAAGAAGAGAAGGGAAAAAGGAAGGAGCAAGGGGGAGAGGAAGGGGGAGAGAAGAGAAGGGGAGAAGGGAAAAAGGAAGGAGCAAGGGGGAGAGGAAGGGGGAGAGAAGAGAAGGGGAGAAGGGAAAAAGGAAGGAGCGGGGGAGAGGAAGCGGGGAGAGGGAAAGAGAAGGGAAAAAGGAAGGGGGGTGCAGAGAGGAAGGGGGAAGAAGAGAAGAGAAGGGAGGGGAAGAGAGGATGGAGAGGAGGAGAGGACGGAGGGAGGAGGAAGAACCAGCTTGGGCAACATAGTGGTCTCATGCAAGAAAGAAGAAATTACAAAAAACTTGAACTCTATGAAGTCCAAGGCCAAAAGCAGCAAACTGGAATGTTTGAATTCTTGTCCAGGGGAACTCCCAAATCAGCCACGGAAACATGTAAGGAGATCCATCAATCTGTAAATCGTCTGACAAGCTCCCCCTGAAGTGAAAAACGCACACTTGGCTCTCCTAGTAGATGCACAGACAACGACAGCATCTGAATCAATGCAGACCAGTCAGCTACCTCTCAAAGCTATCCAGGGTGAAGGAGGGAAGAATCTTTGCCAATTGGTCTCCTTAATTGAATTTAATGTTCACTGTCAGGTTTTAAAGATTAATTCCCCAACATTGCAGCAGACTGAAGTGCGTGCTTTTTTCAATTAAGTAATTAGAGATCCCAAACTGCCTTCATAGAATTAAGGAGTTAAATCTTCTGTCAAATGTTCCAAGATGATTTCATGTATTAACTAGAGACATTCTTTGTGTCCGACAAAAGTAACAGATTTGAAAAGAATATGACAAGTAAAATATGGTGCAGTCACTTGTCGGTGCCATATTTACCACAGTTTCTGTGTCCTCGTTACCAAGACATGGCCCCACCAGGAGTTCCTCACAGTCTCCAAAGATTGAACAAGTATTGATCTAGCCACAGGTCATGTTCTTTCTGCCTGCCTGCCTTTCGTTTTTGGTTACAAAAAATACAGTCTTCTTGTAAATTATTCAAACTATACAGAAGTGCAAAAACAAAATCCCAAAGGAAACAGCTATAGGATTGTTGTTTCTCTGATTTCATTGGAAATATGTGTGCTCTGCCCAAAAAAAAAAACAAACAAAACAAACAAAAAAAAACAGAAAAATACAACGAAAATAAGAGTCATCCATAACCCCATCACCTGGCTGTCAAACTTCTGGGTAAGCCTTCGCCTCCCTCGTGGCCCTATCCTACTCACTCTTATCTCGGAGACCCTCCTAGTCAGGCCTGGCTCCTGGCCTCATCCCACCTCTTGACAGTCCCTGTTGCCCCAGAAAATAATTTTAGAGACCATTCTCAAACTCACACAGTTCAGCACAAGCCTGTGCAACCAGTGCCTAACCCTTTACCAAACGGATGGGATCAGCCCATTTGCCAAATCTTTGAGAAGCCCTTCATGATGTTTGTGTTCTACAGCTGGAGTTGCACTGATTCTAAAATATCTGGGGAAACACCTTAATAATATTGAGTCTCCCAATCCATGAACAGGATGTCTCTCTCCATTTATTTAGGTCTTCTTTAATTTCCCTAAGGAACAGTTTGTGGTTTTTTAAATGAAAAGATCTTGAATGTCTTTTGTCAAATTTATCTCTAATTATTTCATAGTTTGATAATATAAATGGTATTTTTAACTTTTATTTTCAGATTGTTGATTTCTCGTATGTAGAAATACAATTAATTTTGGATATTGACCTTGGATTCTGCAACCTTACTAAACTCACTTTTTAGTACTAGAAGCTTTTTAAAATAGACAGAGTGGAATTTTCTTTTCTTTTCTTTTCTTTCCAAGTCAGGGTCTCGCTCTGTTACCCAGGCTGGAGTGAAGTGGTGCGATCACAGTTCACTGTAAAACTTTGAACTCCTGGGCTCAAGCAATCCTCCCACCTCAGCCTTCCGAGGAGCTGGGACTGCAGGCACACATCACCCTTCTAAATGTTTTTATTTTTATTTTTGTAGAGCTGGGGTCTCACTATGTTGCCCAAGCTGGTCTCAAACTCCTGGCCTCAAATGATCCTCCAGCTACAGCTTCCCAAAGGCTGGATTACAGCATGAGCCACTGTGCGCAGCCTGGAATTGCATATAGATGATCATGTTATCTGCACATAAAGGCAGTTTTACTTCCTCCTTTCCAATCTGGATCCTTTTCTTGTCTTGTCTTATCACACTGGCAATCTCCAGTAGAATGCTAAATAACTCTCCGTGACACCCTTGCCTATTCCTGATCTCACTGGGAAGGTGGTCAGTCTTACACAGTTAAGAACGACATTAGAGCTAATGTTTTTTTTTGGTGCCTCTTATCAGTTTAAAGGAGTTCTCTTCTATTTCTAGTTTGCTGGAAGTTTGTTTTTTTTTAATCACTAATGAATGTTGGATATTGTCAAAAGCTCTTTCAGCATCTATTGAAATGTTCATATGGTTTTTCTTTCATAATTAGTCATTAACATTATAGTTCAGTCATTAATGCTGAGTTACATTGATTTTCAAATGTTAAGGCAAGCTTACATTCCTGGGACAAATCCTCCTTGGTCATGATATGCACATATATGTAGTTGGATTGATTTGCTAAAATTTTATTTAAAAATTTTGTATCAGCCGGGTGCGGTGGCTCACACCTGTAATCCCAGCACTTTGGGAGGCCGAGGCAGGCGGATCATGTGGTCAGGAGATCAAGACCATCCTGGCTAACGCAGTGAAACCCCGTCTCTACTAAAAATACAAAAAATTAGCAGGGCGTGGTGGCGGGCGCCTGTAGTCCCAGTTACTCAGGAGGCTGAGGCAGGAGAATGGCATGAACCCAGGAGGTGGAGCTTGCAGTAAGCCGAGATCGCGCCACTGCACTCCAGCCTGGGCGACAGAGCGAGACTCCGTCTCAAAAAAAAAAAAAAAAAATTTTGTATCTATGTTCATGAGAGATATTGGTCTCTTGCTTTCTTCTCTTATGATGTCCTTTTCTTGGTTTGATACCAGGGTAATCATGGCCTCATAGAATGAGTTGGGAAGTGTCCCCCTTCTTTGCTATTCTAGAAGAGTTTGTGTGTATATGTGTGTGTATGTGTATGTGTATATATATATATATATATATATATATATATATATATATATATATACACACACACACATATACGGATATATATATATATCCATTTCCCAGGGCTGCCATGACTAGAGTACCATAAACTGAGTGCCTTAAACAACAGAATTTTGTTGTCTCACAGTTCCAGAAGCTAGAAGTCTGAAATCAAGCTGTTGGCAGGGTTGGTTCCTTCTGAGGGCTCTGAAGGAAGAATCTGTTCCAGACCTCTCTCCTTGACTTGTAGATGGCTGTCTTTGTATTCACATAGCTTCTCCCTTATAGAAAGGGGAGATTCGGAGATAGATATGCATAGAGGGAGAATTGGATAGGATGCACCCCTAATGACCTCATTTTGACTTGATTACCTCAGTCATGACCCCATCTCCAAATAAAGCTACCTTTTGAGGCACTGGGGGTTAAGATTTCAAAATATAAATTTGGAGTTGGGGTAGGTACAATTCATCCCATGATAAATTGGTATAATTTCTTAAGTGGTACAATTCACTAGCGAGTATTCAACTGGAGTTTTCTTTGTGGGAAGGTTTTTAATCATGAATTCAATTTTTTAAATAAACATGAGGCTTTGGGGGTTATCTATTTCTTCTTGAATGAGCTTTTATTGTTTGCGTCTTTCAAGGAACTCTTCCATATCATCTAAGTTGTAGAATTCATTGGCATAAAGGTGGTCATAACATTACCTTAGTGTCTTTCAAATGTCTGCAGTATCTATAATTAGGTCACTTCTCTCATTCCTAATATTAGTAATTTGCAATTTTTCTCTGTTATCTCCCATGAGTCAGGCTAAATATACCTTTCATTGGTCTCAAAGAACCAACTTTTTGTTTCACTGATTTTCCTCTACTATTTTTCTATTTGCTATTTCAGTTATTTCTGCTCTTATTTTTATTGGCTTATTTGGGTTGAATTTGCTTTTCTTTTTCTGGTGTCTTAAGGTAGAAGCTGAGATCACAGATTTGAAAATTTCTTCCCAACTAATATAGATATTTAGTGCTATAAATTACTATCTGAGAACTCTTCTAGTAACACTGCACAAATTTTTTATATTGTGTTTTCATTTGCATTCCATTCCAAATACTTTCTAATGTCTCTATCTGTTTCTTCATTGACCCACGGGCTATTTAGAAGTGTGTTAGTTTCCAAATATTTAGAAATTGTCCAGATACTTTTGTTACTGATTTTTAATTTAATCCCATAGTAGTCAGAGAATATACTTTGAATGATTCCAATCTTTTTAGATACACTGAGACTTGTTTTATATGGTCTCTCTTGGTGGACATTCCATGGGCAATTGAAAAGAATGTATATTCTGCTGTTGTTACATGGAGTGTTCCATAAATGTCAATTAAGCCAAATTGGGTGACAGTGTTGTTCCAGTCTTATAAATCTTAACTGATTTTCTGTCTACTTGATCTATTGATTATTGAGAGCGGGGTGTTGAAATCTCCAACTATAATTGTGGATTTTACTATTTCTCCATTCAGCTTCTGTCAGTATTGCTTCATGTATTTTAGAGCTCGCTTATTATTTATATAAATATTTATGCACCTAATGTTTAAGCAGCTGACATTACACACCTAATGTTATGTCCTTTGATGAACTGACCCCCTTGTTGTTATGAGTCTCTTTATCCTGGTACTATTCTTTGCTCTGAAATCTGCTCTTGTCTATGTTAACTCCAGCTTTCTTTTATTACTATTAGTATGATATATCTTTTTCTATCCCTTTATATTTAACTTTTTGTGTCTTTATAAAGTGGGTTTCTTATAGGCACTGAGTCTTGACTTTTTATCCAACCTAACAATCTTTGTCTTTCAAATGGGATGGGTAGACCATTTCATCCATAATTGATATGGTTTGGGTTTAAATCTTGTTATTTGTTTTTATCCCATCTGTTCCTTGTTCCCTCTTTCCTAATTTTTTTGCCTTCTTTTGCATTGAATATCTTTTGTTATTTTATCTCCCATTGTTAGACTTATAACCATAAATCTGTTTTATTACTAGTTGCTTTAAGGTTTACAGCATACATCTTTAGCTTATCACAGACTACTTGCAAGTAATATTATCACTTCCCCTATGAGAACTGTAACAATAATATACACAATCTCCTCCATCCTAGCCTTTGTGCTATTGTTATTGTGTATTTTACATCTACATATGTTACAAACGGCACATTATTATGTTTTTACTCTAAACAGTCAATCATCATTGAAAGTGATTTTTAAATAAGAACAAAAAACATCTTACATTTTCCCACATATTTACCATTTCTAGTGCTCATTATTCCTCTCTGCAAATGTAGATTTCTCTCTAGCATCATTTTCCTTCTGTGTCAAGGACTCCCTTTATTAACATGTCTTATAGCGCAAGTTTGCTGACGGCGAAATCACTTCGGTTTTAAAATGCCTGAAAAAGTAATCTGCCTTTCTTTTTTAAAAGATATTTCACTGGATATTAAATTTGGGGTTGACAGTGGTTTTGGTTTTGGCTTTTCCTTTCAGTGCTTTCAAACGGTGTTCCACTGTCTTCTGGCAGTATTTCCAATGAGAAGTTCAGGTCACTCTCGTCTTTGCTCCTCTGTATGTAATGTGCCTTGTTCCCCCTTCTGGTTACTTTTAAGTTTTTTTCCCCTTAACAGTAGTTATAAGAAATTTCAGGCCAAGTGCGGTGGCTCACGCCTGTAATCCCAGCACTTTGGGAGGCCAAGGTGGGTGTATCACTTGAGGTCAGAGGTTCGAGACCAGCCTGGCCTATATGGTGAAACCCTGTCTCTATTAAAAATACAAATTAGCTAGGCGTGGTGACAGGCAACTGTAATCCCAGCTACCTGGGGGCTTAGGCAGAAGATTCGCTTGAATCTGGGAGGCGGAGGTTGCAGTGACCCGAGATCACACCACTGCATTTCAGCCTGGGAGACAGAGTGCGACTCCGTCTCAAAAAAAAAGAAAAGAAAAGAAAAGAAACTTCATTATAATATACCTTGGTGAACTTTTTTCTTCATGTTTCCTGTGCCAGGGGTTCACTGAGATTCTTGAATCTATGGGTTTATGATTTTCATCAAATTTAGAAAAGTTTCAGCCATTATTTCTTTAAATATTTTTTCTGTTCTACCCTTCTTTGAGGACTCCACTTTCACATATATTGGGTGAACCTGAAGTTGTCCCACAGCTCACTGATGATCTGTTCATTTTTCCCCCAAGCTTTTTGTTCCCTGTATTTCACTTTGGATAGCTTCTATGACTTCAAGTTCGCTAACCTCTTTTATAGTTTCTGATCTGCTGTTAATTCCATGTACTGTGTTTTTCACTGAAGACTTTGTTTCATCTCTAGAAGTCCAGTTTGGATCTTTTTTGTATCGCCCATGTCTCTTCTTAATAAGCTCATGCTAGTCTCTACCTTTTTGCACATATGTAATATGTTTATAATAGTTGGTTGAACAGTTCTTGTCTACTCATTGTATCATCTGTGCCATTTCTGGATCTGTATCTATTGACTGATTTTTCTTCTCATCATGGTTCATATTTTTTTTACTTCTTTGCATGTTTTGTAATCTTTATTTGGATACTAGACACAGTAAATTCAGGAGGCTGAGTACTCCAGCCTGGGTGGCACAATCACAGCTCACTGCAGCCTTGAACTCCTGGGCTCAAGCAATCCTCCCGTCTCAGCCTGAGTGGCTGGGACTACAGGTGCATGTCACCATGCCTACCTAATTTTTTGAGACAAGGTCTCACTACATTGCCCAGACTGGTCTTGAACTCCTGGCTTCAAGTGATCCTCCCACCTCATCCTCGCAAGTAGCTGGGATTACAGGCATGCACCACCATGCCTGGCTTCACATTCATTCTTGAAGGATACAGAATCATGAGTTGACATGTTCCTAGTTTCCTATCTTTAAAGATGCCATCAAAGATACCCCACCTCCTCACCTCCACCTCATACCTGCCATACACATACTCCATTACTCCATTTCAGTCAAATCTTCCCCACACCCAGCCTCCTGATAGGAATATTTAGGAGAGTGAGGAGACCCAAATATTTGTTTTGTGGGTGAGCCACTGTGTCATAGATAACAAGAAGGCCAGCAGTGATCTACAAACTGATCTCATTCACTATAAGTATGAACTTTAAAGATACCATTTTTAGTTTTCTATCTTTAAAGATACCATTCCATTGTCTCTAGACTCCACTATTTCTGGTGAAGAGTGAGTAGTTTTTCACATGATTATTCTCCTCCACATGACACTCATTTTTCTCCGACTGCTTTCAAGATTTTCTCTTCATCTTTGGTTTGACTACCATATGCCTAGGTGTGGTTTTCTTTGTATTTGTCCTGTTTGCAATTTACATGTTTGGGATTTTTTTTTTTCTTTTAAAAAAGAAACTCACCAAATATGGGGCATTTCCTGATATTATTTATTGAAAATATTTTTTTCTTCCCCATTCTCTCCCTCCTCTCTTCTGGAGCTCAATTACTTGTATAATAGATTTTCTGATATTGTCCACAGTTCTCTGAGTATCTGTCCTTCTTCTCCTCCATCATTTTTCTCTGTTTTAAGGCTGAATACTTTCTGTTGATCTATCTCCAAGTCCACTGGCTCTGTCATTTCCCTCTGTTATGGAATCGAAATGGTGAATTATTCATTTCAGATACTGTATTTTTCAGTTCCAGAATTTAACACTTGTTTTTCTTGTAGCTTCTATTTCTCTACTGAGATTCCCCGTTGTTTTACTTGTTGCGAGGATATTTTCCTTTGTGTCCTTCAGCACATCTATAATAACTGTTTTAAAATACTTGTCTGCTAATTTCAACATTGGGATCATCTTGGCAATAAGCTCCTTTGATGGCCTTTCTCTTGAATATAGGCCCCCTCTTCCTGTTTCTTGCTTTATCTAGGAATTTTGGGTGGAATACTGAACATTACAAAATGTATGTTATCTCTAAATTCTTTTATGCTCCTCTGAAGAATATTGATTTAAAAAAAAAAACACGCAGCTAACCTGGCTCTACTCAAATTTCAAACTCTGTTTCCCTTGCGGTGTGCAGCAGCAGAAATTTCTATTCAGTTCTCTTTGCCTTAGTTGAGCTGCTTAGAGTCTGCATTCAAAGATTTGGGTAGAGTTTATAGCCACTTTCCAGCTGCTGTGGTTACCCCAAACTCTGTCCTCTGGTTCTTCAAGCCAGTAACACTACAGATTTTCTATACAAATTTTTAGCAGCCTGTCTGGCACAGACTGGAGCCTATGCTTAGGCAAAACAAACAGACAAAATCATAAAAGTCAGAAACTCATCCAGTACCATTTCCTTCTTTGGAGGGTAGACGTCTGTCCAGTCTCTGCCTGCTTTTTTTTGCTCTCCAATACCTTCAGGTAGTTTTGTTGTTGTTGCTGTTGTACAGTTTATAGTTGTTAGCTGTGGGAGGGTTAGTCTGCCAGAACTACTGCTTCATTACTGGAAGCCAAACATAATTTTCAATTTTAAGCATCTGTTTTGCAGTAATTAAAAAGTAACACTTCACCCCACCTCCTCACCTCCACCCTCACACCTGCCATACACATACTCCATTACCCCATTACCTCAGTCAAAATCTTCTCCACACCCAGCCTTCTGGTAGGAATGTTTAGGAGAGTGAGGGGATCAGAGTATTTATTCTGTGGGTGAGCCACTGAACACCACCACCACCAGCTTCACAAAAATTTGCAGAGAACCTGGGAACACTTCAGGGTTTGTAGGATACATGGTATGGGAGTTTGAGCCAATTTCATTTGCATCTCTAAGGGCAGGGTACCCAAGCTGATATCTGGGTTACAAAGGGCTCACATTTGCAGCAACAGCAAGAACAGCAGCAGCATTTTCATTTTACACCATCTTCCTAAGTGCTTCCTAAAGTGTTTCTACACCAAATGATGCAAGGTCTCTCGAAGGAAAGGTTGAGGAGAAACTCGATCAGCATCTGTAAGTACCTGAACATTCATTATACAGAGAATTCCAAGAAATTATTCTCTCTATTCAATAAGGTCAGAACAAAGGGAAGGAATTTTAAATGTCAACAGAAGATGTAAAAGGGCAAAGAAGAGTTTTCTTAAAGCAAAAAGGATTAAGAGCGAGACATATCACAGAAGGGGCTGAAGAGAGTGTGGAGAGCTGGAGGCTGGGGCTTCTGGGGGCCATCAGCTACACCCACTTCGCAGAGTGGGAAGATCCCTCCACAGCCTGCCCAGTCCCCCAGCAGGTGCAGAGCCTGTCCAATGGTGGGAGTACAATGGTCTCAGGAGGAGCCAGTGCACCTTTTGAAAGCATCATAATCTGGAACTTCATATCCGGGACATTTGAAAGCATCATAATCCAGGGCATTATTCTGGGACCGCCTCCAGGTAGCAATAATCATGTATTGAGCATGTTACTACATGCCACACATGCTTTTCAGCACTTTACAATTGAGTTAGTTGAGTGAACTGAGTTAACCGAATTAACTCAATCCTCTCCACAGCCCTATGAAGTAGAAAATTAGGTCTGTTTTACAGATGAGGAAACTGAAGCATAGAGAGGTTGCCTGTCCCAGGCCATACTGTGAGAGGTGGGGCAGGCACCTGGACCAAGGCACTCTGGCTCGAAAGTGTGCAGGTTTCAGCACCACTAATGCTCTTCTACCTCCCACCTGCAATACCCCTCAAGGTCCAACCCACTGCCCTAGTCCTGCACTCCAGAGAAATACAATGCAAAGCCAGACTAACCCCTCTTCCTACTGCCAGCCTTTAGGTTGTCTCGTGGTGAGTTCCCCACTGAATCCCTGTCTCCTAATTTGATGGTCCAAAGTGCTGAGGTCCTCCTTTATGCCCTTCCCCCTCACTCGTCAGCTCTGTCAACCCAACCACTTCTCCTTGCCTCTGTGGCTCCATCCTCTGAGCACCATCCTCTCTCCCCAGCACCACTGCAACAGCCTCAAAACCGATGTCTCAAGTTTCACAGGATGAAAGCATTATGGAGAGGATGGTGGTGATGGCCACACAACACTATGAATGTATCTAATACCACTCAACTGTATGCTGAAAATGTCTAAGATGGTACATTTTATGTATATTTTACCACAGTAAAAACATTTTAGAAAAAAACAAAAAACTGGTATCTCAGCTTCCACTCTTGCCCTACAATCTACTGCCACACAGCAGCCAGACTGGACCTCTGCATCAGAGTCGAGTTATAGCCCCCCACCCCACAAACTATCCAGTGGCTTCCCATCACACCTGGAATAAATCTTGTGTCACCTGCCCTGACTCCACTGTAGCAGCACTGGCCTCCTGGCCTCTCACACTCCAGCATCTTCCCCCTCAAGGCCTGGGCACCTGCTACTCCTCTGTCCAGGTGCTCTTCTCTACCCAGCTGCTGGGTTCCCTCAAGTCTCTACTCAGAGAGATGTTCCCTGAACCACACGATCTAAACACTGCTCTCATCACTCCCCTTCATCTTAGCCAGCTCTACTTTTCTTCAAAGCTTTATGTTACTTCCTAACATATTTATTTATTTGCTTATTTGTTGTTTATTTCTCCCACTAAAATGTAAGTTCCATGGGGGTAAGGACACTATCTCTTCATTATCTGTTTTGTTCGCTTCTATATCCCCCAGTGTCTTGAACAGAGTCTAGCATATACTAGAAGCCCAATGTCTCTTGAGTGAGTGACGGCATAGATAGAATAAATGGATGGATGGATGGATGGAATGCATGGATACATGAAGGAATGGAATGGAACAGAACGGAATGGATGAATGAATGAATGGCATGGAGGGATGGGTTATGAATGGATGATGGACGGATGGATGGATGAATGAATGGAATGAAATAGATGGATAAATGAATGAGATGAAGGGATGGGTGATTAATGGAGGATGGATAGTTGGATGGATGATGGACAGATAGAAGGACAGATGGACAAACATGTGGACAAAAGAATGGCTATCCTAGCTTTGGGTCATCAGCAGATTGGAAAGCGGACCTCCCTTCTGTAACATTACCCAATTTATTTATTATTAGGCTGTGGAAAAGAATGCTAAGTATAGTATCCTTTAGTCATGAGAGACCTCCTCTATTCTGAGAGTAAATAATTAATTCTCAGAGTTGAGTGCTCTTGTTCAACAAGCCATAGGTCATCCAGTTGGACTGTATGACCTCTTTATCTCTCTTACCTTCTCAAGAACAGTCTGAACCTCTCTGGCACCACAAGAACCTTAGGCTGGTTCCTGCTCTTCTGTAAAACAAGGATGGGATGGAATCACCAAGGCTCTAAAGGCCTGAGGCTCTGAATGTCAGCACCTTTCCAAATCAAGACACACTCAGCCTCTGGCCTCAATACACACAGATCCTATAAGTCTAACAGCTCACGTAAGAATGAATGAGCCAGGCAAGGTGGCTGATGCCTGTAATCCCAACACTTTGGGTGGCTGAGGCGGGCAGATCGTTTGAGCCCAGGAGTTCGAGACCAGCCTGGGGCAACATGGAGAAACCCTGTCTCTACTACGGTGGCACACAACTCTAGACCCAGCTACTTGGGTGTCTGAGGTGGGAGGATCACCTGAGCCCAGGAAGTCAAGGCTGCAGTAAGCCATGATTGCACCACTGCACTCCAGCCTGGGTGACAAAGTGAGACCTCGTCTCAAAAAAAAAAAAAAAAGAATGCTTTGGCGAATGAACGCTGGCTCCTGGCAAGCATGTCTGTCTTTTAATCCTGCAAGGCCATGAATTCTACTGCCTGCCTGGCGTCTATTTTCTCTTTCTCTAGTATAAGCGTCCCTCCCCGACTCAGTCACTATGGTACATGGGGCTTCCAAAACTACCTTTTTTCACTCTTGGAAAATGGGTTTTCCACTTGGGCACCTCTAGTCTCCCAGCTCCCTCCCATTCTCTGTAATTTCTCAGCACTCTCTTGTGGACCCGCACAGCTGGAACCCGAGGTCTAAAGCCTGAGCTGCTTTGACGTTGTTAGGTGCTCTTTCACACCTGCCCCACCTGTAGGGACTGTGAAGTGCTTTTGGGGTTGCATGTCACATCTTTCCTCAAGCCACAGGCCTCTTCCCTCCTCAGTGTGCTTAATCTGCACACAGTAAGAGGGGCTCTGGACTGCTCCTACTCTCTTATCCTAAGACATACTCCCTCTCTCAATAACTGCGGGGAAGAAGAGGTTGTGACCTGGTTAGAATGAGTAGTAATAATGTTATACCTTTATTTTTGTGCATCACTTTCCACATTCATGTGCCCCTCACACAAGCCCACAAGGTTGTCAGGGAAACTGTCATCTCCATTTTACAGATGGGCAAAGAGAGGCTTAGAGTGACTGAGTGACTCTCATTCACTCGCTGGGTTTGTTCAACAGATATTTATGCCAGTCTGCTATCTGCCAAGAAATTTGCTCACTGCTGGAACTGCTAGAGAACAAAATAGCTCATGAGAGTCTAGTGGAAGAGAAAGATATTAAGCAACAAACAGCTCTTCTCACTCAGATCAGTGCTGTGAAGAACAGAACTGGCTCTAGGAGATGACAATAGCAGGTGGAACAGATTCACCTTGATTTCCACTGGGGAGGTCAGCAGGCTTCTCCAGAGGAAGGGGTGAGGTGGGGAGGGCCTGAGCAAGGCATAGTCACACAGCCTGGGGGACTGGCGGCCAGTGTGGCTGGAGCCCTATGTGAAGGAGGAGAGCAACAAGAGTGGGCAAAACGCAGGTCACCCAGGGCTCAGCAGACACTTGCAAAAGTTTGGAATTTTTCCCTCCATGTAAAATGGATGGTTTTTTAAGCATTGGAGCAAAGTGATAAGCAGATTTTTGTTTTTAAAGAGCATACCAGCTGCTATAGGAAAGGCCAGAATAACACAAGGAGACAAGTGAAGAGGGTGCGCAGAGGGGAGAGAGCAGGCCTGGGCCGCCGGACTGTGGACGCACTGAATGCCCAGTTTAGAGAAGAATCACTGGGACTTACAGGTGGATTAGAGGGGAGTGAGGCAGAAGGGGAGCAGGGGAGAAGGCAGGGTGTCGTGGCACATGGCGTAACAGCAGGAGACAGCCCCCTTCTGATCACACCATAGCAGAGGCAGGGAGAGCCAGAACCTGGGACGTCTCATCCTATGACCGCATGATGGTGCCACCTCTACAAGTGAGGGGAGGCGTCACCTAAGCCAGGACAAGGAGCTGCGTTAAAATCACTCTGTCTGCTTCATGCACGTGCAGGGACTCAGGGATGCTCTCAGCAGTTACTGAGTGGGGGCTCCTGGAAGCATCACCTGATTTAGTTTTAATGGCCTCCAACTTAATTCCTTCTGAAGGCCCAGTCTGGGTGGAGGCAGAGTGTCCTGGCTGTCATACATAGCCATGTCCCAGGGCACAGGCCTCCTGACCTCAGCTTTTCCAGAGACCCAGCTGAGACAGCCTCTCCCACCCCAATGCAACAGCCAGCCAGGGCAGGGCCCCGGAATAGAGGTGACCACTCTCAGAAAGTCAGGTTGCTCATGTCCTGCTGCCATGGCAACCGCCACAGGCCAGTGCCAGGCTGTCTCTGCTCCCAAAGGAGGCCTCCCGGGGCAGCCCTGTAGCCAGGCTCCAACAGGCCCATACCATTATCGAAGCCACGGTTCTCCCTGGCCCTCCCTGATGGGGCTGGGATGGAAGTGATCGTTTTCATCAAGATTTCTCAATTTGCATAAAAATGAGTACTAACCCTTTGCTCCAAAAATTCCATCCAGAAGCCCAGTAAAGGATGCTCTCCGAGCCTTCTAGCCATAAGGCCTTATCTTGCCAAGCACATCCCAAGGGCTTAGGGGGTTGTAAACAGCTACAGTGGGAAAGTCAGTGGCTGACTCCGGAGGCCCCACTCACCTGCCCAGCCTCATCTCCCATCACGATCGTCCTTGCACGCCACTTTCTAGGTGCGTTTCCCAAACTCACTCTGTTCCTTGAACCTCCAGCCTTACATATGCCTTCTCTCTGTTTGAAGTACATTCCTCTGTCTCCACCTGGTTGGCTCCTACTCTTCTCTCCTGTCTCCCATGAGACACTCCTTCCGCCAGGAAGCCCTCCTGACTCCCATAAGCCAAGTTAAGGTCCAGTGGATGTTCCCATAGGTCTCCATGCAGCTAGGTAGGCTGCGTTGTTTTTCCACCTCCAGTCATTGCCCTGTTCTTTTATGTGTAATGTTTTCCTGGTTGTGAAAGAAACAATGCATTTTTATAATGACCCCATCACCACCACAAGGCTATGGTTTATCTAGACTGCCACATGCCCACATTGCCAGGTGTTTACGCAGGTGACGGAGTCCTGGCAGTGACCCTCACTCCTCTGAGATAGTGTAACTGGGCCACTATACAGATGAAGAGACTAGGGCTCCCAGTAGGAAGGAAGTTGCCCAAGGTTACAGGACAAGCAAGTTAGCAGGCCCATGACTCACGGCCAGCATGCATGTGCTTCTCTTTCTGGGGCGCTTCTCACCTGGGGCCCAGGTGTCACCACCCTGGGCAACGGGTAAGATGCTGAAAAGGAACAGAGGGGACACTGGATCTAATCCTTGCACTCAAGCACAGGTAAGCCCTGCAACCTGCTGGCAGTTTCCACAGTATTTTTCTATGCAGACATTGTTTCTCCTGAGATCCTACTGAATGTACAATCTGGCATCCTGCTTTCTTCACTTAACATTTTCCAATGTTCCTAAAATCTTCTTTTTTTTTTTTTTTTTTTGAGACGGAGTTTTGCTCGTTTTCCAGGCTGGAGTGCAATGGCACGATCTCGGCTCACCACAACCTCCACCTCCCTGGTTCAAGTGATTCTCCTGCCTCAGCCTCCAGAGTAGCTGGGATTACAGGCAAATGCCACCACGCCTGGCTAATTTTTTGTATTTTCAGCAGAGACAAGGTTTCTCCATGTTGGTCAGGCTGGTCTCGAACTCCCGACCTCAGGTGATTCACCCACCTCGGCCTCCCAAAGTGCTGGGATTACAGGCGTGAGCCACCACGCCCAGCCCATTTTTTTTTAAAGTGCAGTTACTCATCACTTTCCAAAGAAAAGAGCACAGATTTGGCAGGGGCCTTGAACTTGACCATTTTTCCCTGGTGCCAATAGCTCTACGCACACAGCAAGAGGATTTAACAGCCTGATTCAGCACGGTGGGAAGGAGTAAATTGCTTAAGTCTGGGAAATACATTACCTCAATCTCGCAAATGGTTTTTGAAAATCATTAGGCCACAGAAGTGTAATTCTGTAGGCCTGGCTTTTGCTGCCTCCCCCACCCTGCTCAATACCACCCACCTCACCATGTCTGGTGCCACCAAACAGAGCACTCAAGTCTGGGTGGCAGCTGGCTGAGCCCCTTGCCCCAGATTACCCCAACCTCCCTCCCAAAAGACAAGTAAAATGTGACCTCAGGCTCCCCAGTCTGTTCAAGCCAGAGACCGGAAGAGAGCTGCAGACACGTGGCAAAGAGCAGCCCCTCCTCCACTGCAAGGCTGGCACGCCCACGCCTCAGCACACGTGCCCCCCTACTGCCCAGCACTGCTGCTAACTCGTGGGAAGTTGTCTTTGTGGGCTCCAGGTTGGTGTCCAAAATTAAAATCGTTGTAGATTTATGGGTCTCCAGTCCATTTCTGAGAAACAATCCCCAAGTCTAATCACTTCTAAAAAAGTCACCTAAGGACAAATGGAACAGCTTCCAGTAGGCTCCAGTTCACTCAACACTGCTCAGCATCCAAGCTCACGCGCAAACCTGGGGTTCTTTTGGGTTGAATATGCAAGGTTCCCTAACAAACTGTACTTAGAATGCATTAGCTGTTATTATAAATGGAGCCCAGAAATTTTCTAATAGCGTTGAATTAGTCTGTATAATTACATTACTTCAATGAGCATGAAATTATCTTACCTATTAAAGTTTAACAAGTGATTCTAAAGGATTAAGAAGAATCATGTGATGGGATAATAATGATGACTCCGTAGCACTTAGTCAAGGATTTCTGTGGCCACAGACGATAATTTTCAGAAGCTGCTTGGCCATGTAACTAACAGCCAGGAATCCCTGCATCCATGCGGTGCTGACAGCAGCAAGAACTCACAGGGTTAGGACATAACCACGCCCACAGAGCCAGGAGTGACCAGCGACACCTGCCCAGATCACAGAAGCCCCTCTATCGTTGGCTGATCTGCCTGTCACTCCTCCTCATTCTTACTCACAAGCTTTCAGACACAGCGTGTGGCTTCTGATATTTCTAAGAAACAACACAACTGCTGATTAATTTCAAGCTGCTGTTTTTGAAGTGAATTATGATTGGTATTGTGTTACTTACCATGTGTTGTGATTTATACATTTTTACTTTTTTTTTTTTTTTTTTTTTGAGATGGAGTCTTCCTCTGTCACCCAGGCTAGAGTGCAGTGGCATGATCTCAGCTCACTGCAACCTCTGCCTCCCAGGTTCAAGTGATTCTCCTGCCACAGCCTCCCAAGTAGCTGGGATTACAGGCACCCACCACCATGCCTGGCTAATTTTTGTATTTTTAGTAGATGGCCTAACCATGTGGGCCAGGCTGGTCTCAAACTCCTGACCTCAAGTGATCCACCTGCCTTGGCCTCCCAAAGTGCTAGGATTACAGGCATGAGCCACCACGACCAGCCCATTTTTACTAATTCTGATCATCAACATCAACAATGCTACTTGTCATGGCTCTGTGTCACTTGTGACCACCACCGCAGGACCCCAGGGGCAGGAGCTCACAAAGCCAGAAGGCTCCTCCTCTATACTCCAACTGAGCTTCATGGCTACCCTTCCCCACCACGCCAGGAGGAAGGTGGAGCACAGCACTGAAACAGTCAGGGGGTATAATATCTGGGGCAAACACCAAACTCAGCAGTTAACCCAAAGGCTTGGGGTCATCCTGGGTTGAACCCTCTTTTCATCTACCAGGATGGCCAGCCTCAGATCCTTTACCTCAACACTGGTATGGCCGGGCCTCGCCCCGTGTCTTCTTGGAGGGGCAGCATGGGTTGGAATCACAGGGTTCTAAACCCCAACTACTTCTTCCAACTGTGGTGGAAATGGGCTCTGAAAGGATGGCCGATGCCTGAGTCAGGGTAGAACAAAGGTTCTTTCTAGCCTGGTCCTTATTCTCCCAGACGCTTCCAAACACGTTCTGTGCCCACCTCCTCCTACAGGGAGGTCGGAAGCTAAATGAAGCAACCTGGGGGTTTCAGAACAAAAGCCTGGAAACTTCCTACTAAAATCCAAAGACAGGAAGCCTAGAAGCCATCCTGTCCCCGTCTCAGCCCTGGCAACAAGGAGGCTTTGATTCACCTCTCAGGCCCCTGAGTCACATGGCTGCAGCAGGTCTTTCCTTCTCCACTCCCAGCCTGCAGCCTATGCAGCTTCTCAGTCTTCTTTTCACCTTTACAAAAGGATGTTTTGAAACCCTTGGTGTGAGTTTTATGATAAACTAGTTTAAAATATTTTTTGGAAGTTGTGGAGTAAATTATAGAAAAAGACCAACAAAGCTAAGGCTCTGAGGCAAAATTTTATTACCACCTTGAAGGAGTTCAGCATCATTTTTCTTCCAGTAAACATGTAAATCTGGTGTCCAAAACAACACAAGTTACTTTATTCCATGGCTTATTTGCATGATTTTTAATGACAAACAGTAATAAAGTGTAACCGAATCCCCTAATCTTAAATTCATCCAGACTTTGCTGCAGAGAAATGCATTGATAATAAATTCTAAAGTTTTGTCTGAGAACTCATAGGGTAAAACTCTGAGGTTGCTGGGAGATGTGAACAGAGTGAGTGAGAGGGTGCCTGGTGGGGATATGGGGTGACAGCAAGAACACAGAGGCCCAGTTCCATGGGGGACTTCAGGGTCAGACACCCCTGAATCCTAACTCTGTTCTGCCCCTTCAATCCATGTGGCCTGGGTAAATGACCATTGTCTCTGAGCTTTCATTTCAACAGCTAGAAAACGGGGCTAATCTTCCCACTTTCCAGAGTGGTGGGGAAGCTTAAAGGGAATTAAAGTGACGAAGTAGAAGGTGCCACAGAAGGCACTATCAACTTTGGTTCTTCTCCTGTCCCTCACTGCCTGCTGCCAAGAGAGCGCAGTGTCGGTACACACCAGGCTCAAGTCCCTAAGGACGTGAGGAGGACGATGAGCTGTTTCGCCGCTGCCTCCTTCTAGACACAGCCCTCCAGATGAGCCACTAGTACTGTGAATGCACCAACCATCCACCCTCTGTATAGTCCCAGGGGCCTGAAACCAAAGGCCCAACCCAGAACTTCTGCAGGCCACGGAGGGGCATCAGAGGCACTTCATCTGCCAGGTACGGTGGGGCCTGGGGCCTGGGGCCTGGGGCCAGTGCAAGAAGGAAGTCACCTGGACCCAGACGTGTCCATGGAAAGGTAGCAGCTCTGGCATGGGCCTTAGCTAGGGTAAGGGGGACCAGCAGGCCTGACGGGGCCCCATACACCTGGATTCTACCCTTCACTATATGCTTTAGAGATGTCCATCCTGCGGTTCCCTGCAGCAGCCTCCCTGACCCACAACTAAGTGGCACGGATGCACTCGCAGGCATGCCCCTCAGTGGCTGCAGGGCTCCCGGGAGGACAAACTGCTACCTTCGAAGTAGCAAAATTTCCATCAGCACCAGTGAGGCTTCAGCTCCCTCTGACCGCCAATTTCCTTCCATTTTCACGGGTTCAAATGTTTCCTCTCAGCCTCAAATTCAGCCAGACACAACTTAGTCCTTCTCAGGCATGCCCCGCCAGGTGTGCCCATCTTCCTGTGGGCCACCCCTTGCAGAATCCTGAGGCCACAGCTGCTGGTCTCAAGGCCAAGTGGGGCTATGGACAGGATAAGGCTCTGGGGCTGGGCTCCTGGTGTCTAGGCCTGGCTCTTCCTCTGGCTGACAGGTGGCTGTTGGTTCACCTCTCTGAGCCTCAAGATCCTAAGCCGCAAAACAGAGAAGGTGGTATCTCCTCCTCAAGGTTGCAGGGAGCATTAACAGAGAATATGCATGAGGAGCACCTAGCCAGCGCCCGGCACTAAACGACAGCAATTATTATTACTCATGCTCCAATCACTCAGTACATATTCCTCATGCCTTCCAAATGCGCTCATTTCACATCAGCCCGGAGCGCTCCCAATTAATGAAAGAACAAATTAAACTGTCATTACTTTGGTTTAATTCTGTAATTAAAGAACTTCAAGAGGCGACAGGCTCTAAATAATGCATGCTTTTGTCAGAGATATGTTGAGTTCTGGGCAGAGAGAGAAAATAAAAGGGGAAAAGCTTTGGGGAAAAGGAGAGAGAGGAGACATGAGGCTGCAGCAATGATATTTATCCCCCAAAATCAGAGGGAACAATCGAGTGACAGCTGAAGGACTCAATTTGTTTTTGAATTAAGGCTTCGGCTAGCACGGAAAGCAGAGAATGGAGGGCCCTGCCCCCCACCCCCACCCTATATCTGCCATAAACAGAAACGGTGTTAGGAAGAATTCAGTCGGTGGCTTTTCCAGTAGATGGGGCGAAGCAAGGCAGTCATTCTGACATCTGCTTGTGTGTGACTCTCCTTTTTATCTCAGTTCAGGGGAAAGAGAAATAAAGAAAGGAAAAGCATGTGGCACATAAATTTTTCTAAATGTGTGTCTCTTACCCAGCAGATCATGCAGCTGCCACGTATTACAAACCTAATGAGGCTGTTATATGCAGTGGTGAGGAAAGACAGGCTTGGAGTCAGAAGAGCAATATTCAAACCCAGCTCCACCTTGCCCTGGCCTAAGGTGTGAACACACCCCACAGAGCAGGCCCAGGTTTCCACCTGCAGCCGGGCAGGACTCAGAGAGACAGGGAGCAGTGGGCACCTGTGTGCGAGCGCCTGGGGCCTGCCGAGCAGTGCGGTAGGTCTGGGTGGGGAACCAGTCAGCGGGCCTGTGACTTCAAATTAAATAACTTACTGAGCTGTTTTCTTCTTGTTAGGCATGAATGTTTCCATAAATCCCATACACTGTGTAATTGCTATGTCCTGATTCTCTGAATCACATAAAGAAATGGCTTTCAGACATGGCCTCCATTTATGCTTCTATTAGCTGCAGAACCCAAAGGATGAAATGTTATTAAATAGAATGTTTTTTTTCCTGCAATATCGCTAAGTTCCAAGAACAGCTTGGAGGTTTCCCTGAAAAGGTTGGCAAATGTGCTTAGTACACAGAATAGCAGCTGCTTTACAAACTGCATACTTTTATTAAATTACTGCCCCTGCAACATCCTGCCAGCCACAGGATTAAAAGGAAAAAGAAATTAAACTGATGGGAATGGTTCCTGAGCAACAGGTCGAGATACAAGGGGACAGATCACCTTTGAAACCTATGCAGTTCAGGGGCAAGAGAGAGGGTTCTGATCTGGTTTTGTGTGGGAGAGCCTAGCATATAAAATGTTAATAACATAGACCCACTATTTCAGTGCTGAAATGTTGCTTATCCACAATGCTAGATGTGTGATCTTTTTCTTTCCTTCTTTCCCTGCCAGCCTGGGAGCTCCCCCAGGGTGAAGACCCCTGCCTCTGGTACACCACCATCTACCCAAGGCCTGGTGGACCACATGGCATGCAGTAGGTGCTCACTAAATACTGGCTTTGTGGCTGAGGGAATGTGTGCACCCTCAGCAGAGGGCTAGCCACAAAACAGGTGCTCAGGAAGTGTTCAATTCATCAGTCCATCCAGGAGCAGTGTGATAAGCACACTCTCCCTGTAAGACCCTCTGCAACCCAAGCCCATCCCTCCAAAAGAAGAGCTCAAGCATGGCTCTGGCCACAGTCAAAGCTGGCCCTCTCCATGTTCCTGCTCCTCCTGGCACCTCCCAGCCCCTGCACTGCTGAAAGGAAGCCCTTGGGAGCAACAGCCTGGTGTCAGATCTTCTCTCTGCCTCTCTCTATGTGTGACCCTGAGCAACTGCTTTACCCTCTAACAAGTTTCTCAGCTATAAAATGGGAATAAAAATACCTAACAGAGAGTCAGTGCAAGGCCTTCAGCCCAGCGCTTGGCATGCAGTAGGTGCTCAATACCTGGCCACTGCTACTGAGACTGCATCTAGGAAGGAACCGATGCTTGTTGACTAGGCTCTGTATGCCAAGCACCAATCAGGGGCTTTCCTCCTACTGTCATTTCATCCTGCAGCAGCCCTATGACAGAAGCGAAAGTAGGATTGTCCCATTTCACAGATAAGGAAACCAAGACCAAGAGCTTCAGTAACTCAGCAGGCAGGCTAGGAAGCAGCAAAGTCCACCTGCGCTCCATGTGGCCCCCAGCCCATCTGCAGGCCCCAGCCAAGCTCTCCTGTGTGTCTTCCACCCTCCCCTGCTGCCCCTCTGTGTTCCCACACTCTGGCACTCCAAGACCCACACACTCTGGGCACTGCCACTTCCAGCATCTGCCTGGAGAGCTCCAGAGGTAAGACCTGTCTGGAGAGGAGACTCCCTTCCTGTAAGACGCAAACCACCCCCTGCACTGCCTTCCCTGCCCCACCCCACCCCCTAGGCAGTGAGGGTGGCCCAGTCTTCCCCTACAATGCTCAGTTCTCACAATCATCCCCATAAACATCTTTCTAGCCCCCATTCTACAGCGACCACCCTTCAAGGAGACAGCGCCCAATATCACACACAGGACCTGGCACACAGAAGGAGCTCAGCAAACGTTTGATGACTGTGTGGTAAATGAACAGAGTGCCTCCTATGTGTCCCTCATGATGTCCATACCAGAGTGTTCTGGAAACCTAAGCCAGGAAGCAGAGTCTTATCTCCCTGGCCCAGTTTCAAGACCAAACCAGACAGGGCTCTGTATGTCTTAGTTGATTAAAGTGATGAACAGGAAGAAAACACAGGCTGTTTATTGGCTCCACAGAGAATCCCTTTCTCAAAATGCCAGGGACCGGGTACTTTGACACAAATTCAGCAGCAGCATCTTTAATCATTTCAGGGTTAATAAAAAATGTCAATTACATTTGTCATCAGGACTATCCTGGGGGAACAATCCCAGTGCAGACAATCTCTGGCCAAATGACAGCCTGGTATGTTTGTCACACATCCCTCCAGCTGCCTCGCTGACGAATTTATCGAGGTGGTTACCTCCCCCGGCCTGTCCCTTCGTAAATAATCAGAAGTAATATGGATCTCCCAAATAATCCTGACCTGAGAATTGCTGCTCTGGCTCTCCCTAAATAAAAGAAGGGAATAAAAACAGGGAATGAGACTAAATAGACCAGAAGGTGAAGGTTGCCTGGAAGGATGCGTATAGCAGCCAGGGCAGCCTGGGCTCCTTCCACATGGACAAAGCAGGAGCCTGTGTTTTTCTCCCAGTGTCCCTCAGTGCTCAGCACAGCCTCCAGAGAGCTAGCATGCTGAATCATGACGGCCAGCCCCTCCCATGCCCCAAAACCTTGAGGGTCCCATCCTACAGCCCTTTCTATCCGCCTGTAAACAGCCGCTCAGAACAGACTAAGTGGCATGCCTCCACGGGACTCAAAGCCAGGTGTCTGGCGCCACCCCGCTGCCGTGGCCGAAGGGCTCCCTGACTGTGGCTGCCTGTCTGCATTTTGAGAGTAGCTATTTTGCAATCAAAGAATTCCTGCACATTCATTTGCCAGGTGCAAACGCATCCAAGAGGAAAACACTCCCCTGCTATGACTGACACACATAAAGAGAGGAATGGAGTCAGGTTGAAATTGAAAAAGGAAAACGCTGCTTTCCACCCCAGGACTACTCCAAATGTTCTGAAATCCTGAAATGTGCCTAAATGAAGTGTTCTATCTTTATCAGAGAGTGACTCGAAAATGACTATGCTGCTTTTAGGGACGCTCACATGACAGTTTCCCATGTTTGTTTCTTAACAATGGATCCTTTCCTTGACAAGTGGACCTGAACATGCACTGGAAGTCAGGGCCCAGGCTTCCTCCAACTGGAAGTGGGGTTTGGGCAACTCCCTCAGCCTCTGCCACGTCACACGAGAGCGCTGCCAGCTAGTTCACTCCCATCCACTGCAGCATGCTTTACAAATGGGAGGAATTTTTGCTATAAAACCCTCAAACATTCAAGATAACATTTATTATATTGAATGGAGAAAATATGGAGAGTGTGAAAAATATATAACTGTTTCTAGTATTCATTTTAAAGCTATGGCAATTCAAAGAGTTAAGCTGAGCACAATGCCTTGAAGACCACTGTTAGTTTCTCCAACTCACTGTCACATAAAAAGCGTCCACCCCCACATGGCAAGCAGGGGCTGCCCAGCTGTCCTTCCAGAGAGTTCTGTCTCCAAGGAGAAATCCAGGTGACGCTTTTTCAGCAGCCCCACAGGCATTAGGTTTGCAAGTTAACTTTCACAAGACAGGCAAAGGCTCTTATTTTGACGGCTTCCCTCCATCTAGGCAATTTTATCACCTTCATAAACACTAACGGCTCTTGAATACCTGCTGTGGGCGGGCCGTGCTGTACCAGGCTGAACTGCACAACGCCACACAAAATGCCATCAGATGAGTCACCTGTCTGCACTGAATCAGCTCTGTGATGCACAGGAGTCCGGGGGCTGAAGCAACAGCAGCTTCGTCACCGAGGCCAGAGCCATCCACCACGCATTCTGACAAGCAACAGATGCCAAAGGGCAGGGTCCTTCACTTCCTGAGTGCCCACCAAGTGCCAGGTGCCTCACACATGTTGTCTGTGATCCTAACAATAACCCAGGAGGGTATTCTGCCACCAGTCACCAGTGGGTGCAGGGAGGGTCAGAAAGGAGGACTTCACTTGCCCAGGGCATAGAGCTAGGAAGTACCTGGGCAACTGATGCCCAGCCCCACTCCCTACTGCTCCTTGCCTCCATCTGCAGGAGGGTGCCCTAGCCACCAGGGCCAGGCCATTTTTTGTGGGCAGGTGGTCAATTGGCCATGTGCTAAAGGAAGTGCAGACCCCTAGAGGGGTTCTAGAAGGAACTCTGGCCTTGCAGCCAGGCAGTTCTGAGTTCAAATCCCAGCTCTGCCTCTTACCAGCTGTGTGACCCTGAGCATATCACTGTACCTCTCTGAGCCTTACTTTCCTCAGATATACAATAGGGAAAATGTAATGAACCTCACAGGGTGGCTGAGAAGACTAAACAAGATTCAATGAAATAACATGAAAGCCACTCAACCTCTCTCTTCTCCTTAATCAAGTCTGCCTATAATCAGCTTTGGATGAAAAAGCCAGAGAATCAAACCTAACTTCAAATCCCACCTCCCAGGTTTGCCAGCTGAATGATCGTGAGCATGGGGCAAAACCTCCTCTGGCTCAGCTCCCCATAGCCACCTACAGGGCAGTGCAAGGGTTAAGGAGCTGGTGTCTGGCACAGAGTGGGCGTTCAATAAAAGCTCATTCAATTCAATTTGACTTAATTAAAAAACCTTACTCATAGCCTCGAGAATGGCAGGAGCACAGAGGGCTAAAACTACAAACAGAAATCCATTTGAAGCCCATAAATTTTATATCCTGCCAATGAACGCATTTTCTTATTAAGCGACAATATTATAAACCAATTCTGAATTCCTGGCAATGCCTAAGAGTCATATCTTCATTGGGCTGAAAGCTGTTGTCAAATCACAAAGAAATTGAAGGGGTTCTAAAACAACTCATGGAAAGGAATAACTGAAACCAAGTTTACTGAACAAATCAAATTATTTCACTACGTGCCTGTCTTTGCAAATCTTCTCCAAATTACACTTCATTACAAGACTTGGAAATTAGACACCAGCAACAAAATAAGAAAGCCAGAACAGATAAATATTTACATAATCATGAGAATAATAATATTCTCCTGTGCAAATCTACCTACTACTTTGTTTACTCTTATTAACTCAAGTTTAGAAATGGGACAATCATCTGAAACAGGGCCCTGGGGATTTCTTTCCCAGACTCCAACTACTTCTTTCTTTTGCGAAAACAATGGTGTGTCAGGAGAAAAAAGGATGAGAAGGCAAGGACAGAGGGAGGTGCAGTCCTCCTTGAACCCCTTAGCATCCTTGGTGGTCAGCTCAGGGCTCACAGCAGCTGGGCAGATAAATGCTCTGAGCCAGCTCCTGTCTTCTCTTCTTCACTAAGGGGGCGTATAACACCAGTGCTGTGGGTGAACGTAGGGTTGGAGAGGTAGAGGGAGAGAATGGGGGTTAACAGTGGTGGTGACAGTAACATCAGTAGCAGTAACAGTAATACTACTAATACTAATAATACTAGTAATAATACTAATAATAATAATGGCAACCAATGCCCAAGTGTCTGGGTGCTGGACACATGTCATCCCAAATCCCTACAACCACTCTCTGCTTAGAGGTATGTCTCTGCTTCACAGTAAGGAAATCAAGGCTGCCAGAAGTTAAGCAACCCACCTTGCCCAAGGCCACACAGCTAGTAAGTGCCAAAGCTAAGGTATGAGCCCAGCTTCGGGTGGCTTTTTTATGCCACTATAGTACCACTTCTTGGGCACTGAAACCCAAGAGCTGAAACAGTGAGACTCAACACTCAGCGGGCTCAGACTGGAATCTCAGATATGGGTCTGGGTCTTGCTAAAGCCAAGCTGTGGGGTCTCTTGAGGAGAGGATGGGGCTAAGGCTGGGCCGTGGGGGGCTGGGCAGAAGGGACCTGCTTTCTACAGGCAGGTGCTCTTCCAGGAGCAAGACCAACGTGTGGGTTGGGCCCTGGAAAGAAGTCCCTGCTCTGGGCTCCACCTCCTCCTTTCCTGCCACTCTCCTGAGCCCTCAGCCACAATAATCAAACATGCATACAAGCATTCAACACACAAGTACCAGGCCCTTACTCCAGCTCCAGCCCCTCACCAAGCACTGAAGGGACCCAAATGGCTAAGGCACAGCCCCAGTGCTAAAAGGCCTTCAGTGCTCTTCTAGGCAAGACTCTAACTGTTGTGCCACATTTTCCAAAACAAAAAGGCAGAACAGATGGCTCAGCATATGCTGTGGCACAAGGACAGCAACTGAAAGCAGGGCCAACCTAGCAAACCAAGGCCCTCTGGGAGCCAGAGCTTTTGCTTCTGGGGTGCGCATGTACCCTCCACAGCTCAGGGGGCGAGAGCGAAGAGACGCTCTCTTCTGCACATATGATGCCCAGCCAGATGTTCCTAGGTGAAACCCAACCCCAGGAAGGACCCAATGACATGGCAAAGTAAAACCAAGCTACACAGGAGACTGACACACAGGACACTTGTCCCCAGTGTGCAGAGTCCTCCACGACCCAAGAGACACCGAACACCTGACTCAGAGGCTACCTGGCCGGCCTAAAGGGAAACCCAGGCCATAGTTCATGGCCACACTGCCACATAGTGCCATCATATAGGAAAGTTAGAATGACAAAAGTATCTGGCTGCAAATCCATGGAGCCAACATTAAGATGCCATCAAAACATGTAAGCTCAATGTGAAACTATTTCATTGCAAATTATACCGCTGCAAAATAAACAAAGGAAATGAATTCTAAAAAGCATTAAAGTGACATTAAAGCAAACTGAACTCCTTTCCCAAGTACAAGCAAAGTCTAAGTATGACAAGCACACACAGTCTGTGGTGAAAAGGCGGGCCCAGGTGTAGTAGTCAGCCCTGCGTCCCGGCTCCCACTGCTTGTGGGACCCTCCATAAGCGCTTCACTTCTCTGAAACTCAAAGCACTCATATGGAAAATGCTGGATGGGAGGACTCAATGAGATAAGGTGAGAAAGCTTTGTTAGCAAAGCTCCAGACATAACACATCCCAAAGACACATGGCTAGTCAACAGCAGAGCTGAGAATTTGACACCTGAATCTGGCCTCAGCAGATGCAAAGAACTTGCTGGAGAGGCCAGTGGTACTATCCTTCCCCATTACAGAGAAGACAATTAAGGCCCAAAAAGATTAATGATTTGCTCAGAGTCAACTCTTCCACGGTGCTGGCCAGCAGCTACACTCCCTCCTCTCCAAGCCTCACACCAGAGGACTCTCATACACACTTAGGCGTCACTCTTCTCCCTGGAAGTCACATCTAACCCCCAAACCTCACTTACAAGCCCCTCCTAGGTGATCCACAGCACTGTGTCCTTCCCTGACAGGCCTCACTGTCCTTCCAGCCATGAAGATCCCCATCTGGACTTGCAGATGCTCTCTGAAGTCAGGACAGCACCTTCCTGCTCACTGTGTTAACCTCACCGCTCAGCCATACTGAATGAATGAATGAATGAATGAACGAATGATTGAGTGAATGAATGTCTTGTTGCCCCCATAGCAGGAGCAGGTGGGATCACAAGCCCTCATCTCTGGATGTTAAGGCCAGGCCAGGGCTCTCTCCACTTCAAGACAGCTGAGTGAGCTTCTCTTTCCGTGATCTCCAAACTTTTTTGATCACATATCACTATCATTTTTAAAAATTTTTCTGAGCACACAACTTTGAGTACATAAACCCTATTCTATTGATGTGTTATACTCATTACAAAACATGTACACACAACAAATTTTAAAAGAATGATAAGGAAAGCAATTATAAGGGGAATAGCTCCTCCTTTCTCCTGGGTTATCCTTCCCTCCCTGGGGCCTTTTTCCTTAGCACCCAGGGTGATGCGAGCCCTGCTCTTGGCATCTCAGGCATGCAATGAACCCCAGCAGGAGGAGCAAGTACACCCGTCATTCACAAGTTTCAGTTCTGGCACCAGACAGTCTGGCCTCAACCTCTAGGACCAGCTCACATCTGTGTGACGTGTGGTCATGGGACTACTTTGAGCCTCAGTTTCCTCCTCTGCCCACATTACCACTCTTCCAGAGTCAGGTGGAAAAGACACAACGCCTGGTGGGGGCTGTGCTGTCATTAGCACCTAGACGCACACTGCACAGTTCTCATGCACCTACATAACAGCCAAAATGGAGACCACAACAGACCCCTCAGGAGCAGAAGGAAGGATCAGGGACCCCTCAGGACTAATGTAGCCTGCTCAGGCGCACAGTTAAATGAGAAACGGCAAACTGTGAAAGAGGATTCAGAATATTCTACTTTTTATGAAGAAAAAGAGCGGAATAAGAAACTACTCATTAAAGCAAAAAGAAACATAGAAGGAAAAAACACAGACTAATGAGACTGGTTCCCTACAGGGCAGGGTGGGAGCTGGGTAGAGAGGAAAAAGGGATTGGAGTGGAAAGGAGGGGGAGCACCTCTCTGAATAGAACTTTTTGTACAGACCTGCCTTTTGGAAATGTCCGTGGTTCACACAAAAGGGAGGGAAGAGAAAATCCCTAAGATTGGGGAAATCTCTCAAATAGAATACAAAGAGAAACAAAGGAACCAAATTGTATTTCAAATGAATAACATAACCACACTGAAAGGGGGCAGCAGGGAACAAACCCAAGAAACACCTGAAATGTGGACTATATGCTCTCAGTCTGAAGTCGAAAAGAGCTCTAATACTGAATTCTGATCACTAGACCTCTTTTTGCAGAAGTTAGCAATTTTGAAACTACTTTCTGACATTCTAGAATTGAGCAAATACATAAATACATTGTGAAAACCAGGAAGCCAGGTTTCACTGTTGGAGGGGGGAGTGACAAATATGGAAATGGAAAAGGGCAGAATGAACCCCACAGCACTAGATCAGGATTAGAGACATCAGTGTAAACTCACAGGTTCTCCTGGAAATAACTGAATAGAGGCATGTGTGCATGTATAGGCAGACATCTATCGCCAAGATCTGTCTTCTGAGAAGCAGTGACCCCCAGTAGCAATGAAGCAATGAGCACATCTAATACCCAAATCCCAAATCTTGGTTTCTCTCTCTGGTTTTTTTTTCTTTTCTTTTTTTTTTGTAGAAACGGCTTTTCACTATGTTGCCCAGGCTGGTCTCAAACTCCCGGCCTCACGTGACCCCCCTGCCTCAGCCTCCCAAAACACTGGGATTACAGGCATGAGCCACTATGCCTGGCCAAAATCTTGGTTTCTAAATGCCTTTCTCCACTAAAAGGAACCAGAGCTCCTTGGAGATGGCTGATTCTAGGACTGGGGCAGGAAAAGAATAAGTGAGCCCAGAATATCTTGCTGTGCCAAAAAGTCAAGTCATGTTCAAAGAATATGGAGACAGCAGCTAGCGTGAAGAGATTTCTCTTATCAAATGATAAAAATGTATTATTATAACTTACTGTTAAACTAAGAAACTAGGAGTCCATGAGTCCACATGGATACAAAATAAACAGACTAATGGGGGGGGAATGAAAACTCTTCTTTCTAGTTAGGATGAGAAATCCCCACGTGACAAGCGTGATCATAGGGACTGACTCAGGTAAGAATCATGGATGGATGCTAAAACGAGTTGATGAGAGGTTGAGGAATAACAGGATACTTATGTTGTCTCAAAGTGCCTCTCCATATTATATTTTTTAATTGCAAAAGGCAAAATATTAACTACACTGAAGAAACCTGGCATCTTAGCCAAGTGATCAAAGTTAACACTGCCAGCAACAGGACTAACCAACATGTGCCTCCTGGTAGGAAGCACTGAGAAACACAGCATCACCCGGAACACTCCTGCCAAAGGGCATCACCTGAACCTAATCACAAGGAAAGACTAGACAGACCTACATTGAAGGTCTATAAAATAACTGGCTTGTACTCTAAATGTGAGTGTTGTGAAACTGAGGAACTGTTTCAAACTAACGGAGACTAAAGAGATAGAATGATGAAGGGAACACATGACCATGAATTCTCTTTTGCTATAAAGGATATTTTTGGGACAGTTGACAAAATATCAATAAGGTATGTACAGTAGATAATACAGTCATGTGCTGCATAACAACATTTCAGTCAATGACGATCCACATGCACGGCAGTGGTCCCATAAGATTAGACTGTATTTTTACTGTACCTCTTCTAAGTTCAGATATGTGTAGATACACAAATGCCCCATTGTGTTCCAATTGCCTACAGTATTCAGCACAGCCACATGCTGTACAGCTGTGTAGCCTAGGAGCAATGGGTTATACCATATAGCCTGGGTGTGTAGTAGGCTGTACCATCTAGGTTCATGTAGGTACACTATATGGTGTTCCCACCACAACACTGTCTAACAACGCATTTCTCAGAACATATCTCCATTGTTAAGCAACACATGACTAGTGCTTCAATGTTATTTTCCTGATGTTGATGATTACACTGTGACTATATAAGAGAATTTCTTGTTTTAGGAAACACACACTGAAATATTTGGGAGTAAAGGACTATCAGTCTTACTCTTACATGGTACCAAAAAATATGTATATATGCATGCTTATATATGTGGAATGGGTTATAAAATGATGTTAACATTTGGAGAAACTGGGTGAAGGGTGTCTGGGGATTCTTGATACTGTTCTTGCAACTCTTCCGTAAGCCTGAAATTACATCAACATTTTTTAAAAGGGGAAGAAAGGTGAGAAGATGGATTTTTTGTAGGCTAGTGAACTTGATGGAGTTATTTGCAAGGTCTCTTTCAGCATGCTACATTTTTGGAAGATTCAGGCATCGTGACAGTAAGCTTTCTAAAAATAACGAATGAAAGGAGTTGACTCTCTTACAAGTGGGATAATACCCATTGACTTATTATATTTTTATAGTGAGTGTTTCTGCAAGATATCTTCCTTTCCTTTCATTTTGTTTATTTTCTTTCTTTTCAAATTGCTAGCTTTGGCAGACTTCCTAACCTAAGTAAGATGAGAATGAAACACCTGAATTCTCCTTAGTGCTCCTATTTCAACCATTGTCATAATTCACAACTTGCTGATGCTGAAACTGGGATGTACAAGTGTAACACATCAACTGCACAGAAGAAACCCAAGGAAGAAAGGCACTCATCTTTGAGGAAGAATGGCAAAAGAAATTACCAACAAGGCTGGGTGCGGTGGCTCACGCCTGTAATCCCAGCACTTTGGGAGGCTGAGGCGGGTGGATCACCTGAGGTCAGTAGTTCGGGACCAGCCTGATCAATCTGGTGAAACCCCATCTCTACTAAAAATACAAAAATTAGCTGGGCTTGGTGGCGGGCACCTGTAATCCTAGCTACTTGGGAGGCTGAGGCAAGAGAATCACTTGAACTTGGGAGGCAGAGGTTGCAGTGAGCCGAGATCATGCCACTGCACTCCAGCCTGGGCAACAGAGCAAGACTCCATCTCAAAAAAAAAAAAAATTAGTTGGGCATGGTGGCAGGCACCTGTAATCCCAGCTACTTGGGAGGCTAAGGCAGGAGAATCACTTGAACCCCAGAGTCGGAGGTTGCAGTGAGCAGAGATCGTCCCATTGCACTCCAGCCTGGGCAACAGAGCAAGACTCTGTCTCAAAAAAAAAAAAAAAGAAATTACCAACAGAAATGCATGCATATTTCTCTAGGCCAAACAGGCTCTCCAACTGTCATATTCTCTGCATATCATCCTCAATATTAATTCAGTTCTTATGGATTATTTCCGAATATATAAAGAAGGAGGCTTTTATAAATAATCCTTTAACTGCTTTTATCAAATGTATATTACTTTTAATTTGTATTTAGCAAAATCAAACGAAAAACCAATTTCTTTCGGTTAACTAGGGAATTAAAGTACCTTGCCAAGCAGTTATATGATTCTAGAGAAATCCTTTAGAAAATATAATTAAGTCTCAATGTTCTAAAACCACTAGTCTTATCAAAAGTTATTTTATTAACTGAAGCTCCAAGGATACAGATACTCAAATCAATTCATGTCAATATTTTAATGTCATCCATTAATTAGCCATACTAATAAAATAAGAACACACTTCATAATAAATGTCAGGGGCCAAAGAGAGTGATAGATTAGCTAGCTGAGCAGAAAGGGCATTGATTTCAATCTGTAAGTGTGGTTAATGTGTCCTTCCATCGACTCACTCAGGAAACACCTACTGAAGGCCGGCCACATAGAAGCCAACGATGAGGCCAGAAGGAAGCCCTTCACCAGCGATTTATTCCTGCAGGCTGAGGCCAGAGGACACCTCTGGCACCGCAGGAGTTGGTGGATGAAATGACCCACAAGGAGGGGAGTGGGCACCTCTTAGGCCCCTTCTCGACAGCCAGAAATGTCCACGTTGCCAGGCTGGGGAGCACGAAGCAAGCCTCATCTGTGCAGGCCCACTCCGCACGTCAGCATGGGCTTCCTGCATCTCCACCATCCCTTCCCCACAGCCTATCGAGATGCAGCCTCCCTCACTGGGTCACCTATAACAGCCGCTGGTTCCCACTGTGCCTCAGTGTCCTCATCTGCAAACAGGGACCACAGTCCTGCCTGGCATAAGGTACGAGGTTATCAGTACATGAAGCCATTTTGCACATCAAGACTAGCCGTTATTTTAATTAAATCCAACACCCAATGAGTGAGCACCTACTTTGTGCCAGGCGCCATCTGACGTGCTGATGATAAAACACTCTCCTTGCTCTCATGCAGCTTTCATTACTCAGCTATAAGGTATTATTATGAATAAACAGACTAGGAATTTCGGCTTCATGGTATATGGCCCCAGTAGCAGCACCCCATCACCTAGGGCAAATGTCACAATTCCTCCATTTCCCCAAAGGGCTGAGGAGATCAGGAAGCAGGAGGTCCGGAGGTGACTCTGACTGGCTGGGCAGAGGTGGAGCTCATCTCCAGTCTATACCCAACATACCAGCCAGAGCCAGCAGGCCAAGCTTAGGATGTGCCTTCCCGGGAACACACACACACACACACACACACACACACACACCAGGCCCCCTTGGTCTGCAAGATTTGCCTAGAGCCTCTGGGGCCAAGTCCATCTCATCTTTCTGGAACCTTTCAGATTCAAATATAACAAACATTCATTGAGCACTTGCCATGTGTCAGGCAGCATACTAGGGGTGTCATGGATGTGTCTTCCCCAAAATTCATATGTTGAAGCCCTAACTCCCCAGGTGGCTGCACTTGGAGATGGGACTTCTAAGGAAGGAAGGAAGGCTAAATGAGGTCATATAAGTTAGGCCCTGATTCAACAGGATTACTATCTTTACAGGAAGAGACATAAGAGCCCTCTCTCTCCCTGCCCCAATTCCCTGCCCCCACCGCCCCACCCCAGCAGCACGCACACACCAAGGAAAGGCCATGTGTGCACATAGTGGAGAAGGTGGCTGTGTGCAACCCAAGGGGAAAGCCCACACCTGACACCAATGCTGCTGGCTGATCCTGGACCTTGGACTTCCAGTCTACAGAACTGGGAGAATATAAACTATCTATTGTGTGGGCCACTCAGTCTAGGGTATTTTGTTATGGCAGTCCAAGCAGACTAAGACAAGCAGTGTCACCTATATTATGGGGTTGAATCCTTGATTTTCTGACGTTCTCAGAAGCTGTATGTATAGGACTGCCTAGGCCTTCCCCCAGCCACTGGGGTCTTGGTGATTAAAGGCCTCAGGGCAGATGAACAGTGGGCTCCGATATAAGATGAACAGACATATCCTGAGCCACCTTAGCCCCTTGGCCCAAGGAGGCAACTTCTTCTCCTCTTTCTTTCACTCCAGGTCCTGCATGCCTGCTTATAGGTAAGTCTCCTGTTAGCCTCATAGGGATGGGAGCACACACAGCCCACCTCCCCACGGCAGGCTGGCCTCTGCTGCACCACCCCATCTCCCAAGGAAACGAGAAGCTGATGACAAGCTGGCGTCAGAGTTCTAGAAGGTGGATGGAGCAACTTCAGTGGAGCACAGGGTCACTCAGCACTTTGAGCACGGAGTCAGGACAGGTCCTGTTCTGCAGCCTAGATCAAAACCCGGGGGACAAAACACAAAGTGCCAAATGGAAGAAAATGTTCTAAAATGTTACAAACGAGTATCTACGGCACAGTGGAAACTTCCCAGTGACAGCAGTATGCACTGATTCAATAAGTGCAGGATCTGAAATGACTTATGTGAAGTGAAGCTGACACGCTCGGGAAACCATATTAGATGACTCAGAGTGGCTCGGGGGATGACGCCTCTGGTGCCAAAGACGCAAGAGGAGCTTGAGTGATATTGCTTCATGAAATGGAAGAAGAAAAACAAACCAATTTCATGAAATTAATTCATATGAGATTTTAAATATGAATGTGCAACTAAATTACATTCAAAGTAGAATAAAAGCGAAGGTACAGCACTTTTGAAAGAAGGTATCAAATGTTCAAAAATACATCCACTTGAAGAAAGAAGTGAAATGGCTCCTCACAGGGGCAGCTCTCAGCAGAGCACCTCCGAGGGATAAGACCAGGGAAGAGGGGGCTCCGCTGGCAAGGCCCCAGTACTCTCCTGGACAGCATGGAGCAGGCTAGCAGGTCGGCATCAACAGGGACCACCACAGGGGCCACCTCCACTAAGAACGCAGAGAGACAGGCACCATGTGCAGCCCCCGGCGCTCAGGCACTGTCCCCCATCCACAGAGGAGGACGCTGAGGCCCAGAAAGGCTAAAATGGCTGCCCACACCAGGCTGGTGAGTGGCAGACCCAAGACCCGTAGCCAGGCCGCCTGACTCCAGACGCCATGCTCTGACCAGGCTCGCTACACACACCAGGAAGAGGAAAGGACAACGCCCAGCTCAGTCACCCCACAGGGCCACCTGCCTCCCAGGCCACACTCACTGCCTGTAGGCAGAGGGGGACCCAAGATAGGCTGAGGCACAGCCTCAGCATCTCACCTCCACTCCGCACACAGAATTCTAGACGGGTCAGTGCCAACGCTTCGGTCGGAGCACACGACAAACGTTTCCTCAGATGGGAAAAGTGACCTTGCGTGAATGCTCCAGGGGGAACTGTGATGAGGCCCTGCTGCAGGGAACCTGGCTTCCCTCAAAAAGGAAAGGAAAGGGAGCGTGTTAGGGTCTCAGGAGGAAAAGGCTTCCAGCCTCGTAGAAGGAGCCTCAGCCTGAGGGCACGGCAGTCGCTGCAAGGCCTCCACTGGCTGTCCTGGCCAGAGAAACCCACTCCAGCACCACATCACCAGGAGAAACAGCAGGGGTGCAGAGGGAGTCATCTCCTGACACTGAGAGCCACTGAGAGCCAGGAGGCCAGGGCTCCAGCCCCTCCCCAGCTCTGGCCTCCTGTCCCTGCCTGGGCAATGGGTGGGGTGGTGGCAAAGGTGCCCATCAACCCAGCACTCCTGCCAGAAGCTATTTCTCTCACAGCCCAGACACCCCTGAATTTGTACCTTAAAACAAGCTCTATTTCCTTCAGTGGTGAAAGATGTCAAGTGATACAACCAGCTTAATAAAGCAAGTGATGACGGGACCCCACAGCACATCCTTCACCCACACGTCACCCCCGGCTCCTGCCTGGACACCTGCCATTAGCACACTGGTGGCCTCCAAGGCCCGCACCTACTCGGCACCAGGACTCTTGCCTCACAGAGATGGCACCTTCCTCCAAGGCACCGTGTGTCACTTTGCAAATGTTTCAAAGTGCCTACTGCACCCTGCTGACTGTGATCAAGCTGGGGATACAATGCAGTGAGCAAGACACACAGGCCCCTGCCCCATGGTGAACGGGATACATTTGGAGCGGGACAGATAAGTGCTGCAAGAGAGGAGACTGAGAGGCAGTGGGAGCACACTGGTGGATGCATCTAATGCAGCTGGGGGGCATGGAGGGCTTCGTGGGAAAAGGGCTGTCTCACAAAGTCAGGAAGGATGAAGCTGAAGAAGAGAGTAGGAGGAAGGAATGTCCCAGGCAGAGGACAGGCACAGGTGAAGGCTGGCCAGGCAGGGTGAAGGACAGCACGGCTCCACATAGCCAGAGCAGCAGAGAGGAGGAGGAGGAGGGCCCCAAGGTGGCAGGGACAGGTTCCAGAAGGCCTTGGAAGACACATTGATGGACCGGGCTTTTATCTGGAGACCAAGGGGGAGTTGCTGAAGGGTTTTAAGCAAGCCCCCGAGTGATCAGCTCATGTATGAAACCCCTCTGCCTGAGATTTCACTAGCTGCCACTAGAGAAACCACCACACAAGTAATAGACACTGGACCCCAGCTGGCAGTTTCCTAGGGCTGGGATAGCTAATGGCAGGGCAGCACCCATACCAGGCGGCATTGCTGGGGCAGGGGCGTATCTTTTGTTTCTCTGTGCCCGGTTGCCTTGCACAATGCCTGGCACCTAGCAGGTTCTCAGTAAATGGGGTGGGGCTGGGGGGCAGCAGTCTTCCTCTTCCATGGGAAAGATGGATAGCCGGACTCTGGGACCAGGAAACTTGCTCCAGAGGCTCCAACAGATCCCATTCTAGGATAGCTGTGGGGCTCAGGGAAGGGGCAGAGTGAAGAGCTCTGGAGAACTCGGCTCTAATCCGCCTTCCAATCCTGCGCAAAATACGCGGAGAACACTTGACAAATGTGGGCTGGGCGCACGCAGGCGTCTGAGTACTTTATTGACTTTTGACAGCTCTGCACGCCTGCCTGAAATACAGTGCCACAGTGCCATTGTCGAAGATTCATGCTTTCTTCAGAGAACTTGGAACACAAATTTATAACTTGTTGTCAAACAGATGCCCACAGTTCTTTGGAAGGGCAATCCCATTTGGGAAAAGTAGCCAATAACTCTTCCGAGTTGGAAGCCCATTCTCAGGTTGATTTCCCAAAGCACAAAAAAAGAAAAACAAAGAAAAGTGTAATTGCAGAAAACAATAACCCTACAGACATAACCCAATACAGAGCCCATTATCTTCTCTACACTGACTTTTCAATAATTTTGTGATGGATTCTCCCAGAAAACTTAATTTGTACTTTTAACCACAAGAGTTAGTGGGCCAGAAAAAATTAATTCCAAGCTTTGGCTTGTAGAGAGAGAAATAAAGGACATATCTATTAATTTTTTAAACTACCCCATGTGAAGCTGTGGAATGCATATTCACGATGACGGCGTGCGGAGAATAACCCTGCACTCATTTGGGCTTATGCAAATCCCATTTGGGGTGGAAATGTCAGGACGGCGTCCTCGCAAGGCCCAGGGTCTCGCCCTGGCCCCACTGAATACCCCTTGCCTCATGTTGAGGGTCAGCTTGCCCCAGGTGATTTCCCTGGCTGCATATCTGTGCCTGAAACCAAGCTGAAATTGCTTTAATTCTGTCCCTAGGTCATCACATGCCAGAGCTTTGGTAAACAGTCCACAAATTTCAGCCAGGGAAAACTATTAGATTAACAAAGACCCTTGAAATAAAACCTGTCATTTTTGAGAACTCCTTCAAAACGAAAGCTTGTCAGGACCTCATTAACAGCCTGCTGAGCCTGTGTCAGCACAGGGCCCAGCCCCCACCATCAGCGTCCGACGGTGCTGCCTGATGAGCTTCATGTTTAGGAGAGCTGGGCTGCCAGGGACCTCTACTGTAACGTGCAAAAGTCGGGTTCTGTCCCGGGTATCTTTCCCCATCAAACATATTTCACAGTCTAGGGGAAGGAGTAGAAAGAGCAGGGGCTTTGGAATATAGCAAATGTAGGTCCAAATCCTAGCCTCCCTAATTTTTAGCTCTGCAACCTATGGCAACATTTGTATATCCACCCAACAGCTACTCCTGGGTGTGTGCCACCCCTGTGCTGGGCACTGGAATGAGTCAGTGCAAGTGACAGCCCTGCCCCGTTACAGCTTAGGCCCATGGGGTGACAGGATGTGCACATTAAGGGAGGTAGGATGGAGAAGGGCTGACACAACCAGCCTCCAAGGACCCAGGACCCACATCAAGGAAGAGGAACTTGATCCTGAGCCCTGCAGGCCATGGGGCCAGCAAGGGACACACCCAGGTGCACAGTTTTTAGAAAAATCCTGGCTGCCTGGGGGCATGAAGGGGAGGCAGGGGAGAACATTTCTGAGGCTGCTGCACTTGTCTTGGCAAGATATGATGGTAGCCTGGGCCAGGAAGGTGTGGATGAAGAGAGAAACAGACAGACCCAAGAGATGCTTCATGGGGAAGCCACGAGCTGTGTGACTGACAGGCCTGAGCCACCAAGCAGGAAGTGGGATATTATGCCAGGAGGGGCAGGGCAACAGGAGCACATGTCCTGGGAAAGGCATCACCTTGTTGAGCCTGAGTTTCCTTGTCAGTGGAATGGAATGATCAAACTTACTCTGCTAGACTACAAGGTGCCTGGCAGAAGCTGGTCCATAGTAGGTGGTCACGGCTGCCACTGCTGCTGAAAGGAACCCTGAGATCAGCCTAACCACCGAATCGCACCAAGATTCTAGGAAACCAAGACACCAGGGCAGGAAGGGCTGGTCCCAGAACCTGGGCTCTACATCCCCAGGCCCAAGACATTCCCACGCAAACACTGGACAGGCAGCAGGGCCCTGGGCCCCAGACTCCACAGGCAGTTAAACCCCTTGGCTGAGCACAGGCATGTCACACCTGGTGTGGGGCCTGCTCCCAGGTCCCAATCTCATGCCATTTTGTTCCTCTTGATACAAGAAAGCCCTGGGGTCAGTGGCGGGTCCCCAGTAGCAAAGGATTGTCCTGCTAACTCTTAACATGCAAACAAGGTCTGAGGTTTAATTAGGATAACAGGTGCTGATGTTTGTTTACACGGGATGCAAACTGTGAGGCTGTGAACAGTCTGTCATGGAAACAGAGGCTAATGCCCTGCTCCTTGTTAGACTTCTGCTGGCACCTAGAACATGGTGTGAAAACGCCACAGGCTCTGAAACTCAGCTCCCTGGAAGTAGTGTGGGCATCGAAGTGCCTGGGCTCAGGAACACTCACCCAGCCAGCCTGGGAGGCCTCGCCCGTGGTGCCTTCCTCCCCTTAAAACAACAGGTAATGAATGCCTTGTTTATACCCAATCTGGTTGGTACAGGGAGGCCCTGCGAGATGGCCTGTGGCACACCTGGCTGTCCCCACTGTTCTGAGGGGCAACACGTGTCATCTGCCTCCCTGGGACCAGCACCAAGCCCATCCTGGGCAGCTGTGCCACCTGAGACTCCTGGAGTGGCCCGTGCCCCATCATAAGGTATGGACAGCAGTGCCCAGTGATGTTTTCAGGACACGCTGCACCCACACAATCCAGAAAAGTAGCCCCTCAAGATGTAGATGCTGCTTCCTGAGTGCCTGCAAAAGACCTGGGCTGACTCAGTGCACAGACAAGATCTCATTTCCGCAGCACAGGCTCTGGTTCTCAACACAGATAAGAATCCAAACACCCCTTAGGAGGGAAGCAGAGAAGATAATGTTCTCCAGCACGCTGCAAATAGTGTTCAGAGTGTTCAGATGGAACCAGATTAAATTAAAAGTAGTCAAAAGTTCCGTTTTCGAGGAAATTCATCATAAAATTCTTGATCTGACATGGCTATTTTCCAGATGTTTTTGAGTGACGTCAGCAGGTTACCTTGATAATTATAATAACCGAACATTTTGAATTATTTGGTTCAACACGTTTCCTAAACACTCCCCAATGCCAGCCTTTGTGCCAGGATCTGAAGGGACTTTCCTCTACAACCTCACAGTACGATCGGAATAAGGTGTGTCTGACTAATTGGGTGCTATGTGGCCCAAGGAGGAAGCCCACAGCCAGCCCGTGGGTCCAGGTATGCCCACACTGGGGCCTGCCAACCACCGACAGCTTCCATCCTCAGTGGCATTCTCCACAGAAGCTTCATGCACACGCTATTATAACAGGGGAGATCAGGCTGGGGGAAATCAGTACCAGAAGTAATTAAATGACCAAGGAGACAGCAAGAGCTGGAAGAGAGACACATATTGGCACAATTTCTTATTACTATTATTGTAATAACACATACCAAGAACAGGGCTCCCAGACAAAGAGAAAGCAAGCTTCAGGGCATTTTTAAATTGGGCAAATTATAGAGAGGTGAGAGATTAAATGAAAATCTATCACATTACAAATACAGCCTGCAGTTACTGAAATCATATTTTTTTCATAAATGAGTCATACCAACAGTAACTCCAAGACCTTCATAATAGTTTGCAATAAACTCTGTGGGACGCTCGCCACTTCAATCCTGAAAAATTGACATCATAAGCCAAAAAATAGCACTTTGACGTTTCTGTCTTCTTTAGGGCACCCAGCTGGGAAAGGAAATAAAACACCACCCCCAGGATGGAGCACAGGGCCTGGCCTCGCCAGTGGGCAGGCAAATTAAAACAATAAGATCCTATTTCACACCCACCAGAGGGGCAAAAAATCAAAATCCCTAACAGCAAATGATGGAGAGGGTGTGAAGAAATGGGAACGCTCAGTACGCTGGTGGGCGTCCACGGAACAAATACTCAGGAGGGGAAGCTGGCAACATGTGGTCGCGTCAAAGAGGGCCATCATGAAGGCCCGTCAAGTCACCATGAGGGGTCCCAGCCCCAGAAGCTTTCACAGGGGTGTACAAGGATGTACATCTATAAATGCCAGTATGAAAACAGGTCTACCAACTCTGTGAGGCTCGTCCCATTGAAGGTGGAGTCCAATCTCCCTTGCCCTGAATGGGAGGCAGCCTCAGTGACTTGCTTCCAAAGAACAGAATGAAGTCAACAGATGCTGCCTGCCTTTGAGGCTGGGTCACAGAGCAATCTGGTTTCAGTATAGGGGCCTCTCAGAACACTAGCCCCTAGAACCCAGCTGCCATGGGATGAGGAAGCCCAGACCACATGGAGAGGCCACATGTAATACTCCAGCAAACAGCACAGCCAGGGTCCCAGCAGACAGCCAGAATCACTCATCGGATGCTGAGCGAACAGACCTGCAGATGCTTCCATTTCTAGCCTTTGAGCTGCCCCACATGATACCAAGTGGAGCAGAGATGAGCTGCCCACACCAAGCCCTGCCCAAACTGCAGATTCAGAAGCAAAATAAACATTATTGTTTTAAGCTACTAAGTTTAGAGGTGGCTTATTAAACAGCAATAAAAAACTGGAACACATGTTCACTACAATATTGTATGCAAGAGACAAAAAGTAAAAACAACCTTCCAGGAGTAGGAGAATGAGTAAATAAACTTGAGCTTATTTATACAGTGGAATCCCACACACCAATGAAAATTGAATGAACCAGATGGATAGATGGATGGATGGATAGAGAGATAACAGAAAACATAATGTTGACTGTTTTGCAAATTGCAAAAAACCACAGAGTGTAATAACATGTACATAAACCTTTAAAATACAAAAGTATTACATATTATTTATGTCATTCATAACATATGCAGGAAACATTTAAAAGCATGCCCACCAACGTCAGGGGAGTGGCCACTAATGGAAAGGGAATGAAGTAGGGTTTTAGCTCTATCTGCCATATTTCATTCCTTACAAAACAAAAAAGAGGTACCCAGTATAAATACGGAAAAATGCTAATAACTAAAACCTGGTGGTGCATCTATGGAAGTTTATTTTATTTTTTTGTTCTTTTCTGTAGGATTAACATAGGTCACAAATCACTCATTTCTACTCAGCCAAGGTTAAGCTTGGTTGACACAAGGGTAACAGTGTGATAGGGCAGGGGTAAGTCAGCCTGCTTCCTCCCCTCTTCTGTGAGCTTCCCAAAGGCCACGACTGTGGCTCACAACCCCCTGCTGCATATGGTAAGTGCTCAATAAACCTCCCTTTGCAAGACTGACTGGGGGACCAATAAGCCCAGGAAGATTCTGTCCCCTTCTCTGGTTCATAGGAATCAAGGAGAGAGCAAAGGATATTTTCTAACCCAAGGGACTCTGTGAACTTGAAACACAGGGATGAAAGACTATCCCATTAATAAGAAAGAGGAGCTCTTTCCTAGTCCTGATGCCTACTCTTCCTCTTCTCTGTCTGGACACTGTTAAAATTCCAGTTTTGGCCGAATGGAATGTCACAAACACAGGCAGTTGCAGACGAGGGACATGCAGGAAAAATAATCATATTTCTTCTTATAATGACCCAAATGCAGGAGATACACTGTTTCAGCAGACAGAAATAAAAAGACTCATCCAGCCAGAGGTAAGAAAGGAAGACTGAGATGAGGAAAGCATAGCATAGACAAAGGCCAGCAACATCCAGGACAGTGGGACAGAAAGATGCAAACAGCCAGGGTCGCTCACAGCATGGCTTCACCTGGGTCCAGCCCTGGACTCTCTCTCAAGTCTCCTGTTCCCTGAGACAAACGAGTCTCTCTCCACCTGTTGAAGCCACTCGAGTTGGGTTTCCTGTTATCTGCAGCCTCATACACTCCTAGCTAATACAGTGGTGAACACCACATCATGGGACAGCTGGGCATCTTTATTTTCCTTTTTCTACCTTTTTCTGTTCTTCAAATATTATTACTATAAGAAGATTTTAATATATTTTTAAAAAGTTATTCTTAGTCTTGGCTAGCAATTCCAACCCTAGCAATAGAGTCTAAGAAACTAACTGCACAGAAGCTAAATATTATGTACATAAAGATGATCACTGCAGCACTGCCTATAAAACAACAATAAAAAACCTGCTGGAATAAAAAGCTCAATGTTCAGCAACAGGGATACAACTAGCAAATTGTGGTACAACCACATGATAGAAGATGACTATCCTGAAGGCTGTAAAAACAGGGATACTGAGCTTTAAAAACAGGATCCAAAATGATATATGAAAAATCCCTATAGAACGATAAAAAAAAAATGTGCTTACAAGTGAAAGGTAAAACACAAACCAAAAGTTACTTGCTGTGGGCCTGGAGGTCCAAGCCAGTGGAGGGAAGTGGGGGAAGGGGTTGCCAGGGCCTGCGGCCCATGTGCAGATGGGGGCTGTGGAGGCAGTGAAGGCCTCCTTGCCCAGGAGACAGTAGCTTCCAGGCTTCCAGATGCCCCTGGAGATCCAGGCAACTAGGCCTTGTGAGGGGCCTACAGGGTGGGAGGCTGCTCATAGCCACAGTTACAGACTGACCACCAGGTGGGCCCTGCGAGCACCCGTTCACTCCCAGGTCCACTCTCACACAAGCCCAAGGCAATGGGGCAACCTGATACAAAGAACCCAGGGGAAATTCCACATCATGTGCCCCTGCATACCAAATTCTTTAGAAAAGACAATTTCCCATTAATTTCAAATGTGCGTGTTCTCTGGGGATTTAATACAGGGGGAGTTTCTAAGCATTTGCATCTCTGTCCCATAATATAAAGCATGGGCCAGGGGCATGAACTGCCTGTGTTCACAACATCATCCTATTTGTGACAGATTAGATAGATTAGACGCGAGGTTCCACCTTCCTACCTGTGATCTTTCTCTGCTATAAAAACAACTCTTGATGTCAGTGTCTGAAATTACTTGCTCAAAATTATAATTATTATATTAATGTGGCTAACTGTAAAACTATACCTCGGCTTTCTAAATGAAAACACCAGGCTGCCAAAACTTCTAGAATAATTTAAACTAGTAATGTGATAAAGACTATTACATCTCCAAAGACATTACCATAGAATTTTCCCCCCATCTCAACAAGAAAAGATGCTGGACTATATTGGAAGCCTCTGTGAATTGCCTAATTATAGTTAATAAGGTCATCATCTGCTCATGAAATAGCCTTTTCTGTTTTCCAACAGAGCATTCAACAATTCTAAACACTGTTCATCTGAACACTCCCCGAGAAAGCTATCACATCACAGGGTAGACAGCAGGAGAAGGAAGAAAGAGGTAGGCGGAAGGAGCGAGGCCCCAGGAAGCCGCAGAGAGACCCCTGTGGAGACGGGAAATAAATTTTTTTTTTTTTTTTTTTTGTGATGGAGTCTTGTTCTGTCGCCCAGGCTGGAGTGCAGTGGCGTGATCTCGGCTCACTGCAATCTCCGCCTCCAGAGTTCAAGCAATTGTCCTGCCTCAGCCTCCCAAGTAGCTGTGATTACAGGTGTGCACCACCACACCTAGCTAATTTTTTTTGTATTTTTAGTAGAGATGGGGTTTCCCCATGTTCGCCAGACTGGTCTCAAACTCCTGACATCAGGTGATCGCCCACCTTGGACTCCCAAAGTGCTAGGATTACAGGCGTGAGCCACCACGCCCGGCCTAGAAATAGAACTTACTTAGAGCCCATCATTTCAAGGCCAGGGTCTCAGGTGAGACAATGGGAGTCACAGGAATTGTGGGTGTAGGGACCACTCCACACCCCTGCCTGGCAACCTGAGTCCAATGCCAGGTCCCTCCCGGAGTAGGTGTGGCGTGAGTAGGACCCCCCCCCGCCACCGCCACCCCAAACTCCCAGGGATGTCCCATAAACTCACCTTAGCATAGACCCTGACCGTTGTGGCTGAGACTGGCAGGCTGCACTACTGTGCTGTTGTGCAAATTTTTCACCTTTTTTTTTTTTTTGAGACGGAGTCTCGCTCAGTCGCCAGGCTAGAGTGCAGTGGCACAATCTTGGCTCACTGCAACCTCTACCTCCCGGGTTCAAGCAATTCTCCTGCCTCAGCCTCCCAAAAGTAGCTGGGACTTGTACAGGTGTGCACCACCACGCCCAGCTAATTTTTGTATTTTTAGTAGAGAAGGGGTTTCACCGTGTTGGCCAGGATGGTCTCCATCTCTTGACCTCGTGATCCGCCCACCTCGGCCTCCCAAAGTGCTGGGATTACAGGCATGAGCCACGGTGCCCGGCCAAATTTTTCACTTTCAATAGTTGCATGAAAGTCAGAAAGGCCAGTGCTAGGTGACATTGTGTGTATCATGTACAAAATCACAGGCAGTGTGGATATAAGACGTAAGAAGGCAGGGCACAGTGGCTCATGCCTGTTATCCCAGCACTTTGGGAGGCTGAGTGGGGGGTGTGGATCACGAGGTCAGGAGTTCGAAACCAGTCTGATCAACATGGTGAAACCACATCTCTACTAAAAGTACAAAAATTAGCCAGGCGTGGTGGTTGGTGCCTGTAATCCCAGCTACTCAGGAGGCTGAAGCAAGAGAATTGCTTGAACCCAGGAGGCAGAGGTTACAGTGAGCTGAGATGGTGCCACTGCACTCCAGCCTGGGCGACAGAGCGAGCCTCCGTCTCAAAAAAAAAAAAAAGACATAAGCAAACTAAGAACAACCTTCATGAGAACCTATGAGCACATGCACAAGAGCCTAAGTAGCCAGGCCAGGGCAGGAGGAACAGGGGCAGCATGACACGCCTGTCCACAACAGAAACGATGGAAGGCTAGGAACAGCTCAGGGTCACTGCAGCCAGGAAGAAGTCAGGCAGAAAATGCGATGTCAGCCCTGTGTCTGTCTTGCAGACCAATCACACAGTATCAAAGTAAGGGCGATTTGTGCAGCTGTATTCCTGACTCACTCTCCAGAGCCTCACTGGCAGAGACAACAAGGAAAAGGCTCGGTCTCTAGCACCCCCATCCGCAAGCAGAGGTAATGCTCAGGCAGCTCTCTCCCTCCCTGGAGGAGGAAGGTGACTCGCAGTAGCCTCAGAACTGGAAAGGGGAGCCACCAGGGAAGAGTGGCTGGAGCAACCAGCCTGGCTGCTCAGGGTCTTAACAGGATGGTGGGGGTTGGAAGGGGCACCTAGGTCATGGGAAAGAGCCTGGCCCCACACATGGCTCCATCTCCCTGCACCCTCGCCTGACCACCTTGGATCTGAGATACTCAGTCCCACAAATCCCTGAGTGGCTGGGAGACTGAGAAGTCTGCAAAGCATGTGGCATGTGCCAAGTGTCCTACTAAGCAGCTCCTCCAGGTACGGCTGCCTCTCTCCCTGAGCTAGTGTCAGCACCAGGCCTGGCACAGGAGACACGCACAAGTAACAGATGGTGAGGAGATGAGCGGAGGACTCTGGCCATGCCACACACAGCACAGCAACCCTAGGCCCATAGAGAAGGGAGGGGCAGGGCCCAGGCTCGGCTCACCAAAGCTTGGCCCCTGGCCTGTGGTAGTTGGATTGCCCCTGGAGGGACTCTTTCTCCCAAAGCCATATAATTCTGTTGAGTCACTAGTTTTCAGGAATACTGTGACTTCTGAATCATCCACGCAAGATCTCACCCCTGGGCTAAGATGGGCCTTCCAGACCAAGGTTTGTGAGGGTGACTCTCCCTGGGAAAGGTATTGACACATTTTCTCCTCAGTTCAAATCAAGTACCTCATGACTGTGAAGTTACTGGGTCCCATAAGTGAGCCCCAAGTGCCTGCTACAGAAAAGTACCCTACAGTCAGTAACGAGCACCAAGCTTCTCCCTGGGCATCTGGGGACGATGGTCCAGTGCTCCCTCCCCAGTGAGCCCAAAGACAGAACACTGCCGGGGCACAGCCCAGGTGCACATGGTGCTACAGCAACACAGGCCACACTGCCATTTATGCAGTCTGGAGACAAGGGAGAAAGGCAACCTCAAGGAATGGGTACAGAGAGAAGGGGACCCTTGAGCCAAGTCCAGGGGGATAAGGAAGACTTTGCCTGAAAAGAAGGAAGGAAAGGGAAAAGGCCTAAAAGGGTGTGTCATGTTTGGGAAAGAGCTGGAAAGAATTCAAGGCACACAGCAGGCAGTTTGTGATAGGAACAGAAATCGGGGCAGGGTGAATGGGCCGGTGACATGGGTTGGTTTGCATCCCGTACTGTTTGGGCTGCAACCTGTATTGTAGTATGAGGGCAAACAGCAAAGTTTTTACATCAAGGAATGACAATCAGAGTTGAGAATACGTAATAATAGAAATTACAACAGCAGTAGTCACAATTTGGGCATCTACGATTACCAGGAACTATACCAGGCACTTCCCTTGTACTGCCTCTTACTCTTAAAACAACCATGAAAATGAATACCCTTCACAGGGAGAAACCAAACGGCAGCGAGGAATGAGATGAATTTGATAAAGAACTACCTCTAAGTAGAGAAGTCACAACTCAGTGGCTGATTGGACAGCAGAGGCTGAATGACACGTGCTCTGTGAGGGCTAGAACCATATCTGGCTTCCCACTCTATCTGCTGCCCCTGGACCTGACACCTACTAGGTGCTCAGTAAAGATTCAGGTGGCAGTGCACTGACAGAGATGCAGAAGAAAAGAAGGACAGCGGCAGAGCAGGGAGGACACCAGCTGTGCCAATCGTGCTTGGCAACCAGAGGCACTGTCATGAACTGTGTGGGCTTTGAGACAGTACTCTGCTAGCAAACTACCAAGTTAGCCTGCCACAGCTTCATACATACTAGCAGAAGGCATGAGATCCCTGGGTCAGAGACTGAAAACAGTTTATTACTCACAGCAGTAGTAGTAGCCAGGGTAACACTGCTGCACCAGTTCCCTAAGCCCCAGTTCCCATAGCGATCCCATGAAGGCAAGGTGTTACCTGTACACACAGTGGGATGCATTACAGAGAGGAGTCCTGACATTAGGATGCCCCAATCTTATATAAGCAGCTGCTGGTAAACCTGCCCAACCTCTGCTCCTAAGGGAGACATTGTCTTTGTTATCCTGGAATAAAAATAAATCTGTTCCAGATAGAGATGCTGTCTCTACTCTCCAAGGCTGCTTGCTATTCAAACATCCTTGAAAAGACAGGCCAGAGCAAATCAGCTGTTCGTGGCTTGCTCAGAAGACTGTGCAGAAATATGACAGACCCATGGAGAATTGTGCAGGTACTGTGCACATACGACCAGCATGCCTACGTACCTCCCATACACATATGACTTTAGACTGCCTATTGCCCATCTGAGCCATTTCCTCCCCTTCTCTGGTTAGTTTAGAAATAAAACTAATATTTCTTTGCCTGTCTTGCTGGACAGAATAGAAGTGAGCCTCAGAGAAATTAAGTTAACATGCTCAAAGCTTCCTGGGTCTTCTCTTTTCCATGAGTAGCACCATCTCATCCTTAGTAGCTTAAGCCAAAACCTGAAATCATCTTTGACTCCCAACATCATCCAGTTCATCACCAAGCTTCAGTCATCCTGTCCCCAACCATCCGTGAGAGCTAGCCCCTTCACTGTCCCCATCATCCTCAGCAAGCACTGGCCTTGCTCACCTGACAGCTGCCTCTGCCCCCTTGCTGCTCCCCCTGCTCTCACCCCAGCCCCTCGTGACCTATTCTCCATCTAGAAATAAAGGGACCTTTTTTTCTTCTTTTTTTTTTTTTTGAGATGGAGTCTTGCTCTGTCACCCAGGCTGGAGTGCAGTGGCGCGATCTCGGCTCACTGCAAGCTCCGCCTCCCGGGTTCACGCGATTCTCCTGCCTCAGCCTCAATAAAGGGAACTTTTAAAGATGTAAATAAGATGGTGTCACCTCGTTGCTCAAAGCAGGTGGTTTCTTACAAAGCTGAATACACAATTACCATATGAGCCTGCAGTTCCACTCCCAAATATGTACCTAAGAGAGATGAAAACATGTCCAGTCCACACCAACATTCATTTAAGAACTACCTCTAGGCGGCCGGGTGCGGTGGCTCATGCCTGTAATTCCAGCACTTTGGGAGGCCAAGGCGGGCAGATTACCTGAGGTCAGGAGTTCGAGACCAGCCTGGCCAACATGGGGAAACCCTATCTCTACTAAAAATACAAAAATTAGCCGGGCATGGTGGCATACGTCTATAATCCCAGCTACTCGGGAGGCTGAGACAGGAGAATTGCTTGAGCCTGGGAGGCGGAGGCTGCAGTGAGCCGAGATTGCACCACTGCACTCCAGCCTGGGTGACAGAGCAAGACTGTCTCAAAAAAAAAAAAAAAAAAAGAACTACCTCTAGGCTGGGCGCGGTGGCTCATGCCTGTAATCCTAGCACTAGCACTTTGGGAGGCCAAGGCAGGCGGATCACGAGGTCAGGAGTTCAAGACGAGCCTGGCCAACATAGTGAGACCTCGTCTCTACTAAAAATACAAAAATATTAGCCAGGCGTGGTGGTGCACGCCTGTAGTCCCAGCTACTAGGGAGGCGGAGGCAGAAGAATCACTTGAACCCAGGAGGCAGAGATTGCAGTGAGCCAAGATTGCACCACTGCACTCAAGCCTGAGTGACAGAGTGAGACTCTATCTCAAAAAAAAAAAAAAATGAACTACCTCTAACGGCTCACTAGAAACAAATCAAATGTGTCCATCAACAGAAGAATGGATAAACAAATTCTGGTATTTTCATGCAATGGAATACTACTCAGCAATAAAAAGGGATAAATGGCTGAACGTGGATGAATCTCAAAAACATTCTGTTAAGTGAAAGAAGTCAGACACTAAAGGCTACGCCCTGCATGATTCCATTTACATATTTCATTCTAGAACAGGAAAAACTATTGGGTTGGTGCAAAAGTAATTGCGGTTTTTGCCATTCAAAGTAATGGCAAGGCCGGGCGCGGTGGCTCACGCCTGTAATCCCAACACTTTGGGAGGCCGAGGTGGGTGGATCACGAGGTCAGGAGATCGAGACCATCCTGGCTAACACGGTGAAACCCCATCTCTACTAAAAATACAAAAAATTAGCCGGGCGTGGTGGTGGGCGCCTGTAGTCCCAGCTACTCGGGAGGCTGAGGCAGGAGAATGGCGTGAACCCGGGAGGCGGAGGTCGCAGTGAGCCGAGATCGTGGCACTGCACTCCAGCCTGGGCGACAGAGCGAGACTCCGTCTCAAAAAAAAAAAAAAAAGTAATGGCAAAAACCGCAATTACTTTTGTACCAACCTACAATGAGAGAAGCAGATCTGTGGCTGCCTGGGGCTGAGGTTGGGGGTGGAACTAACAGATGGGCTGATAAAGGATACCCAGAACACTGTGGGTCAGGGGAAAGGTTCTGTGCCTTGATTGGAGCGATGGTTGCATAAGTATACAGGTTTGTCAAAACTCATCTGACAGTGTACTTACAGGGCTGCATTTTATTGTTAAGTTATATCTCCATAGAGTTAATTTACCTTTTTAAAAATTAAAAACATTCAGGCCAGTTGTGGTGACTCATGCCTGTAATCCCAGAACTTTGGGAGGCCAAGGCAGGTGGATCACTTGAGGTTAGGAGTCTGGGACCAGCCTGGCCAAAATGGTGAAACTCCGTCTCTACCAAAAATACAAAAATTAGCCAGGCCTGGTGGTGGGTGCCTGTAATCCCAGCTACTTGGGAAGCTGAGGCAGGAGATTCACTTGAACTCAGGAGGTGGAGGTTGCAGTGAGCCAAGATCGCGCCACTGTACTCCAGCCTGGGCAACAGAGCAAGACTGTCTCAAAAACGACAACAACAAAACCATTCAGCAGCTTTCCATTTCATTCTGAATAAAACCTTAAGGCTTATTGTGTCCTACCAGGGCCTTTCGTGATCTGGCCTGCCTGTGGCATCAACCCCATCTCAAAACACTCTCCCCTTTGCTAATATCCCAAATATAAGGCAAACCACAGAGACATTACCCATTTTCCCAACAAGAAGATTAAAAACACAACTGAAAGGTTAGAGACAAATACCTAAACACATATACATGTAGAGACGTTGAAGAAACAACTGGATGTCTGTATTTGTGTTTAACTTATTAACGTAGACGCACATGCATACTTACAATCACTTACTACAAAACACAGAAAGACTGTATATTTCCACTGTCATCTCATGAAGCAACTAAATGCACCTCTCCCTAGACGTCTCCAAGAGCCGTGTTTTCACCACTCCTAAAGACACGTTTCTAGGTCTACTAAAGGGAACCCTTGAGATTGAGGGCAACAATGATTCCTGAGCACCTAATACCGAGCACTGCCCTCAGCACTTTCCGTGCACCATTTCCTTCATCTTCACTAAACCAAACACGTCAATACTATCACCACAGTTCCCGAATAACGCACCAAGGGATAGTTTACCTTTTTTTTTTTTTTTTTTTTTGAGACAGGGTCTCACTCTGTCACCCAGGCTGGAGTGCGATGGCAAAATCAAGGCTCACTGCAGCCTTGAACTCCTGGACTCGAGTGATCCTCCCACCTCAGCCTCCTGAGTAACTGAGACTACAGGAGCCCACAACCACACCAGGCAAATTTTTTCTATTTTTTGTAGAGATGGGGTTTCACCCATGTTGCCCAGGCTGGGATATTTTACCATTTTAAGGGAAACAGCAATATCTGCTAGACAACATGCAGACTGCTAGCTGAGGTTTCAACATTACATTCAACATTAGATCTTTTTGCATTTCTTTAGATGACATCATATCTCTGCAAAGCTGAGTTTTCAATAGTTGCCGTGATAAAAAGCAAAAACCAGGCAGGGCATGGTGGCTCACACCTGTAATCCCAACACTTTGGGAGGCCAAGGTGAGTGGATCACCTGAGGTCCGGAGTTTGAGACCAGCCTGGCCAACACGGTGAAACCTTGTCTTACTAAAAATACAAAAATTTGCTGGGTGTGGTGGCGGGTGCCTGTAGTCCCAGCTACTAGGGAGGCTGAGGTAGGAGAATGGCTTGAACCTGGGAGGCAGCAGTTGCAGTGAGCCAAGACTGCACCATTGCACTCCAGCCTGGGTGACAGAGCAAGACTCTATCTCGAGAAAAAAAAAAAAAAGCAAAAAGCAAGTGAAAATCAATGTGGAACAGACCATGAGGGTGGCAGCATCCAACCTACTTCCAATGTTTGAGAACCAACAGGTGTTGTTACAACATAAGTATTTAAGTTGTTTGGTCCTCACTCCTTAGTAAACAGGACTGTTAATTAAGTTGTTTGTTTTGGCCTAGGAGTGCTGTGAAAAATGTGACAGTGGCACTAAGGGAATTGTGACCCAAGAGCATGAGACCCTCTGTACTATTTTCTCTGTTTTACACATGGGGAAACAGAGGCACCTTGGGGTTGCTTGCCCAGCATCACAGAGCTAGGAAGCTGGGGTCTGAGCCTAGCACAAAGCAACATGGCCTTCAGGAATGGATCTACCATTAAATGGCTTACCAGAGACTATTTAAATGTGTGATGGGTAAATATTTGAAACCAATTATGTTCTGGACAAAGTATCAAAAGATCTGCTTTGCCAGGCAGGGTGGCTCACACCTATAATCCCAGTACTTTGGGAGGCTGAGGCGGGCGGATTGCTTGAGCTCAGGAGTTCCACACCAGCCTGGGCAACATGACGAGACTCCATTGCTACCAAAAATACAAAAATTAGCCAGGCGTGGTGGTGCACACCTGTAGTCCCAGCTACTCAGGAGGCTAAGGTAGGAGGATCGCTTGAGCCCAGGAGGTAGAGACTGCAGTGAGCCATGATTGCACCACTGCACTCCAGTGTGGGCGACAGCGTGAGACTCTGTATCAAAAAAAAAAAAAAAAAAATCTGCTTAAACTTCGCATCCAAAAGTGAGTGTCCTGTAGTTTAAGAAAATTCTAAAAGACCCAAGTATAAAGTGAACACTCTCTTTATAAGGAATAATCTGAAGACAAATCTTGCCTTGCATTCCACCTCCTGCCACACACCAAGCTCTTCTCAGCCTCGGCACGGGCTGTCCTCCGTGCAAGGACGGACCCATGTCTTCCTCAGGCTTCCAACCTCAGCTTGCATGCTGTCTTCTCCCCTACCCACCCAGCCATTTTTCTCCATTTCCCAGGAAATACCACTGTGCAACTTATAATTACCCTGTTAATTAACTGATTTATTAGACTGTGAGCTAGGTATTGCTGGCCCCTCACATGGTGCCTAGTGGTGGGTACAATTCTCGATGTTCTCTCCACCCCCTGAGCCCACAGGGTCAAGAACTAAACACCAGCAGCATGGGGGAGCCGGTCCTCTGTATCCTCCACCGTCTCCCTGGGAGGCCCTTGACGCATACACCCTCACTCCAGATTCCAGAGCATATGTAAAAACCTCAGGAAGCCAGTTCCCAGAGAGCTCCCTAGGCCAGGGACGAGCACTGACGTGTTTGACGAAGGGAGCGCTGGCTTTTTCCTAATCTCAGTGGCCACTGCCCCCAGAATCACTTTAACAATAGAGCTTTGACTGTCTCCCTCTGGAAACTCAGATGGGGTTTGGCCAAGACTATTCTTATTTTAAAACACTTATTTTCTGAAATGGTAAACTTTTGTGGCTACTGAAAACAATTAAAACCAAGAGAAATCCATAGAGAGATGGAAGGGGGTGAGTAATTATTATCAACAAAACCAATGAGAGGGAAAAAATGTATTGGGCCAAAAATCTAATAAACTAAGTATGAGAATTCTGGAGCAGCTCTGCAGGAAGCAAATTACTCTTCTGCATCTTCACAGACAATACACGCGAGAGGCAATTTATTAACTTGAGCCACATTGGCCTCAACATTAACCCATATCCCTAAAGTACTTAACTCTCACCCAGGAAACTGCTTACTTAACTTGCATTAGGACACACAGGGCCAAGTGCAGGTTTGCTATTCACAGCTTCAAATTCAATTTAAAGGGATCCCTGTTCCAATTTCCTGTAGAAAGTTACTCCATGTTCTAATACATCAGTGTCAGGAAACACAGCCTTTACTTAATTTCTTCTCAATATTCATACAACCAGGGATCACCCACAGCAATTTCTCCTCCTTTGTGTGCCTAACAGCAATGATGGGGCTCTTACTTTTCATCTTTTCAAGTGCCAGGTGCTCTGAGGTGTCCCCTTCCCTCAAAAGAGAGCCCTTTAAAGACCCTCGATCAGCTTCCTGGGATGGGTGGGGGGGGGTCCTCTGCATGGTGACATAGCTTGTGACAATGGCATTAAAGTTAAAATGCCAATATTCCTAACTGATTCATATACTAAAAGGCAATGCAGGCCTACAACGCATGAAGACCAGCCCTAAGCTACCACATCACCTTGCGCCAGACACGCTTAACCAGTGGCCTGCAACTCCTCACTTGTAAAATGAGAGGCTGGAGCCGGATCACTGGGTCTCCAATTTGATAAGCTCAAAGGCAGCCCTGTGAGAAGGCCCAGTCATGAGACAGAAAACGGCAGAGTTGTTTGGAGGGAGGAACCTGGGAGTGAGTCTCAAGCTCCCCAGATCCCCCACCCTGGAGGCAGCCTCTAGAAATTTCTATGAAGCCCTTGGAGTCCCCAGAGCACAGGCTGCAACCCACTGATCTCAGTTATCTCGACAAGCACCTCAAATAAAATAAGTCTAGCGCTCCACATCTCCTTTGCACAGGCAAAACATTCCTAATAACACTGTAATGGAAAAATAATTCATGCATTTTATTTCCTATTTAATGCATTTATGTATTTTCTACAATGAGCATACATTATTTTAATAATCAGAATAAAATAAACATTACTAAAGGGAAAATAATTCACATAGGTTTTTTCAAAAACAAAACACCCAAGGCACAGAAAAGATGAGCCGGAAGGTCTGCGTACTCTTCTGGCGTCATATACTATCATTAACTGCAAATTGCTTTCGGCCCTTCAGAGGAGAAAAATATCACAAGTCTTTGGAGAAGGTCTGATGAGTCACCAAACACTTGCGTGGCTCTCAGCTGCGTCACTGAGTCCTATGCCTGCCTGCGTAAATATTCACAACCCCACAGTTCGTCCTAGCCTTCAGCTATAGAGACTGGGGGGAGCAGGGATTGGAGGGGGGCACAGAGGGGGCGCTGGAGGGAAAAGAGACAGCACTGAGGGCTGCAGACCATCCCTAGAGAACATGGCCTTCTGTCATCTCAGGTCTCCTCCACCCTAACCCCTCCACACAGAGTTGTGCAATATTGAAACTCAATATATGTAAATTAAGTGGGTTCTCAATAAATACAGGAGTTTCTAAGCCCCTAAATTGTAATTACATTGATACTGAAATTGTGGGAATCTACAGTGAAGGAGGGGAGCAGTGGGAGAGTAATCTAAAGTTAGGGGTAACACAAGCATCCCAGTCTGCCTGTCCTGAGGCCTAGATTATCACAGGAACGTCCGATGAGGTCTCCTTAGGGTTTTTCTCTCCAGTTTTACACACCGCTTCACGCACGTTCCATGGCTCCCCGTTCCTATAGGAAAAACTCCAGATTTACCCACATCCCTCAGAAGTCCCCAAGCCCCCACGACTATAGGCCATTACCATCACCACACTCTCCATCCCAACCCCCGCCCCCAGTGCCTGGTGTGCAGGCATCTGTGCTCTGGCTCTCACAACCCCTCCCCTGTCTCCAGGGCCAGTTCTTGCACCCTCTCCCACTCCCATCAGGATAGGAGTCAAGGGTCATTCCCACAGCTCACTGTGACATATGTGTCTGGGAGCCCAGCACACTCACAGACAATACACGTGAGAGGCAATACACGTGAGAGGCTCCTGAACGGGGACGGGCTACATCTCCAATCCCAGCTCTAATCTCTGGCACCCAGACTCAACCTAGCCAAACTGGGTGTCAGGGCCTGTTTAGGCACTGAAGTGTGAAACTATGGTCCCTGTTCTTAGTAATTGTATGCTTTGGAGGACAGCTGCCTCCCAAACCTGCAGAAACAACATACCCAGAGCGCCAGGGTGCATGTAGTCTACAGGTCTTCCTTGATCTGCATGCCATAAGAAGCCTCCAGCAGCTCCCCTGGAAACGCACCGGCTTCCCACAAGGGCACACTGACAAAGGGGGCAGAAGGGCCTAAAACCATCCATGAGCCCCACACACAACTGCCAGCCCCGTCCAGAACCTGATACCCAACACCCAGAAGGCTGGCCTCACTTAGCTTCAGCCAGACCGACTTTCTAGTCCCCATCTCACCTGAGTTGGGAAGATGGATAGGGCTTTGAATTAAAAGCTTTCCCTCACTGCCTCCTGGACTCTGAGAGGTATGTGAGCCTGAGAGTAAACAGGGGGGTTATTAATGTCAAAGGAGGACAATTACCCCAAAAAATGTGAGCACATCAATAAGAATCTGAAAGCAACTTTTCAGGAATATAGGACACAATGCAAATTAACTGTCTGAGCTCTGAGTATATATCATCACCTAATCTCTCAGAAACTCTCCGGTTACTATTAAGATGTTAACCGCAGGCTCAGCCCAGGCATTGATCTTCTTCTCCTGGAAGGACTTCAGCGACCTTTGTCTTCTGGGCTCAACTCGCTCAACAGCTCCTTGAGGCTGCCCTGGCACGGCGGGGTCCTTCTCACACCTGCAGCCTCGCTCCTGCTCCGCAGCCCTCTGCCCAGAGAGCAATTCTGAATCCCAAGAAGGAAGGAAGAAGGGAATGAAAGGAGAAGGGGGGCCTAGCCACAGATTTACTGCCAAGTCTTTAAACCACATTTCACATCTGCCAACCGCCCTGGGGCCTGCCCCTTATTTTTCTATCCCCATGGTGTGTCTTTCATTCACTCACTCACTCTTTCACAACACAAATGTCTGTCCAGCACCTACTCTGTGTCAGGCAGGAAGTGCAGGGTGTGGCCCTGACCTTGATCAACTCACAATCTGGGCTCCCACAGCTGCACACATGTGACAGGCCGAAGTTCTGAAGAGGCACAGGGAGCAAAATGTGTGAGGCTGAGTAGCGCTGATTCCAGCTCTGCCACTTGGTAGCAATGTGGCCTTGGACTCTGATCATTGGACAAGCCACCTAGGCAGGACTTGGTGCCACTGTCTTGCTGCCATAAGGGCATTCCCCACTCAATTCCTGGCTCTTCACACTAAACAAAGATACTACCATCTTAAGTATCAATTGCTTCAACTGCAAAATGGAGATAAAATGCCTAAAAGTGACTCCTATGAAAACTGAGGCTGTCCGTGTGAAGATCCTGGCACACAGCAAATGCTCGAGTAACAGCAGCACTTTGCTTGAATTGTGCCACTGACTTGCCCTTCATACCCCTCCTGAGTACATAAGAATGGCAAACACACCTGCCTATGCTCCTCAGCCAAACCCACACCATCAATATTCAACAGTCCAACGGGCCTCCGAAGCCGACTGCTCCAGGTCCCAGTGCTGAGACACACATATCAACGTCAGAAGGAAGGCTTTAACCCTCCCTTCTCCATCCTCTGCTTTGAACCTGGGCCCCACGTGCCTGACATGGGCTTCTGAAGCCTCTAAGCCTTGGGGAGCCTGTACCTCTGTCCACCACACATCCCTTCCCACAGCCCTGCTAACCATCTTCTCCGAAGGCAAGCCCATGGAGCACACCTCCATTCTGAGCTGGACCCAGGCCCAAAAGTCAAGAAACGGATTGATTGCATCATCATTTTGAGCCCCATGTAGGCACCTGAGAAACTCAAAAGCCTATGCACAGCCTGGCCCTGTCTCCAAATGGCCAGTTACAGAGAAAAACATCCAGGTGGGTTTCCTCGGGAGTGGCGTTTCTTAAGCACTAATATCCGCCCTTCCCCAAAGAGAACTTAAAGCCAAGGCTCCTCCAAGCCTAATCACTGAGAGCTGCTGCCAGGAAGGGCGACTGACACACCAATCCATGCGCCACAGAGCTAGGCCCTGCAGGCCACCCACCTCCCGATGGCCAGCTCTGCTTCTGCCCTTGCATGTTTCTGTTAGTGCTGGCCTCCAAGCAGGCTCCCAAACAAAAACAAAAGCAGAGTGCAGCCCAAAATGAGATTATAGTGAAGACATATAACAGAGTTACTGATCCTCCAGGGGGCCCAGCCTCCCTCCCCATCCCCTGCACCCCAGCCCCATCCTAGGCCCCAGGGTGCCTATAAGATGGGGCAGAGAGGCCAGGCATGGTGGCTCATGCCTGTAATCCCAGCACTTTGGGAGGCTGAGGCGGGTGGATCACCTGAGGTCGGGAGTTGGAGACCAGCCTGGCCTACATGGACAAACCCCGTCTCTACTAAAAATACAAAATTAGCCAGGCGTGGTGGTGCATGCCTGTAATCCCAGCTACTCAGGAGGCTGAGGCAGGAGAATCCTTTGAACCCGGGAGGCAGAGGCTGCGGTGAGCTGAGATCATACCATTGCACTCCAGCCTGGGTAACAAGAGCAAAACTCCATCTCAAAAAAAAAAGATGGGGCAGAGAGAGGATTCCTAGGCCCCTGAGCTCAGCATCCTTGTTGAAGCTTTGCCCAAGACTTAGGCTCCTGGTTTGGCTGCCAGCTGCCACCTTCCACAGATAAAAAATTCAATTCTGAGAATGAGGGGGTGAGACTGGAAGAAGCCTCTGAGGTGGGGGCAAGAGGACAGACAGATTCTGCGAGCACAGGAAAGACAGAACTAGCATGGGGACACAAGGTAGGAGGGTTAAGAGGAAGGGCCCAAACACACCAGTGCCAAGTTCAGACAATGATACAAGGAATAACCATGTCACTCACAGGAGGGATGGGCCCAGCAGAGGCCAGAGCTGCAGGGGAGAGGGGTGCATGCCCCCATGTAACAGCAGAAGGAGAATGCAGGCAGGAGGAGGGAGGGGTGTATACTTGGCATTTCAGAGTCAGGATCATGGCCCTAGAGAAACAGAGTCAGGTCAGCATCTCCCAGTCAGCAGACTGAACTGGGACAGAACATTTGCACACACAGTGAGCCCCATGGGAACGCCAGGCCTCCAGCGGACCCTATGCCTGGGAGGAAGCACTACAGAGATAAGGATGCATTTGCACTTCCCCCAAGGGCCTGCTGACCCTCCTGGCCCACGCAGCCCACAGGTAGGGGCCCCTGTTTCCCAGCCAGGAACACCAGAGGGGTGTGCGCTCTGCCTCCCATGGTGGTAAGGTCAAGGTGAAAACCACATGAGAAATGACACTGTCAGTGGTAAACCCAGCTTTTGAGACCAGGCCCTCACTGCCATGAATAACACTGATTCTACAGGAAAATGAGAACCCAGGTTCCAAACATCTGCTTTACACTTACGGGCTGGCGTGGGAGAGTGGAACGAACATAGACTTTGGGAGCAAACAGCCCTGGACTCCATTCCCAGCTCCGCACCTTGCAGCACCGTGCCCTGAGGCCCTCTCAGCCCCAGGTCCTTGGACGCAGGTTGGGGCATGCCATCGGCACCTCAGAGGTTTCAGGGGGACCAATCATGTGCGTATGGGGCCCAGCACTGGGCTGGACACATGGTAGGATCTCAGCAAATGGGAGTTCTAATTGCTACCAAAAGTGAATGTCAGGGAGCAGCCACCTTGAGCTCTTGTGATACTGGGTACAGCCCATGATAAAGTCCACACCAACATTGCCTCATTCTACTCAAGGCACTTCATCAGGCAGGCCAGAACCCAGGCAAACAGGAATTAACTTAATGCTCTGTTTGGCAGTACTTTCCCTGGGTCCATCATCCATTCTTATTCCCCGGAAGCTGCCAGCCAAGCAAACTGGAATATTGATCACTGCAATCATCTCGATGGAAGTCTGAGGGCCAAGCACTTCATGTGCATTTCAATTAGAAGAGTGGGCCTGTCATTCTAATTCTGCCTCATTCCAGCCAGCTTCACTCTAAGCAACAAACGGGCTCCTAAAAAGTTGAGTTCATCAGCAATCTATTAATGGAATCACACCTCCACACTGATTTTACATTATCATTGCCAAATGATACATATTCATTTTCCATCTTCAAAGGAACCAGAGTTGCTGTATCTGTGCTAAGCTCTGGGCACTACTCAGGGCTGCTATCTCCTGACCATACACAACAGCCCTGCGGGCTAAGCATGCCAGCACCACTTTACAAGAAACAGTGGGGGAGAAGCAGAGGACCTTCCCCAGACCTAGGGTAGAAAGAGCCATGGCTCAAACACAAATCTGCCCAGTTCCTTCCCAGGAGTCCCAACGATCCCAATAATTCCAAAGGCTTTTGCCTCCAATTCACTCTCCCAACATTTGGCCATATGTGCTTTGGTTGGAAAGGCAGCCAGGTCATTCTAATTCAAGGCAGCCCAGGCCCGCTTTGCTTCCCACGGCAAGGCTGATGCTCCCTAGGATCCAGAGATGAGCCAGATGTGGCCTCTCCAGATCCAGAGCATGGGAGCACGACTCATTTTTCTCTGTACATCAAATACCAATTTGTATTTCTATTCTTAAAAAATCAGTTTTCAAAGAAATAAAGAAGAATGGTCTCTTCCCCGAGAGGAAGCTTACTTGGTAGAAAGGATAGGACACTATCCATAAGAGAAAATTTAATTCACCCCAACAACCATTTGTTGGACACTGCTAATACAGAAGCCCTGAGGTCAGCGAGACAGGGTCAAGAACGTAATGAAGCTCAGCTGTCAACCCCTCAGAGAGGGCTGGACCCTCAGGAGGACAACCTAAGGGTGTCCTCCTAGCAGATCTCCCTAAGTGCTGGCTGGCTGCACGGGTCTCATCCCTATGGCATTTTATTTCGTGCCCCTGGCTCTGCTCCACGGTGGTCACGAGGTGTTAGTAATTTCTCTGCTTAATGACTTCCTCTGGAGCTCACAGGGAGAGAAAACCGATTCAGAATCATGAATGCTCATTTCAACTACTCTGCAGGAAGAGTTTGGGGGACACCTGTAATTCTCTCATTACCTCATTTAGCTACAGTTAGTTTGGAGATCACAAAACTACTCAGCTTAAAAGGGCCTCAGAGAACACAGTTGAGCCTCTATGTTTGCCAAGAGAGGAAACCAACACCCAGAAATTGCCTGGCCTGCCGAGGGCTCAGCTGGAAAATGACAGAACCCCATTTGGACCCCTGGCCCCTGGCTGACAGCGCATCACTCTGTCCACCCCCATGTCCCACCTGTCTTGTTCCTGCCTATGACAATAACCTTGCAAAAGAACGAGTCACTCCTAGCCCAGATCATGCCTTTAAAGCCAAGGGAATTTTTTGATTTTTTGGTTTTGTTTTTTTTTTTTAGGAGAAAGCAATAACAAAGAAAAGTGGGGGAGTGTGTCTTAAATAAAGATTGTCCCTCTGACGTGCTGGATGGAAAGCTTTTGGGTGTGAGCTTTATGATTATACCGAGGTAATAATGGACGTCACATATCAGGAGAGAAGATGTCACTACCTTTTGACAGAGGACACTTGGGAAGAAAAAGTTACAAACAGAAAGCTTTCCCTTTACCTTCTGAGGGGTAGAATAATAATTCACCTGAATTGTCAAGATCTGTTCCAGGAGCATTTGTGCAATAAAGAAAGGTTCAGAAAACCTCCTGTGCCATTATGGGCATTCATGGGAGTAGCAGTAATAACTGGGTTTTAAAAGCCTCGCACGATTGAGCAAAAGTGCTTTGCAGCACTTCCTACTCCTTCATCAGCACCTGCTAATGCCAGTTGTACCCCAGGAGGTGCACCAAGGAGAATGTAACTGAGCCCCTCCAAAGTGTCCATGCTAAAAATCACATCCAAGCCCTCAAATTCCACAGAGAAAATGGCAAGTGCCTGCATACACAGAATGAGCAGAACTAAGACACGTGCAGAGCCACCCAGGAGCAGAGAAGCCAGGTGCAAGTTCCAGGGGATGAAGTGTCCTCCCCACTGCCTCTCAGGCTCTCTGGTACTTTTCCATTCCTCTGTATGAATATGTTTTTCTTCCTTTAGGATCAGAAACAAAGTAAAAAGAAGCCCAAAAAAGAAAAATGTCAACCAACAAATTCTCTCTGTAATTCTCTTACTACCACCAGAACCTGCTGGTACAAAGCACTGGGGAGGAAGAAGTGATCAATCCCCAGGCAGGGGAGCCTCCTGGAGGGGATCCAACCTGAGGCAGCCCTGAACGGCAAGGACTTGCCTCCTGGGGACATGGGCAGGGTGCTCAGGGCCACCCCTGCCAAGGAAGTCTAAGACACCGGGGAGGAGGCAGGGGACCAGCCTCCACGACACTCAGACCTCAATGGACAGAACTGGTCTGAGATGCCCGAATCAACCAGAGAAGGTGATAAGCAAGGAAATGCCTAATGAGGCAGTGCAAGGGGGATAGATGTGGACTGAGACCACGAGGAGGCCGGCAGAAGCAGAAACTGGGCCTCTCTGGCTCTGGCTCGGTGGGGCAGAGGCTGCAGCCACGGGGAGGGGGAGGTCTCTCCCGCCCCAGGAACAGCGAGCAGCCGCCGACGCGCCCCGGAGGCCCAGAGGAAATATTATTGTGAGACAAAAACTGAATTATGAAATCCGCAAGCAATAATTAGTTTAAATTACTACTTCTACTTGAATAATTAAACACGCTTATTTTCACTCACTGATGTTTTATTCATTACCATACATCTTTCTTGAAAATTGTTTTTAACGTGAACATTCTTTTATTTGCAAAGATCCCACAGAGATTTACTATGCTAATTTCAAACCTTTCTTCTAAAATAAAAACAATAACAAAAACACTCCTAGATTATCATCCATTAGTGACTACTGTGTGGGGTCCATTATCAACTTAAGTCATAGCAACTGGATGGAAATACTGTGGGTAGTTGTAAAGTTATTCACACACCAAAGCTTCCTCCCTTTAAAATTCACGACTGAAAGGGCAATATTTAAATAAGCGCAAAGTGATTATGAAAACAAAAAGACCCCAGTGCAGAAAGACCACTTAGCCACAGATGGAAAGTGCCTTTTGCTTTTTATCATGCCCTGTATTAATGAAAATGTTTTTGCATTTTCACAAATAATGTTTGAATTTTATAAGTCTTATTTTTACACACTGGAGCCAGGATACCCAGAAGCACAGTAATAAGGGCTTAAGGTTTTTATTAAACAAAGTTACCTTTGGGAATAAGTACTAACTTAAATATAATCCATGAACTAACTCTTCCTTGCTGGGCTATTAGCTGGTGCTGGCTGAATGGCAAAACTCCAAATCCTAGCTAATGCCAACAAGCTGGGCCTGAGTCAAACCCGGAAAGGTGCAGCAAGGCTGCCACCATCATAAACCAGCTCCACTGAGGACCAGGCGCCAACAGCCCTCCGAGGGGACCACAAAGCCCAGTTAATGTGCAGCCATGTGGGTTGTACGGCAGAACTGACAACAGCTGCACTCACTGGATCACCATGACAAGTATCAAGGAATGTCACTGCGGTACAGGACACACATGCCCCAGCTCTGTCACTTAAAAAGCCACTCCTCCAGAGGAGGAAATGTGCTTTTCACACTCCTGGTGCCCCACAGCACCTGACCCCATGTCTCAGAAATGGCCAGTCCTCACTGAACATTCATTGAATTAAGTATCTTTTTTAAGGCCTCAACTGTACTTCTCTTTCCCCCAAGTCCTTTAAAAGCAGTCATTCAGCCCAGTAATTCAACAAATGCATCTAACCCTCTCCCATGTGTAACTTAAGTTATTCCTGGAACCTGCAGCACCCGTACCCTCCTCATCTGGTATTTTTCCCTCAGTTAATGTAAGTAAATTCAAGTAAGTCTTTTTCACATGGTTGCACCCAGTCTTCTGGAGCCACAGGGAAGTAGATTACTCAAAATTTTGAAGTTTCAATTTTGAAATCAAAAATGACCATCTACTGAACAGAATGATGAGCTGTGGCATCAGCTTGGCCTTTGGAAAATGAAGGGACTCCAGAGGCCACAGGCCAGGGCTTAGCTGATTCTAGAAATCAATATTATCTGCGTCATCATCGTTAGAAGCATCCGGAAAGCAGAACAGAGCTTCTGCTGGGCTTCTGTTTCCGTGGCAACAGCTTCACTGGCCTGTTGCAGGGAAAGGCATAGAAGATGGGAATTGGCAAGAGAGAGCGAGAGGGGCACAGGGGGACGGAAAGGAGGAAATGCAAAGGAGAAAAGGCAGGCGGAGACAGGACCAGGTGCAAGGCCAAAGGAGAGCATAGTGAAAAAAGTACCGAAAAAGACATGAGAGAAAGGATGAGAGAGAAAGGAAAAGGGGGGAAATGCAAGAGAAGGAAGGGAAAGGAATGGAAGGAAACGTCCTAGGCTGGGACTTTTGTCGGAAAAATCACCTACAGATGTGCATCTATCGGTATGCAAAGCATGCTCTAGTTTCACTCATTAAATGCAACACATTTCAACTCAGTTACTGCCTCAAGACACACTCAATTATCCGATAAACCACAGGAAGGTTGTGTAAAAACATCAATGTGGTAAGCAGTCTAAATTCGAATTCTAGCTAATGTCAACATTAGCCCAAAAGGCTGGCTGGGTTAAATCCAGAAGGAGGAAAAAAGGAAGAAAAAAAAAAGAAAAAAGGAATGAGAAACCTGTTATCACTAAACAGCTACCATTAAGGACAAGTCACTAATGGCACTTTATAAGTGAGTGCTCTTTAAGCCTCATTAAGGTGCAAATCTTCTGCTTGTCTTGTTCATGATTGAACTAGGAAGCAAGTCTTGAAAACCAAAAGACATCCAGTACGAGCTTAACTGTAGCTTCAAGGCTCTGGTCTCCTGATATGGGACATCAGCCAGGATGTGCAGGGTTTGCTCAGAACAGGGAACTCAAAATTAGTGGCCAGGACAAGCTCCAGTCCATTCCTTACTGCCCAGTCCACCCCCCAAAAAAACAAATTACTTATTAAATAGCAAGAGCTCTCTAAATGCAATATGGCATCCTAGATTGGATCCTGAAACGGAAAAAGGACATTAGTGGAAAACCTGGTGAAATGCAAATAAAGTCCATAGTTTAATTAACAGAGTTGTACCAATGTTAATTTCTTAGTTTGATAAATGCACCAGGTTATGCAAGATGTTACCATTCGAAGAAGTTGGGTGAAGGGTACATAGGAACTCTCTGTATTATTTTTATAACTCTTCCATAAATCTGAAATTATTTTTTAAAGTTTTACAAGAAAAATAACAAGGGGTGTTTAAAAGTTAAGACTCCTGTTTTTCTAACAATGATTTATCTTTTTCATATAAAACCAATGCTCCGATAGGGCTTAACTATCATAAAATTTTACTGGAATGCTGGCTGAAACATTACAAGGAAGGCCATACTCCTGCAGCAAAAGTAAATTATTAAACTCCAGCGTGTTAGCAGTGTCCCTTCCCTCTGAAGCAAGAACAAAAGGAGTGACATGCCTCTGCATGTCAAGAAGCAAGGCTCTGTCAGGCGGAAATGGAATGCACTTCGAAGAGCATGTATTGCAACCTCTTCACACTCCCCACTCCTGATCAGAAGTCTTCTCCAGGCCGGGTGTGGTGGTTCATGCCTGTAATCCCAGCACTTTGGGAGGCCAAGGCGGGTGGATCACTTGAGGTAAGGAGTTGGAGATAGCCTGGCCAACATGGTGAAACTCTGTCTCTACCAAAAATACAAAAATTAGCCAGGTGTGGTGGTGCACACCTGTAATCCCAGCTACTCAGGAGGCTGAGGCAGGAGAATTGCTTGAGCCTGCGAGGCAGAGGTTGCAGTGAGCCAAGACCACACCACTGCACTCCAGCCTAGGCGACAGAGCAAGACTCCGTCTCAAAAACAAAAAAAGTTTTCTCCAGCCTGTCTTGCTCCTCATGCCTTATGCATCCAATGCCCAGCCTCGTCCAGCTACCTTGCAGTTTGCTGATGGCAGCATGCTCTTGTACACCTCCCTGCCTTTGCACACTCTGTTCCCTTGGCCTGGAATGCTTTTCTATCGCTTTGCTGCTGAGCAATGGCTACCCATCCTCTAGGACTCCTGTGACTTGCTGACACTGCCCCTCCCAGGCTGTTCTTTATGCCCCAGAGCACCTTACCCAACACCCTTCAGAGCAGTCATGATGCTGCGCTATAATGATCTGTCCACCTGTTTCTTTCAATGAGCCAGGAGCCTTTCCAGAAAGGCTATATTCATCTCTGTATCACACTCCCATCCCTAGCACCCAAGTCTCACAACAGATGTTGAATGAATGAAATACTATGTCAAGAATGCAGGCAATTCTTTAAAAGAGAAAATACCAGTAACAACTTTCCATCTTCTGTTAAAAGGCCAAAAAGAGTCCATTTGTAAGAAGTGAAGGAAGTAAGCCCTTTTAAAAGAAACAGATTTTGTTACAGAACGACAGGTCCATTTCCACCGACAATATACGCACTGTACAAGTATCCTCTTCCGACCGAGAAGCTGAAAAGCTTTCCAAAGGTTTTGGTTTCCTTGACAACAGCATTGCTGGAGACAAGCAGAGAAATAATTAAAAAGTATGTTCCCTTTGCTTTGAACTCGTTAAGTGTTTTTAGGCAATAACAAACAGGTCACACTTGACAACGTCAGTATGGACAGAGCCAAGGGCATGAGGGGAGACCCCACCTTGCCACCCCTCCAGCAGCATCTCCTCTGAACTCGGGGACCTGAGTTGAAGGACTTGAGCCATTTGAGAAATACAACATTCACCATGAGAAACACAGACCATACAGGTCAGGTTAACAAAAGCACTTTGCAAGGTCCCTGGCCAAAACCACAACATTTATCCTCACAACAGGTCTGTGAGATAGGTATTGTTACAGCCACTTGGCAGGAGAGAAACCAAGGCACAGAAAAGAGCAAAACAACTCTGGCAGTCTGGCCCAGGGACCTGTGGCCCTGCCACAGCCCACCCTAGAAAGAACATGTGACCTCTCCTTAGCTTGATTCGGACAGAGATTTCCCCTGGCCTCTCCTATGATCTTCATCTCCTCCCTGGGCAGCTGAGACAAGAAGCTAACTGCCTTTCCTCTGAGCACTACTGTCCTGCCATCCCACATGCCTTTGTGAGGCCACTTGTGTTGGCTTCTCTTGGACAGCAAGAACTGGGCAAACTTGTGCCACCTGCCTTGGGTCTGCGAGAACACAGCACACAGAACAAGACGCAAGGCACCAGCTGGGAACAGCAGTCAGCTCTGCGCTTGATTGACAGGCTTCCTTCTCCTTTTGGGGTGGCTTTTCATGGTCTGTCTTGCTTTAATAGCTTCACTGTGTTTGTATCTTTTATTGTAGGCTTCCTCAAGTCCTTTCTGGATTTAAGATTTATAAATAAATAATAAACAAATGTACAAGCTGCAAGCCCATGACCATTACCTGACAGTGTAAATACAAACATTTCGGCCGGGCGCAGTGGTTCACGCCTGTAATCCCAGCACTTTGGGAGGCTGAGGCAGGTGGATCACAAGGTCAGGAGATCGAGACCATCCTGGCTAACATGGTGAAACCCCATCTCTACTACAAATACAAAAAATTAGCCGGGCGTGGTGGTGGGCGCCTGTAGTCCCAGCTCCTCGGGAGGCTGAGGCAGGAGAATGTCATGAACCCGGAAGGCGGAGCTTGCAGTGAGCCGAGATTGCACCACTGCACTCCAACCTGGGCGACAGAGCGAGACTCCGTCTCAAAAAAAAAAAAAAAAAAAAAACATTTCACAGATGTGGAACAATCATCACTTTGATTTAGCTCCCAGCAAAGTTTCCAAAGCCCTTTCACAAACCTGGCGACATTTAACCAATCCCGAATCCCCACAGGGATGCCTCCTGCACAGACTGGAGGTGAGGGGTGGGTGGGGGAGTGCAGTTGGACCCCTCCAAGATTCTCTACATCCCAAAATTCAAGTAGGCCCACAAAGAGCATGGTCGACTGAGCAGGTGCTATTCATTCAAACTGGAGATAAAACAAGGGAAGAAAACAAATTCCCTGCCCTCATGGAACTTATATCAGAGCTCCTGCCATTTTACAGACGAGCTCATTAAGACACAAAAAGATTAAAGGCCTTGCCACAGTTACACGACTACACTTTTGGAGCCCCCAAGCAGGGAAGTGACTAGAACAATCCCAGAAAGCAGAGGCAGCAAAGGTGAGTTCAAATGCCAGCCCCGTGCTTAGGAGCTACATGTCCTTCAATACGCCCCTCTGGTCCTCAGTTTTGTCATCTGTAAAGGGGGCATACGGATGCTGATGCTGCTGCCAGCTTGCATTATGGAGTGCCTGCCATACGCCTGGTACTCTCCTGAGAGTCTGCCGTGGGTTCTCTTGTTTAATCCTCAGAAGACTGAGGTGGATGCTGTTATTGTCCTTGACTTACGATGGGGAAACTAAGGTCCAGAGAGTTAAGTAACTTACCCTAAGCCACACAGAAAGCACAGGGGCTGGGACTGAACACCGAAATAAGACTCCCTGAGCTCTGATGATTACCCAGCTGAGGGCAAATGAGATGTAAACCCCTGTGTGGTGCCTGACCCAGCACAAGTACAGGAAGCGCCATCTGGCCTTGGGCCACTGACCATCCAGGGCTAAAGCTGATGACCAGCCCAAGCACTTCACCTGGCCGTCCTCACTGTCCCCGCCCCACAGCATGCACAGTACAGGGCTGTCCTCCCCACCCACCTGGCTGCCCCTCATCGATTTCATTGTTGTTGTTTTTTTTTGAGATACAGGCTTGAGTGCAGTGGCACAATCATGGCTCACTGTGGCCTTAACCTCCTGGGCTCAAGCAATCCTCCCGCCTCAGCCTCCCAAGTAGCTGGGACTACAGGCATGTGCCACCACACCCAGCCAATTTTTTAATTTTTTGTGGAGATAGGCCTCCCTATTTTGTCCAGGCTGGCCCCGAAATCCTGGCTCCTCATCTTCTAAGACCCAACTCGTCCTTCCCCTTCCCTGAGGCTTTTCTTGTCCTCTGCCTCCAGCACTGACAGACCTAGCACACTCTCCCATATATTCCTGTTCCCAGCACAGATAGCCCTGGAGGGCCTTTCTCATCATCCCTCTCAAGTCTGCTTTGATGTCTGTGCCTCATTCACCTTTTACCAGCAAGAGTGGGTCTGGTCCCCTCTGATCCCAGGGCCTGGCAAAGAGCCAGAATTTAACTGATGGCTGGACAGCCATACAGATGACCAAATGAAGAAAGAAGTGAGGAACAGCCCTGCTGACACTGCCACTGAGTGCTTTCTCTGCTCACAGCAGAGACAGCATAAAGCAAGGCCCGAGGAATTCACAGGCCACACAGCAGCAAGTCCAGAAGCCTGGCTCATGGAGACGTCACAAGGCCCATCAGCTGAGCCATCCCCCAAGTCCACCACCTCAACCACTGCCAGCCATGTCACACTGCTGGACTGGAAGACAAGAAGCCACACCTAGAGGGACCTGAGCTCCTCAAGAGTCTGCTGGGGTCACTGGGTGCGCACCGGATTATTTGATCAACGAATCAAGGCAACTGGAGGCAAAGTGGATTGCAAGCCTCACACCCTTAGGAACACGGCTTAGGAGGCAATCACAGAATAAACCCCGGCTTGGAGTTCTTGATAATACCTTCCATTTGTAAGAGCGTTATCGTTTACAGAGTGGTTTCACACATCTAACCTCCTCTGATCCTCACAGCCCTGTGAGATAATTATTTCACAGATGAGAATGCTGAAGCTCAGAGAAATTAGAGGAGGAATGTGCCTGACTCTCTTTTGAATACGCAGTGTGTGGAGCGCTGTGCTCCACTCAGGCGGGGCCCCAAGTGCAGTAAAGTGCAGTATTTCAGGGCAGAGCAGCTCACAGCCACCATCTTGGCCCTGACCACAGGACACTCAAGCCATTAACGGCCTTGGAGCCCAAGGTCTGAGTGGCTGACCCAATGCCTGCATCTACTTCCCAGCCCTCCAGCAACATGGGCTCCAACCTGCACTACACCCCTCCAGGCAAAACAGCCCTCGCTCCCTTTCCAAGTAGTCTACTGCCCGAGTTGCCCAGCTCTGAGCACCGGAAAGTTCTTCACCATGTGCTGACCTCTTCCCCCCACAGACACACCTTCCACCATCTGTCCTACTTCTGCCCTGGGAGCAAACCCGAATACACCTCGTTCCCCTCCCACAGCAGCCCTGCCAGCACCTGATGACAGCCACCAATCCTCCGCCCCCGGGCTAACAGCAACACAGCAGGACACCCAGGTACCGGAACCGTATCAGAACCATATCAGAACACACTTGAATGAGAGAAAAGAACATGAAAAGAAGCCCAGGACGAAAACAAACAACTTTTCTAAGCAAAGGTGACAATGAAAATCTGTTTTAATTTGTGTTTTTGTACCTTTCAAAATAACATTTCAACTAGTTCAGAAAGAGAGCACTTCTGTTTATAAAATCTCTTTCATTTTCCCTACAGTTGTCAGGCTGTGTAAATACACTGTGAGTAGGGAGAGAGAAATTGCTACTTGTGAAACTTTTAATGCTAGCATGTATTCAAATTAGAATTCTAAACTCAGCAGGTTAAGAATGTTCTGAAAGCAATTTTGGTGTTAGTCTAAATAATTACAGATCACATTCACTTAGATAAGGGCCTTTGCCCCCTTGGGGCTTCAAGGGAAAATTCTAGGCATGATAGTTAAGCAAAATAGTTGGTTATTACCAACACCGCAAGCTTTGCGGTGGCAGTGCAAATTGGTATAATCCTTTTGGAAAGCAATCTGACAAGAGACGTATCTGGACCCATGAAAATGTACAACCCTTTGACCCAGCAGTCCCACTTCTGGGAATCAATCCGAAAGAAATAATCCAACAGAAAAGGGTTTCATGCATGAAGATAACCACTTCAGCATTATCTATATAATAGCAAAAATTAGAAACCACCTAAGTGTCCAAGGGCGGCTAAGTAAATTACAGTTAATCAACTCGATAGAGCGTCATGGAACCAGTGAAAATTGACGGCCCTCCAAAGACGCAGAGGCGGCTGGTGGCACAGTGTGGCGCGGGCAGGGCTGGGAGAGAATGTTAAATGGAAAGACAGGCTGCAGAGCTGCACGCACACTCTGACAAACACAGCCCGTATGGACCAGAAATGGATGGGAGGGTGTTCAAAGGATAATGATAATTTCAGTGTATGGTCGAGTTGGTGGATTTTGCTTATGGTTTTGTAATGCTGCTGAGTCATCTCCACAAAGGGCCAAAGGAAGGGCAGAGGAGAAGGGGCAAGAGGGTGACAGAGGCTTGGACCCCTGGGATCACGTTTTCATCACACAGTTTGGAGAGCTAACCAAGCAGAAGAAGACAGAGACGTGGCTGGAAAAGAACCCACTCACTTATCCCAGAACTAGGATGTGCTGACGTTTTTACCAACACAATAGTGAGATTCCCCAAAATGTAATTACAGATGTAAAGAAAACTGTGGTCCTCAATTACACTGTCTAAAATGACTGAGGACCCCAAAGAGCTGTTGTTTTTTCGGATTATAGCTATGGGTACTTCGCGTATTAGAAGTGAAAACTGAGGACATTTTAAAATATTTATTAATTTATGTAAAAGTAACAGTAACAAACCCCCCACATGTTAACAGAAATAGCACATTCTTATAAAAATAACTCTATTTTCCAAGACCAAGAAAAATTAGTAAGAAGGCATTGTTTACATTTTTGCAGATCTCATTAATGTCTGGCTTAATACAAGACAGCTGGGTTCTCAAAGCTGCGTCTGTATTTAATCCACTGCAAAAGCACACGCCTCATAGCCTCTGGAAAACTCCATGTACACTCAGGAGAGAAGGAGAATGGAAAAGGCAAATAACTCCTAGGTATTATTATGAAAATAGTTTTGACCCCCTGAAAGGGTCTTGAGGCCCCCCAGGGATTTGGAGACCACACTAAAAACCAAAGCAATAAATTACAGCATTAAAAACTGCTACTGCAGTATGTGGAGGGAAAGAAGGGTTTAAATTAGATGTATAGTTGGAGCTCAACTATGTTGAATCTTTTTTTTTTTTTAAGGCTGGATGAAAATATACCAAAAAGTCTGCAGTCATTGCCTCTGGGTGGAGAGAAAATGGGCAATTTGTTTCTTCTTTATACCTTTCTGTTCTTTCCAGATTGCATTTCTTTTATGGTCAAAAACAACATTTCTTTTTTGAGGAAAGGTTGAGGAAGCTGTGGCGTACCCATGCCCTGCGGAATAAGCCGGATGGGAAGAAGGTCATTTTAAATCATGAATAGCCAGCGTCAGTGTGGGGGAGCATCACGAAGCTGGCTGCCGGGGACCGCGGCGCTGCTCCTTAATATGCCCATCGATCCCTGGCACCACGCACACATTCATCATGGTGGCGCAGGGCCTGCCTCGGACCCACTGACGAGAATTGAAACTGGCTCAAGCTAATCACTACTAGATGAAGGTCAAATATAGGTGACGATTTATCAGATCTCAGGGTGGGGGAGGACATGCCATGCTCTAGAGCCATGGACAATTACAAAGGGAAAGGGCCAGAGACTTGACAGCGAAAAATGTCAGGTTTTCTCTGTTAAAAAAAAATACATGAAATACCAAAACTCAACATCACACAACACCCTGGGGGGGAAGAGGGTAAAATATGATGAAAGGTCAATATTGTAAGTACGTAAATTGCCCAGATAAGAGAAACGCTAAGACTACAGGAGATGAATGGACAAGAATCAGGATAACAAATGCTTGTTTAGAATGAACGAAGTGCCGGCCCGTTCTAAAAGAGCTGTACGTAAATGAACTCACTTGGTTCTCAAACAAGACACCATTAAATTAGCAGACATTTTCAAAAGGTAATAATTCTGCCGCTGTGGAGGGTGAGAAGACGCAGCCACTTTTACGCATAAATGATGGTGTGTGTCAGACACTGAGCGCTACACAGCCCCCAAAAAGAGCGGCACAGATCTGCACACTGGTGGGAAAAGATGTGCCGGACAGTGAGAAAACCAAGCTGGAGGACAGGATGGAGAGTGCAGTCTGCACACTAAACACAGAGACCTTGACCCTCTTCCCCAGCTCAGATGCCGGAAGGCTGGCAGCAGGCCAAGAGCCCACCCAGAGAAGACACCTCCCTGAGAAGCTGACCAGGCTCAAGGAAATACATAAAAATAATCACAAGTGGGTTCCTATGATGAGCGCCAGCCTGCTGCCTCATAACCCTACATCCGGCCCGCTGCAAACAAAGTCCCTTTGCCCCCACACAAGGGCGTGTGCATGCACACACACACACACACACACACACACACACACACAGCTTTTGGTCAGGTCAGCTTTTTAGGTCCTCCCTCCCTAATTGGAATGAGCAGCAGGAAATCTCTAACATGGAACACAGACACCAAAACAAAAAAAGACCAAAGGAGATAAGAAAGAGACAAACATTTCAGAAAACAGGAAAACTTTCAAAGAACTCAAAGAGCTAAGAAAAGACCTTGTAAATATACAATAAAAAACAATATGCTATATTAAAAAAAGGAACATTCAGAAAATAAGAAACAGCTCTTGGAATGTAAAAACATGACAGAACACTTCCCTGAATATATATTATTCTTCAATTTGAAAGTTTATGACAGCAGAAATACAAATTCAAAAAAAGCATTGAAAGATAGATAAAGTGGAAGAAATTCCCCAGAAAAATAAAACAGAAAGGCCAAGAAATAAAGAGGAGAAACCGAGACGCTCAATCCAGGGACATCCAGGATGCCCAAGCAATCAGAGTTGCAAAGTCAACGACCTTCAGCAGCAGCAGCCCCAGAGGGTGCCGCTCATCTCTGTATGGCCCTCGTTCTATGGGGGGGCCGAGCTCCCCAGTGCCCCAATCCTGGCGAGGAAAGGCAGGCCTGGAACAGCCCCACAAGCCCTGGCAAAGCAGAGTTCTAGGGCCGCTTTGGTTGTAGGTTTCTAAAGCCCTTCTGGTCCTCCCTGCATTTCAGCCAGTATCACAGTATTCCACGTAGAAGATCAAGGTACGCTGTCCTCTGCCAAGTTCAGGAAACTTCAGGAAGCCTGCCAGAGGGGAGGCCAGGTGAAGGCAGGCTTCCAGCTATCCTGGGCTGACACAGTTGGTCTCACTCACATGTACCTTCTGACTGCCCCTCAGGGCTTCTGTCCCCCGGCTTGCTCCACTCCCCCCAGTATATGAGGGGTCCGCATGAGAGCTGTGTTCATCTGGGAGAATAGACAAAAGAAAACACCTGACAAGAAACAGCAGAAGCTAGAAGGAAACCTTAAAAGGTTGGAATGACTTACCTAACCCTTCTCTTAAGAGGAAATAATACTAACAATCTGGGGGAGAAATGACCACCCTATGATTTTAAATGCAGGCTACAAAAACAAAGTACCTACCATATGATTAAAACTAGTTGATATATGTAGGGAAAAAAGACTAGAAGGAAACGCTGCTTGCAAAATGTTCATGGTCATTAGGCTTGAATGAAGGGTCTATGGTTTATCTTTTAATTTCTGCCATTTTCTTGCATTTTTTCCCAAAATTTTACCACTTTTATGATAAAACAAATTAAATCTAAAACAACTCATTTGGACACAGGCCATCACTGGGCATTAGACAAGCACCTTTAAGAGTCTACTGTCTCCGAGTTTTAAAAGCAACAAGAAATAATTTACTAGACTGTCTCGACTCCTAAGTGCGCCAATTTTGCAATCTGCATTTTTCAATTACATTAAAAGCATTTTTCCAAATTGCTCTATCCTTCCCTTAATGACATGGGATGAGAGTGAATGAGGCTTGCTTCTCGAGGACAGAGGCTGCACCTTCACACGGCTGTTTTCTTCCTGTCAGCTTCTGGCGAGCACAAGGCCCCGCCCTTGGTACACTGAACTGTTTAAGTTAAATGGAATGAAGTTATTAAAAAGCAGAAAACACAGCTTGGGTTCTGCTACACTTTCCTTTTCTTATTCCTCTTCAACCCAAGGTTTTTTCTGTAAGATACAAGATTGTAAGGCAACTGGAACTGGGAAATGTCTCATTTGTTGGCCTCAGAAATGTCGCGGCTTTCACATGGGGGAGGAGGAGTGTCAAAAAAACTTCACTTCCCACGAAGAGAAGATTCCAGCTCAGAATCTCATGGCTCTTCCCAGAGGCTCGGCAGCTCTGCTGCCAACCAGTCTAAAGCCCCACACTCCCAATCCTGGGGTAATTCAGATGATTCTGAAAGTCCTCTGGAAGGTGGGAAAGAAGAGAAGCAAATATAGTGTCCAGACTAGGAAGCATCCAAACACCTATTGTGTGTCCTCGGGCGTGTCTTCCCCTCTATGGGCCTCTATCAAATGAACCAGATGAACGCTATGCATGCACGCACATGCGCACACACACATCACCAATTCTCTCCTCACCTTCATCTAATTACCCTGGATGCACTGTTAATCATTCACTCCCCAAATACCAAAGGCCCACTACCACCACCCAAACCTCCTTCCCAGCTGCGCCTCTCATTGCCAATAGATTTGCCTCGTGCTTAGAATAAATTGCCAATCATCTGCATAATGCTCCACAACTCCTCACTCCACACATCAAATCATTTCTCAATCTCATTTTGTAAAATCCATCAAGAATAATTCTTTCAAAACTGAAATAAACCCTCACTCTGGCACTTAGAGCCATAAATCCCTTGTCTTTGAATGTGAAATAGATCACTTTCTACAAAGCACATCTAAGATATCTTAATGTAATCAGATTCACTAACAATGATAAATCAACAGGATCCTGTGATACATAAAAATGCAAATCCAAACCACCCCAGAAATCATCTCTTCTCTGTATGTCCCTTAACAGAACCACAAAATTTGGAAGCTGGGATAGAGCTTGGACACCACCTGGGTGAAGGGGATGCGCTTTTCCATCCCTTATTCTCAGAGGCAGGAGGGCAGCGTGAGTGGTGGTAGCTCTTTCTGCTCAGGCTCTGAGTCTGAAGCTTCCCTGCTTGCCTCTATCATTTACTAGCTGTGTGACCACGGACAAGTCTCTTGACCTCTCTGTGCCTCAATTTCCTCATCTGTAAAATGGGAATGAGGACAGAAGTGGCCTCTCAGGCCTGTAATGAAGAGGAGACGGAGCGTTTAGAACATGCCTAGTACATGGTAAGCACTCAGCAATGGCTAGCGCTCTCCATCCTCTCATCCATGCTTTAAATGTGACCACTTTGGGGACAGGGAACCAGCTCTCCAACACAGACCTGCCAAGTGTTCAGTACATGAAAAGGGAGTGCATGAATGGCTTGGCACAGACAATCCTCAAACTCTTTAGATTCTAAAAGTATTTATCTCAAGAACACTGAGATTGAAACGCTTTAAAAACGTGTGCATAGAGACAATGAAAAGATTCACAAAAAACAAGAGTTACAGTAAGTTGGAGGATTCTGGGTGATTTGTCTTTTCTACACTTTGTTTTATAACTAATCAAGACAGGTACAGGGGAATCAGAAACATGCTTCCTCAGCCTCTCCCTTGTCAGGCACTAGGCTGGATCTTCTCATTTCAGCTCTACAGCAACAACCTTAATTGGTGGCCATTTACCAATTATCCCCATTTTACCAGTGAGGAACTAGGGGATCAGAGAGGCTAAGTGATTTTCCCAAAGTCACACAGCTACCAAGCAGAAGATTTGGCATGGGAGCCAAGGAGTACAACAGTGGTACTGAAGGTTTGCCAATCTAATCAGGTCCCACTCTCACCACACACAAGGGCTTTAGCTAATGCCTGGGTGTAAATCAAAGCCCATCTTTTTCTTTTTTTTTCTGAGATGGAGTCTCGCTCTTTCACCCAGGCTGGAGTGCAGTGGTGCGATCTGGGCTCACTGCAAGCTCCGCCTCCTGGGTTCATGCCATTCTCCTGCCTCAGCCTCCCGAGCAGCTGGGACTACAGCCGCCCACCACCGCGCCCGGCTAATTTTTTGTATTTTTAGTAGAGACGGGGTTTCACCATGTTAGCCAAGATGGTCTCAATCTCCTGACCTCGTGATCCGCCTGCCTCGGCCTCCCAAAGTGCTGGGATTACAGGCATGAGCCACCGCGCCTGGCCTCAAAGCCCATCTTAACTGCATTAAGGCAGCAAAAAAAGACAATATTTATGTATAGCCATATTCACTGTAATACTGATTATTTTTTAAACAAAAGCAGGAAATTATAGGAAACAACATGGAAATGATGGAGCAAAGTATGAAACTTGAGACAGTTATAAAAATATATTTGGGGAAAAGTTTTTAATAAGGTAGAAAAATTCCCCTTACACGTTACAGAAGATTGGGCAGCAGAGGAAGAATTCAAAACTGCACATACTATGCAATAAGCCCAATTATGTAAACAGATAGGAATGTAGGGCCCCCGACCAGGGAGGCCCCTCATGTTAATGAGGCACTGACTTGGGGTTGGGAGTTATCAATGATTTCTGTTTCTCCTTCATACTTCATATTTCCTGCATCATTAAAGTTTTTCACAATAAGCATCTATTACATTCATGGTCAAAAATTAAAAGGTTTTTTTTCAAAGTATTTTAAGGAAGCTTGTTACTGAAAGAATTTCTAGAGCAAATTATTCTGTAAAGCAAATAAACAACATCTAATTCATATATTTTCTTTAAAAACCTTCTGTGTTTCAGAACTGCAGGTTTTCATACAGGTACAGAAGGTCCCTGGTGGGTCTTCTGTCACCCACCCAAAGGTCTTATTCCTTTGGGACTCCCTCTCAGTGCCTGGCAGAGGGTTCTGTACATGGGAGCATTCAATAACGGCTGGTTGTGTTTTTGGTTAACGCAGGCCACGTACATGTTTTCCTTCAAAAAAAGGCATCAAAGTCTGAATTTCTACCTTTACGTGCAGTGGGTGTTCAAACACGTTAAGCCAAAAGAGTTCACTGGGAGATGAAAAGAGTATATAAAAGGGTATCCGTGCTGGGATCACAGCTATGAAAAAAACAAGCACGTTCACAGACAAGGGGAGGAAGGGATCGTCAGGAAAGAGCAGCGGTGCAGAATTATGAGTCATTGTTTTATTTTACTTAATTTCTCTAGCTGTAAATTTTTCAAAACTAATAAAAGCATATTTTACAGCTCACAGAACATTTAGAACATATTAAAATAAGTATCTTTCCACTGTAATGTGTCCAGTTGAAATGTATGAATTCCGAAGCTACGTTTTAAGGATATGAAGGAACTGGCACTCCATGTTCTTTAGATTAATAAGTTGGACTGTGTTGTTTTTCTCCTGATCAGAAAGAAATCATTTTTCAGTAAATGTTACCTTGAATCAAGGATTCTTCCACATTCTAGAAGCTTGGATGAGCTGCTTATATTAAGTCTTACTGTGCACCCTAGTGGCGAATATGATTTATCCACTCAAAAGACAATCCCTTCCCAAAGGCTTGCGATAAAATCCAAAAAATTTGTTTTAATTTTTATCGATCACTTAACATGTACACAATTTTGTGCCAGATGCTGGGGAATATAAAAATGGGTTCTGGCTCAGGAAGCTTAAAGTCTAGTAGGTGAAGCTGATATGCTTCCATGGCTACTTACGTAAAATAAGACATGAGCACAAGTCAAGGAAAGGAGGAAATTCTTGGGGAAAAGCAGGAACTCGAGCACACACTAAGTGCCTGCTATGTGCCAGGCATTGCACTTGGTGATTCACAACTAATATCGTTTACTTTTCACAAAAACCCAGCGAGGCATGTTTAATTCTCTCCACTTTATAGATACTCAAATGAAGGCTCAGAAGTGAGGTAACTTGCCAGAGACCACGCAACCAAGGGGCTGGCCGTAGAGGAAGGACCCAAGCAGGTCTTGTCACCCAGCCCCCAAGCTCTTCCCTCCTTCCTGATCCAGCAGGGGCCCAGAAGACACTGGCAGATTTTAACCAAAAGGCAGGGGGAAAGCACCCTGGGAAGGGTGTACTGCTGCACCCGCCTCTTTGAGCTCATTCCATGCTGCACCCACCATTTCCTCTCCTCCAGGGACTGGGCTGCAGCCAGCCAGGACTCCTGCCTGTGCCCGAGGCCCTATCCCCACTCCAGACCCACCACCCACACCCACACACTGCCTTCCCCAGATCACCAGGTCCCCAAGATCTGCCATGCTGCCCCACCTCTGACACCAAGGAGGGAAAAGAACACCATGTGCCTCCCAGCCAGGCCACGCACAAACCTGGTGGCCCAGCAAGCCTGAGGCCTCAGCCGGGACTTCTGGCCACAGCTCCTGCCTGGCTCCCCGCCGGTTCCCAATCTGTCTTCCCATCCTGGCTCCTCCAGCCCCTGCCATACACTCTTCACACTGAAAAGTTGTTCAAAGTCAATTTGCCCAAAACCAATTTGCCAAATAACCCCATCACTGAAAACTGACAAATATCTTAAAACAGAGAGGGCCCTGGCCCACCATTTGTATCTATGGCTTATAAAAGCCCTAATGTTCACGACACCACAGTAAAAAAAGAGGGTCAGGAGATGCCAACCCTAGCAGCCATGCTGACCCTGGCCCAACCTCATGACAGCAAATGTGCTCTGCCCTGGGAAGGAACCCAGGGTGCACAGTGCAGTGGGTGGGGCTCCCCAGAAGCTGCCTGGCAGCCCAAGGGGCCCATGCCAGTGTCATCACCTGCAGCACACACAGTCTCCTCGGGACAGGCGGGCACAGCTGCGGCGCCTGGCCCCACCCAGGGCAGCCCCACAGACCCGGACCCAGGTCTCTGAATCGCCCAGGAGCAGGGCATTCCTACCACAGTCCCTCAGTCTGAGCCACCCTCACTGCCATTCCAAGCTGGGCCCACTGCGCCCTCTTCTGGTCATGAGGTGTCACAGTTAGTTGGCTGCTCACAGTTTCCCCTCCATGGGGGCAGAAACGTCTCTCCCCCCACGTCCCCAGTGGCACCGTGCCTGGCACATTTGTCTACTCCACAAGGCCAGAAATCAATGCCTCTACTCAGGTGCTCTCTGCTCAAAAACTACCATGGGGATGCTTCTGTTTAGGAAATCTAAATTTCCCAGGCAAAAGTGACCCAAGCTGCCACTCTGCCAGCAGGGCCCAGGGAGCACTTCACGCCACCAGGCGAAGGCCAGTCCCACAGGGCCCCAGGTCTGCCCCTCACCATCAGGAGAGAGAACTCCAGAGGTGAGCGGGCAGGTAAAAGAAGGCCTCAACAGGAAGGTGAGCACAGGGAGGACAAGGGCCACCACTTGAACTCCAGGGCCAGTCAGACACTGCCCAGGCCCACCAGCAACCCTCCAGATGGGCTTCCCATCCTCCAGCCCTTGCAGCGCAGACTTGGGAAGGAGAGCAGAGAAGCCCCGGGGCCACAGGATCAATCCCAGCATGCTGTGATCCACGCCAGGGATGCCAGAAGCCTCCGCGCACACTTCACAGCCCCCGGAATGGCAGGAAAAGCACCAAAGACCTAAGTGGAAAATCCTGGAACTCCAGGCTGAAGAGAGAATATGACGTTCTCTCCCACAGGACTCTGAGTCTTGCTAGAAAAGAGCACAGACAAGCCACTTCAGGACTCCAGTTCGCCACTTAAAAATGCCACCCATCAATTCAGCTCATTTCAAAGACATCTCTATACTTGGAGCTTCCTTTCTTCACTTAAGAAAATGTTTCCGAGGGAGAAAAGCTCAAAATGTAATTTGCAAGAGAAAAGATGTAGGAAAGTTGGTTCCAGAACTCTGAGGAAACAAGGGCAAGGGAACCACCATTTACTGAGCGCCTATGAGGTACCTGGCTCTGTGCAAGGCACTTTTTCAGCATTTTTCTCACATGAGCACATGACCCAGGTATGATTTTGCCCTTTTACAAATGAGACACTAGACTCCACAGGAAGGCAGCCGGCCAGTGGTCGACCAGCTAGCTACTCTGCAGCAAAGCTGGATGTGAAGCCAGGTCCCTTGAAGTTATTTCCTTTCCAAGAGCTTTCTGTTCAGCTAGCATTTAGTTGGCACCCGCTACATATCAGGTGCTTTGCTAGCTGCGAGGAGAGAGAGGAGGGATGCAGTGCACAGCTCGAAGGGCTGGAGACAGGTCCCAGGTGGGCACAACGACCTATCACACTGTACCTCCATACTGGGGGACTACATTACTATCACTTCAGTAGCCTGTAAAATAAATAAGACAATGCAAAAAAGAGTTTCCATGTAAAACCAGAAGTCCCCAGAAGGGCACGTGCAACCTTCCCTGACCTTGCTTCCCCAGCCTCAAGTCCCTCACCCACACATGCTTGAAGCCAGCTCCCAGGCCCTCATGCTTGGAGCCAACACATACACAGGGCTCCTGCAGCCAAGCACGCCCTTCTGCCCCCATCCCCAAGCGAACCTTCCCCTTCCTCAGGAGGCCTTCACTGAGCCCTGCCGGGCTGGGCTGGTAACCCTCCCGTTGGGCTCCCAGAGCACCTGTGTGTCCTACTGGGGGCCGTCCTCACAGCTCAGGGTTGAGTCTGTGTACTTGTCCACGGCTCCCGCCTCACTGTGCAAGCCCTGACACCAGGGGCTGGGTCTACCTACCTCTCCCAACAGCCCTTGAAACCAGCACAGCACCAGGCACAGAGCTGGCATGGCTCAATGCTCCACAGGGTCACCGAGGATGTCCCCAGTCCCCAGGGCTTGGTCCTGGGCCTGCTTTTCTTCTCCCACTAATCACTCTCACCTCCTCCCTCACGGCCTCCGAGAGGGATAAGAAACAGTATCCTCTGGTAACCTGAGCAAGGCAGCATCAGGGAAGGGTTGGGGCAGAAGGAACCCACAACCCGGAGCTGACCACAGATGACCCTTTCTGGAATGCAACAAAGGGAATTACAGAAATCTGCACACAAAAAAAAGTTCAGCCTGTAACCTCCCTCCACTTCACTATTATTCCAGCAGTGTATTCCTAAGAGCATCTGAAAGCAGAAGTTTTCATTCAAGTCTTACCTTGAAAGTTTTATCCATAGAAGTGGAGAGAAGCATGTGGCTCTTAGAAAGGACTGGACACCACTGAATGGTGTTGACAGGGCCCCTGTGGCCTCTCAGGTGGAAAAGCACTTTCCGGGGAACTGTGGTTTCTTTATAATGGCTATTCAAATATGGCTGAATAAACTCAGACACTCCCGGGCCCACGTAGAGAGGGGCTGGGGCACGCCCTGCAGGGGGCCCCTGTGGCTCCACGTCTTTACCCTTGCCTGTCTCCGTGCTTAATGCCTGCCGCTGTCTTAGTCTTCTGGGAGTATAGGGTACCACACAGTCCTCACATTTTTTCTTCTGAAAAGAGCTGCCATTTTTACCTACGGTTTCAGACTCACTTTGAGCATGGAAAGATGACTTGGGAAAGTTCCTGGAGAGTTTTACTTGCTTAAAGCGGGCAGCTGCCAGGGGCATGTGGCTGGCTGGAACATGGCTCGTCCACAGAGAAGAACAAGAAGGCTCTTTGATGGGGAAGGTGACTTGAGGCTCCTTCCCGGGCCACTGTAGCCTCTGGCTGGGGCAAGATCCCCAATCGCTTCTCCCAAGCTGAGCCAATGGAAGGCGATAGCCCCCTGGGTCTTCACAGGAGCCATGCTTTGTGGGCTGTGCCCCTGCTTTGGGCACATCCAGTGTACCAGATGCAAAATCCTGCCCAGGTGGTCTGGCCACACCAGAAGTGTCTTTCTGCTGGCCGGTAGCATTAAAACTTCCTGCATGCTCTGTCTCAGCCTCCGAGTCCGAATCATCATACGCTACCAATGAAGCCATTAAAGACAGAGTTCTTGCTGTCATTCAAAGCCAAACCACCTAAGATCAAACAAGGTCAACCGTCAGAAAATGTGCATGGAAGAATATGTATGTAGTTATAAGAAACCATGTCACCTAGGAAATCCAATAACTCAACACTCATAAGAATAAACACAGGCCAGGCGTGGTGGCTCACGCCTGTAATCCCAGCACTTCAGGAGGCCGAGGTGGGTGGATAACCTGAGATCAGGAGTTCGAGACCAGCCTGGCCAACATGGTGAAACCCCGTCTCTACTAAAAATACAAAAAGTAGCGAGGCAGGGTGGCAGGCACCTGTAGTCCCAGCTACTCGGGAGGCTGAGGCAGGAGATCGCTTGAACCTGGGAGGCGGAGGTTGCAGTGAGCAGAAATTGTGCCACTGCACTCCAGCCTGGTCAACAAGAGCGAGACTCTGACTCAAAAAAAAAAAAGAAAGAAAAAGAATAAATACAAAAACAAAAAAGGCTTTTCTACATATCAGGCCCAATTAGTTAGAAGATAAAATTTTTGAAATTGAAACTATGGAATAGCTGGGGGTAAATCTGTAAAAAATAAGCAAGACCTACATGAAGACTTATAGTAAGTCTGGGTGCAGTGGTTCACACCTGTAATCCCAGCATTCTGGGAGGCTGAGGTGGGCGGATCACTTGAGGTGAGGAGTTCGAGACCAGCCTGGCCAACATAGTGACACCCCATCTCAAGTAAAAATACAAAAATTAGCCAGGCCTGGTGGCACACAACTGTAATCCCAGCTACTTGGGAGGCTGAGGCAGGAGAATCTCTTGAACCCAGGAGGTGGAGGTTGCAATGACCTGAGATTGCACCACTGCACTCCAGCCTGGGTGCCAGAGGGAGACTCCATCTCAAAAAGAGAAAAGAAAAGAAAAAAGCGCTGGGTGCAGTGGTTCATGCCTGTAATCCCAGCACTTTGGGAGGCCAAGGCGGGGGGAATCACAAGGTCAGGAGCTCAAGAGCAGCCTGGCCAACATAGTGAAACCCCATCTCTACTAAAAATACAAAAATTAGCCAGGCGTGGTGGCACGCACCTGTAGTCCCAGCTACTCGGGAGGCTGAAGCAGGAGAATCACTTGAACCCAGGAGGCGGAAGTTGCAGTGAACCGAGATTGTGCCACTGCACTCCAGACTGGGTGACAGAGTGAGACTCTGTCTCAAAAAAGTAAAATTAAAAAAAAAAAAGGAAAGAAAACTAAAACTTTTATTGAAGGACATAAAAGAAGACCTAGGCTGGGCGTGATGGCTCACACCTGAAATCCCAGCACTTTGGGAGGCCAAGGTTGGTGGATCACCTGAGGTCAGGAGTTCAAGACTAGTCTGACCAATATGGCAAAGCCCCGTCTCTACTAAAAATACAAAAATTAGCCGGACATGGTGGCAGGCGCCTGTAGTCCCAGCTACTTGAGAGGCTGAGACAGAAGAATTGCTTGAACCCGGGAGGTGGAGGTTGCAGTGAGCTGAGATCATGCCACTGCACTCTAGCCTGAGTGACAGAGCAAGACTCCATCTCAAAAAAAAAAAAAAAGAAAAAAAAAGAAGACCTGAAGAGACAATGCCTACAGAGAAAGAGACAGGACTTTAAAAATGCCTTTGGAAGGTCCATTTTGGTCATATGTGTTACAAGTTTAAACACATCATTTTCACCCCAGCAACCCCACTGTAGAACTTTATCCTACACAAATACTAGCATATGTTTGCTAGATGTATAAATCCATGAAGATAAATGTATAAAGAAAACCTGCCGCACTGCTTATTAGCAACAAGTGAGAACATATGCTCATCATCATGAACGAGGGTAGGTCTGAAAATACTGAAATCAAAAGACGTCCAGGATCCATGGTGGGAAAGGCCTGCCACTTTCCCCTGCACCCTTTCCCTGTGCTCCAGCCCTTCCCTCTTTTCTCTCTGCCTGGAACATTCTTTTTTTTTTTTTTTTTTTTTTTTTTTTTTTTTTTTTTGAGACGGAGTCTCGCTCTGTCGCCCAGGCTGGAGTGCAGTGGCGGGATCTCGGCTCACTGCAAGCTCCGCCTCCCGGGTTCACGCCATTCTCCTGCCTCAGCCTCCCAAGTAGCTGGGACTACAGGCGCCCGCCACTACGCCCGGCTAATTTTTTGTATTTTTAGTAGAGACGGGGTTTCACCGTTTTAGCCGGGATGGTCTCGATCTCCTGACCTCGTGATCCGCCCGCCTCGGCCTCCCAAAGTGCTGGGATTACAGGCGTGAGCCACCGCGCCCGGCCTGCCTGGAACATTCTTCCCCCAGGTATCCCATCTCTGTAGCAGCCAGCTGGACAGACAGGCCCACAGCACAAGGCTAAGGTCCTGAGGTGTCCGTCTACCCAAGTGTGCAGGGAGCAATTCTGAGGGCATGATCCAAATCCACCCATTTCACTCCCAACACACAGATTCACACTGCAATGAATTTCTACTTGTTAAAAAAAATCTTTCTGGGCAGGGCATAGTGGCTCATGCCTGTAATCCCAGCACTTTGGGAGGCCGAGGTGGGCGGATCACCTGAGGTCGAGTTCGAGACCAGCCTGGCCAACATGGTGAAACCCTGTCTCTACTAAAATACAAAAATTAGCCGGGCGTGGTGGCACACGCCTGTAATCCCAGCTACTCGGGAGGCTGAGGCAGGAGAATCATTTAAACCCAGGAGGCAGAGGTTGCAGTGAGCCAAGATCGCGCCATTGCACCCCAGCCTGGGCGACAAGAGTGAAACTTCGTCTCAAAAAAAAAAAAAATCTTTCTGAAATTCTGAACCATCATACACAATACATGGTTATCAATTAGTTCCCAGAAAGAAGTGCTTTGGTAATTTTTTACTTCTGTGCTGTTAGCACCAAGCACAATCCAGAGAAAAAGAAGGGTGCTAGGCACTCCTAGGACAGCAGAGGGCGCGGTGGAACAGCACAGAACGCTCAGGCAATAGACCGACTTCCAAGAAAACCCAGTGCACCCAACCTTAATCAAACACGCCAAGCTCCGCCTCCATCCCCCAACAGGTGGAGTCAGGTCAGCATCAACAGATTCCCTCCAAGTCCTTTTCTAAGTCATTCCAGACAGCCTATTACCCATCTCTTCTTCTAGACAATGGGTTTCTATGTCCCCTGGAATCAACCACCCAACCTCTTCCACACCTTTCCCCCAAGTGGCATCATTCGCCTGAGGGTTCCACTGGTCTACAAGTCAGGTCATCATTCCATAAATGTCTGTAGTCAGCCTCCTCTAGTAATGCCGCCCCCGTTCGCAGCCCATTCCAGGCAGGTAACAACTTCCACACGCAAAGCCAGAGTTTAAATAAAACGACCGGGCGCGGTGGCTCACGCCTGTAATCCTAGCACTGTAGGAGGCCGAGAAGGGCGGATTACCTGAGGTCGGGGGTTCAAGACCAGCCTGGCCAACATGGTGAAACCCCGTCTCTACTAAAAATACAAAAAAAAAAAAAATTTAGCCGTGTGCAGTGGTGCGCGCCTGTAATCCCAGCTACTCTGGAGGCTGAGGCCGCAGAATTGCTTGAACCCGGGAGGCGGAGGTTGCGGTGAGTGGAGATCACGCCACTGCACTCCAGCCTGGGCTACAGAGCGAGACTTGGTCTCAAAAAACAACAACAACAACAACAACTTCTAAAGCCAGCCAGCCAGCTCATCTCCAATGGAACTAATATAATATGAAAGACTAATTATAAACTAATGGAACCGTGCACTGCAAATAATTTGGCATTTCTGTTCTCTAAATGCTAAGCCTGGTCCCGAGGCCACTCTCAACTCCTCTGCCCAGGCACCACCCACCATGCACCCAGATTCCCACCACCAGGGTGCCCGTGCTCCCTCTGGAAGGAGATGAGGGATTAAACGAAGAGGAACAGACAGTAAGATGGAAGGGAAGGCAGGGACACTGGAGAAGAGTCTAAGGAAGGAGCGAGTGACTCTGACAGTCACTATCAGCAAGTCAGCCCCATGAGGACAGGACTTTCTGTGTTTTGTTCACTATTCAATGCCCAGCGTCTAAAAATATTTCTGGAATGCAAACGGGTGGGAGGGGGAGATGCTAGGAAGTAAAAGAAATAGGATATTCCCATTCAACAAACATTTCCTGATTACGTACTCTTTGTCAAGCCCTATGCTGGGTCTGGTGTGGGTGGAAATCAAACACAAAACACAGATCCCCCCGGAGGCCCCAGAGCGATGAAAGCAACAAACAAGATACGACCAGAGATGGGTTTTGAAGGATGAATAGGAGTTAGCTGAGCTGTCAATAGTAAGAAGTAAGGTTGGTCCAAGGCACAGCGCTTTCTGAAGGAACAGGAAGTGAAAGGAAGGCGAGCGGCTATGAGAGACCGCGTTAAGCGGCACGGGGCGCTTTAGGCGCTGCCCAGTCCCGGCCCCTCCAGCCCGGGGCCCGCCGCTCACCACACGCACCGGAAGCGCTCGGTTCTCCCGGAGGCAGACCGGCCAGCACACTACCATCCAGTCACGTTCCGACGCGACGCCGCGGCCGCCAGCCAATCAGTGGCGGCCTCTGCCCCGCCCCCGCGCGAACAGCCAATGACGGCGCCGTCGGGCCGGAAGTTGTTCCGTCCGGACGGCGTTTCCACGGACGCCCAGGAGACAGCCGGTTGCTGAGCCGGGAGCGCTGACTGGCCCGGCTGGGCAGGGTAAGCGAGGGGAGTAAGGCCGGGGCGGAGTGAGGAAACAAGGGAGGGAGTGATGGAGGGACGCTGGCGCGGCGCCCAGTGGCCTGGCCCTCCCGGGAGTATCCTTAGAGCCCGGCTTGCTGCCCGCCGCGTTCTGGCACTGTGAGGCGCGGAGCCTGCCACCGACCCCTCGCCCCTTTCCTCTGAGCGCCGCCGACCCACCCCGTCTCCCTTTCCCACTGGCACCCTTCATCGTCTCCGCCTGTTCGCTTTTCCCGAGGAGAGAGGCCCCCATTTTTATTTAGCGCCTGCCATGTGCCAGAGGCTTTGCGTAGTGTTGCACTTAGTCCCCTCAACGGTAATGTTAGCAGGCTTCTCCATGCCCATTCCACAGATGAGGAAACCGAAGGGGAAGCAGAAAAGTAATGCGACCCTTGCCCAAGGTTTCGAATAAGTCCAAGCTGGGATTGAAACCCAGGCGTCTGTGACCCCAGAACTCCTGATCTTTCCACTGCACTGTGCCGCCTCGGTGAACAGATGCGGGGAATTTACAGTTTCTCTTTCCACCGCCCACGACTACACAAAATCAGTCACACTGACGCTGAGGGTGGGGAACGGGAAGAGGGTGGGGAGGTTATTTGGAGGCCAGCGGGGGGTGAGGGGTGGCTGATGCAATGACCAGCTAATGGCTCGATTCTCAAGAGGGTTTCATTGGTCTCAACCTGGCCCCCCAGGCAACCCACCCCTGATTGGACAGTCTCATCAAGAAGGTTGGTCAAGAGCTCAAGTGTTTCTGAGAATCTGGGTGATTTATAAGAAACCCTTAGCTGAATGCAGGGTGGGGAGAACGAAAGACAAAAGCATCTTTTTTCAGAAGGGAAACTGAAAGAAAGAGGGGAAGAGTATTAAAGACCATTTCTGGCTGGGCAGGGCACTCTCAGCAGCTCAACTGCCCAGCGTGACCAGTGGCCACCTCTGCAGTGTCTTCCACAACCTGGGTATGTATTGCCATCTTTGCCAGGCTTAGAGCTTGTTCGTGTTTTTAGCAAAGTGCTGAAAACCTTGGTTTAGGGGGTCAGGACTTGTGTCTTAGGATTAGGGTGTTATGCATTTTACTTCTTCCATTGACCCAAAGTTCAGGTGATTCACTGCTCCCATAGGGAACAGAGATCCTGGCTGAGCAGTCGCGGGCTTGGATCCGTAGCTTGCCTCTCAGCACCGTCATGCTGTCTGTCATAATTTTCACTGATGCACCCTCCTTCTGTGCTCAACATCAGAACGTATTGTCATTCTTATTGTGACACCCAAAAGTGTCTCGTGCCTGGCTTCATAGAAATTAATGTCTTTGCCTTTTAAGATAATGTTCATGCTGTTATTTGGCGGGGAAAGCAATCTTTCTTTTAGTGTTTAAAAAAAATGGAACATGATGGGTCCCAAAAGGTGTCAAGAAATCCTTGCTCTAAAGAAGTCATTTTCTTGTCCTCTGGGAACTTGCCAGTCCAAAGGTATTGTCACCTACACTCTGGGGCCAAGATAGAAAGGATGGTATTCTACCTCCTGGTGGTATTCCAGGGATCCAGAAACACTCCTGGGCCACATTCTCTTCTCACCTGCTCCAGAATTGGCTGTCTTGATGCCACCCTTCCCCAGATTGCAGAATCAGCGTGCCCTGATCTCTGTGAGATGATTTTGATGCAACCCAAGTCTTTATCATGTTGTTCTGTTAAACAATTCTATAGTCCTTTCCACTCCTCATCCCAATACAATACCCAGTTTCTTTAAGTGCCTATTATGCTCCTCCACCACAGTGGAAACTTTCAGAATGAGCACAAGATTCAAGTTCTTGAAAAGGGGGAACTGGGGGTTAATTTTCAAGAGGCTTTTTAGCTTTCTCCTTGAAGGTCTGCTGTGATCTGCTGTGGAGTAGGCAGTTTTGCTCTTTACACGCCCAGTACTTTTGTTTAGGGAAGATAATAGAGTACTTCACTGGTTATAACTGCATTTCTTTGTTTCAGAGTGTACTATTTGTTAAACAGGTGAATCTACTTCTCTTAACAAAGTCTCAATGTCCTATTTGCAATTTATGTGGTAAACACTGAAGACAATGGTCCTTAACCTTTTGGCATCTCAGCCTCCTTTCGAAAGGTAAGAAAGCCAGGAGACTGCTCAAAACCATGTACATACCAATGTACTTGCAAGCATTAATGTAATTTCAGATGTTCCTGAACTCCAAGTTGAAAAACCTCTGAAGTTCAACTCAATTCTGAAAGTCAACAAAGAAATAAAGGAGGATGTCAATAGGTAGGGGGAAGAAGAACATTTACACAGGAAATGGGGTAAACTCATAAATGCGTGAAATGAGGAAGATGGTAGTTCCATTCTCCTTGTCTCTGACCACACAGAAAGTTGCATCATACACACACACACACACACACACACACACACACACACACACAAGATTTCAATAGTGTGGATGATTCCCACGCAAAGTATATGCCTTGTGATCATGATCATCTGCTATTTCCTCAGTCTAATTTCATTCCCATGTGCTTCTTAAATGGAGTTCTGATATTTATAGACACATGTTTTTCCCTGCAACATGGACCCTAAATGCAAGTCCTGTTTATCTAGCTGATCCTCTAGCAAAGAAACAGTTATCTATTCTATTGCAGTGGGAGATTGGCTGTCCTGGGATCACTCAGGCATTCTACCTGGCACTTTCCCCTGGAATTTTTAAGGATAATTTTTATACTTGATTGACTTCAAAACCTTACTGCTGCTGCCTTGTTGCCTTCACGCGGGGCACCACATTTTTTGGAAGGACAGGGTAAACCAAAAGGAATTCCAAAAATAGTGACCAGGATGGTGGGCAGATGTTAGCAGAGGGTGAAGAAAACAGACTAAGGTTGGGAGACCTGGAGGAGACCCCAAGAGACCAGCCTGGCTCTCCTTAGATGTGGGAAAGCTCAACTCAGTACCAGGACGTTAAACAAGAGGCCATCTAAAGTCCAGCTGGGGGAATCAGTCTTCAACTGGAACAAGTAAAGACATTCTAAGGATAAACCTTAGAGGAAAAAGTTGAACTAGATGACTAAGGAGATTCATTCATTAGGTAAATATTTTTTGATAAGCTGTGTGCCAGGTACTAGAGGTACATGGAAGAATAAACCCAGGGCTTACCTTTGCTGTCTGCTGGGGAAGACATGAATAACTAAACTGCAGTGTGAGTGCTTTCATAAAGTTACTAAAGGAGTGTTTGGGGATCACAAAGGATGGAGCAACCAACTTGTTCCCAGAAGCATAGGTGTCAGGAGAGGCTGTGAAGAGCTGAGGTTCAAATTGGAAAGATAATCAATCAGCAGAGTTCAGGCAGAGAAGGGTGTGAGACATTTCAGGCAGGCAGGCAGGCAGGCAGCAGGGAGCAGCAGGGATTCTGAGAGAGCACATGAGCAAGGGGGCTTGGGAATCAGATTCTGGCTTAGCTACTCCCTGGTAATGGAGCCATCAGCCTCTTGTCTGCTATTGCAGGGCACATAGAGTAACACCCAGCTTTGAGAGTTGGGAGAATTCAGGATAGGTTTCTGGACATGATGATTGATGATTTGTGGCTAGAAGTAATTTTCATGAGTTTGATCGTTATTTGATATGGACAGAGACCTTAGAGAGAAATGGATTTCGACTGATTTGCTCAGCTTGTTGCTGGGGAGGGAATGGGAGAGCCTGAGAGTTCTCTCTAGCCCTAGGCAGAGGGTACTCCGGCATTCCTCCCTAAACTGGATGCTTTCTTATCTGAGTCAGTTATCTCACCAAACCTCCCTTTCTGGGAACTGAGGTGGTTCTCATCAAGGAGGAGAAAGAAACTGGCTGCTGTCCTGTCCCGGTTTTCAGTATTATAGTTTCATTGAATTAAATAAGTTTTGATTTACATACTTTTTTTTCAATTTTTGTTTTTTTATTTTATAAAAATTTTTTGGAGAGACAGGGTCTCACTATCCATGTTACCTTTCACTCGTGTCACTCGTGTCCGTGTGAAGAGACCACCAAACAGGGTTTGTGTGAGCAACAAGGTTGTTTATTTCACCTGGCTGCAGGCGGGCTGAGTCCAAAAAGAGAGTCATGGAAGGGAGATAGGAGTGGGGCCGTTTTATAGGATTTGGGTAGGTAAAGGAAAGTTATAGTCAAAGGGGATTGTTCTCTGGCGGGCAGGTGGCAGGGGTCACAAGGTGATCAGCAGGGGAGCTTTTGAGCCAGGATGAGCAAGGAGAAGGAATTTCACAAGGGAATGTCATCAGTTAAGGCAGGAACAGGCCATTTTCACTTCTTTTGTGAAGGAATGTCATCAGTTAAGGCCATCTGGATGTGTACGTGCCGGTCACAGGGGATATGGTGGCTTAGCTTGGGCTCAGAGACCTGACATTACCCAAGCTGCTCTTGAACTCCTGAGCTCAAGCAATCGCCTCTGCTTCCCAAAGCACTTGGACTGCAGTTGTGAGCCACCGCTCACAGCACCCGTGATTTACATACTTTTTGGAATTTTTTTTGTTTTGAGACAGAGTCTCTCTCTGTTGCCCAGGTTGGAGTGCAGTGGCATGGTCTCAGCTCACTGCAACCTCTGCCTCCCAGGTTCAAGTGATTCTCATGCCTCAGCCTCCCAAGTAGCTGGGACTACAGGTACATGCCACCATGCCTGGCTAATTTTTGTATTTTTAGTGAAGATGGGGTTTCACCATGTGGGCCAGGCTGGTCTTGATCCACCCTCCTTGGCCTCCCAAAGTGCTGGGATTACAGGCATGAGTCACCACACCTGGCCTACTTTTTTTTTTTTTTTTTTTTGAGACAGAACCTTTCTGTCACCCAGGCTGGGGTGCAGTGGTGTGATCTCAGCTCACTGAAACCTCCACCTCCTGGTTTCAAGCAATTCTCCCACCTCAGCCTCCCAGGTATTTGGAACTACAGGTGTGCGCCACCATGCCCAGCTAATTTTTCTCTATTTTTAGTTGAGACGGGGTTTCACCATGTTGGCCAGGCTGGTCTCAAACTCCTGACCTCAGGTGATCCACCCACCTCAGCCTCCCAAAGTGCTGGGATTATAGGCGTGAGCCACCACACCCAGCCAATTTACGTACTTTTAAAGCAAATATTTAACAAATGGATAGGATAGAGTAAAATAAATGACACCACAAATGTATATGTTTGGTTCATAAAGATAAGTCATTTGTAAGATAATGGTTGAAAGTGTAGGCTCTAGAGTCAAACTACTAGAGTCTATAACGCATCTCTGCCATTTCCTTGTGATGTTAACATGGGCAAGTTTTATTTTATTTTATTTTTATTTTTAGAGACAGGGTCTTACTCTGTCACCCGGGCTGGAGTACAGTGGCGCAAACGTAGCTCACTGAAGCCTCGAACTCCTGGGCTCAAGTGATCTTCCTGCTATAGCCTCCCAAGTAGCTGGGATTACAGGCCCACCACCATGCCCAGCTAATTTTTTTTTTTTTCATTTTTTTGTAGAGTCTCACTATACTGCCCAAAGTGCCAGGGTTGCAGGTATGAGCCACCATGCCCAGCCATGGGCAAGTTTTTTTTAACCCCTCTGTGCCTCATCTATAAAATGGAGATTACAAATCTATTTCATAGGACTGCTGCAAGGCTTAAGTGAATTGATACATATACGGTGCTTAGAACAATAACAGGTACAGAGGTGTTCAAAGTTAGCAGCTCAGGCACTAGCCTTGTCATTTTCCTTCTCCAAGGTTTTACAGCAAGTTAAAATGAAGCTGGAGTTCAGCCAATCTTTGGAATCCTAAGAAACACAAGAAATTTAATAACAGCACTCGTAACGTAGTTACATCTTGCTTTACAGTTTACAAAGTGCTACCATGCCTTTTTTTTCTCATTTTGTTCTCATAAGAGCCTGGGGTAGATGAAGTTCCTGGTGGCGCCATTTTATAGGTTAGGAAACTTGACTCTTAGGAAGTGATTGAGCCAAGAAAGGTTTGATGGCGATACAGTCTCTGTCTGCCATGTCCCCACTTCCTGCAAGGGTTATAATGAATCATGACTAATAGGAGGTGCAGACACACCTTCTGCAAAGGCTTGTAGTTAAATAAGGCAGCACGTGGAATGGACAGACTGGAGACAGTCCTTACCTCATGTGGAACCTAGGACAGGTAAGGCCCTGTCCTCCACCCCAGAGCTCACTTTGTCTGAGAGCAGCTGACCAGCAGTGGAAGACATTTGCTCAGCGATATATTAGTTATGGCTGCAAAAGCCCAAGAATTCATCCCCAAGGCAATTAAGATAAACCACAAATAGAGGATGGGTGCCTTGGCTCACACCTATAATCCCAACACTTTCGGGAGGCTGAAGTGAGAGGATCACCTGAGGTCAGAAGTTCAAGACCAGCCTGGCCAACATGGTGAAACCCTCCCTCTACTAAAAATACAAAAATTCGCTGGGCATGGTGGCAGGCAGCCTCAGGAGGCTGAGACAGAAGAATCGCTTGAACCCCAGAGGTGGAGGTTGCAGTGAGCCAAGATCACACCATTGCACTCCAGCCTGGGTGGCAGAGCGAGACTCCATCTCAAAAAAAAAAAAAATCAAATAGTAATTTGCCAAAAGTTTTTAGCAATGAACTTAAGTTCATTAAAACACATTGGTATTTATACCCTGAGCAAACAGGAGTCCTCCTGTGTTCTGGGCACTGGGTGGGGGCACAGGGGCATCACCAGATGCAAACTTGATCTTGACTAGGAGGGCCCCTCCTAGTCAAGTAGATTCACACCTTAAGTCAGTAAATCCTAGCCACTCCTTTAGTCTTCATCACTGGCATTTGATGGTTTTCCTCTTCTTCATGGCCCCAAATTTCTGGTTCTCTTTTTATTATATTATCTATGTCCTTTACTGTAACTCACCTCACAACCTTTTCGGAAAAAAGGACTCAATACAGGAAAGGAAAAACAGCCGCGATGTTGTGTTAACCTCTGGTTTTTCCTCTCTCTCCTTCCCCGCCCCCACCCCAGTCTTGACTCGTCTGCTGAACAAATCCTCTGACCTCAGGCCGGCTGTGAACGTAGTTCCTGAGAGATAGCAAACATGCCCAACAGTGAGCCCGCATCTCTGCTGGAGCTGTTCAACAGCATCGCCACACAAGGGGAGCTCGTAAGGTCCCTCAAAGCGGGAAATGCGTCAAAGGTACATGATTTTGCTGGGTTCTCCACGAAGGCAGCTGAGCCTCCCAAGTCTGTAGGGTTGTGTTCCTCTAGAATAGATGGTTTCCTCAATGACTGAGGTGTTTTGGTTATAATTTTTTATTTTTTGAGAGGGAATTTCACTCTTGTTTCCCAGGCTGGAGTGCAATGGTGCAATCTAAGCTTGCTGCAACCTCTGCCTCCCGGGTTCAAGTGACTCTCCTGCCTCAGCCTCCCAAGTAGCTGGGATTACAGGCATGCACCACCACACCCAGCTAATTTTGTATTTTTAGTAGAGATGGGGGTTTCACCACGTTGGTCAGGCTGGTCTCAAACCCCTGACCTCAGGTGATCTGTCCACCTTGGCCTCCCAAAGTGCTGGGATTACCAGCATGAGCCACCACGCCAGCCTTGGTTATAGTTTTAAATGTATTTTTCCTTTATCAACATTGGGATGCCTGTGGTCTAAAGAGTCAGGGGTTCTCAAAGCCTTTGTGAAATACAGTGGCCCTCCAGCCCACCTCTCCCTATTTCCTGCTCAATTCTTTTAGCCGATCTTTTGGTTATGTACTCCCCATATCTGTAAATATTCTGCTTATCATATTGTTCCTTGTTGATTTTCAAGTTGGGGTCTTTCAGGTGGAAATGAAGCATTCGTACCTTCACAACCACTTCCCGTCCAGGCAGTCTCCCCATCTGTATTGCAGTTGTAGTTAGGTCAGTATCTGTACACTGACATTATTATGACCATGGAAATAGACGTGGACAGCTGAACCATCACGGATAGAATGAGTACTCTAACTTTCTCGCCCAGCTTTTGTTTTCTCTGGAGTTAATATTTGTCTTAATATCTGTTTGCTTGACTTTTTTATGTCAATGATACTAATGATAATGTATCTCCAAGCCCTTTCCCTGTCCAGTGAATCTCCTTTCAACACACATCAACTAGTCTATCAAGTTCATCTTCTTGAGGCGATCTCTCCCAAAACCTTCTGCCTGCTTCCCTCTGAAGTGGGGGCTCTTGCTTCCTACACTGCCCATCTTGGCGTCTTTCTTCACTGTCGACCCAAGGGGTTCTTTCACCCCTGTCGATTGGGTGCCCCGTTTCCTGCTCCTGCATCTTTATTCCTCTTTGCTTTACTCTTTGGGCAGAGCAAATCTTCCAATTGTTTCTGAAAAAAATATTGCAAAGGAAATATTTCTAGGGGGATCTTGCCCATCTGAAAGCGTATTTATTTTACCTAAAACATGATTGATAGCCAGGCTGGGTGTAGGGTTCTAGCATGGAAGTGATTTCCCCTGGAAATGCTGAAGCCACTGCTCTATTGGCACCTAGCTTCTGGGCTTGCTGCAGAGAAGTCAGTTGCCATTCCTTTGTTTTTTCTTTTTGGAAGTTAGCAGGATCTTCTTTGTTCCCGTGTTCTGAAATTTCATGGGATGCAGGTTCAGTATGCCTTTCTTTTTTTTTTTTTTTTTTTTTTTGCCACCCCACCCCCGCCCCCCGAGATGGAATCTCACTCTTTCACCCAGGCTGGAGTGTGGTGGCACAATCTCGACTCACCGCAACCTCCGCCTCCTGGGTTCAAGCAGTTCTCCTGTCTTAGCCTCCCAAGTAGCTGGGATTACAGGCATCCGCCACCATACCAGGCTAATTTTTGTATTTTTAGTAGAGACGGGGTTTCACTATATTAGCCAGGCTGATCTCAAACTCCTGACCTCATGATCTGCCCACCTCGGCCTCCGAAAGTGCTGGGATTACAGGCGTGAGCCACCACACTCAGCCTGCCTTTTAGACTAGAAACTCATGGCCGTTAATTCTCAGAAATCATGATTTCTTTGATCTCTTCTGTTTTCTCTCTTCACAGACTTTTTTTTTTAATTCAGAGACTGTTTCTCTGATTTTCTAACCCTCCTATTGTTTTCCATTTCTGCTATCATTTTTAACTTCCAGGAGCATGTATGCTCCCTGAAGTTTCCTCACAGCACTCTGCCCTGACTCATAGGTACAGTACCACCCTTTTCTCTCTGAGATTTTTTTTTTTAATCTTATTTTACTGTATTAAATCTTACTAATATTCTGTAAGGGACAAACCAGACGAGTAGGCTACAGTGAAGAAATCTTATTTTGGAGAGTTAAGAAACCACTATGATACTTCCAGGTATTATCTTCAGTGATGCTTCTTATCTTTATTCAGGGACTCCAGGTAATATTCAGCTCCTACAGCTACCACAAATGCAGCAAATCCCCATTTGAATCCTTTAAACAATACATCAAAAAAGGAAACACTCTTTGCAAAGCCACCCATGTATCTTCAAGCTTCATTGTGGCCCCACGGATCCCTTAGCCCTTTTTCAGCCAGCTTCTTCTGGATAGTTTCTAATGGTGTCCCTTCTGTCTTCCGTTGTCTGTAATCTAGAAGTTCCATTTTACGATGTCCATGCTCATGTCCATGTCCATGGGCCATGTCTGACAGCAATCTGACCTCTCAGGACACTCAACTCTCTCTCTCTGAGATCTTAATGGTAGTTTTCCATATGTCCTCTACATCCTTTATAACCTCAGTTTCTTCCATCTTAATTTGTTTTCTACCTGCCTTTCATATTAGAGGCAATTCTCAACTGTTTGGTGTTTCTTGGCTATTTGCTGGTGTTTTGGGGGGTGCACTGAAAGCTGCTGGATGCACTCTTCATTGGGGAAGAGCTTATCAACATAGGTTCCACTTCCTGGAGAGTGACCAGGCTGCTCCCCTTTTGTTGGGGAATCTTTCGTGTCAAGGTCTTTAGATCTTTTCTTTAAAGTTAAGTGAGATTCCCCAGAGAAAGCTCCCCCAGTCCACTGTTCAGAGGGGGTGAGTCCCGCTGCCAGAGTTCTACGGCTGAGTGGGAGAGAAGGGCTGGGCTGTGGGATCCTTCCCCGAAGCTCCCTATTCTCTGTGTGCTGCCAGTGCCCCAACTGTGCAGACTGCCCCCAGTCTAGGCACCTGTAACTCTGTCCTCTCTTGACATGAAACCTTGGAATGGAGGGGAAACTGTGACACTCCCTTGGCCGAGGGGAGAGGGATTCTCAATAACTGCTTCTTGAAGAGACTTCAACCAGCGCTCCTGTTTTCATAACCCGCTTTCCTGCCCCCACTCCTGTAAGTGCGCAAGGTCACTAAGGCCCGAACCTTTGGGTGATTCCGTAACAGTGTACACTCGGTCACCTTCCAGTATTTCCATGATGTCTTAGCATTTGTTTTTCTCTCATGCTGTTAGGCACTGATCATTCATCAGCTTTCTGGCTTCTGAAACCTTGTTGCTGTCATCCTCTTCTTGTTTCCTTTGTCCTTGTGGGATTATGCTTTAAAAAAAAAAAAAAAAAAGAAGATCTCTGCTTTTGTTGTAGTAGATTTCAGAAATATCATCATCAATACGCATCTTTAACTAGAACATAAGCATTTCATTTCCTTCTGGGGTGACTCCACTCCGGCTTCTCCATGACTTCCATCACTTTTTTTTTTTTTTTTTTTTTGAGGCTGAGTCTCACTCTGTCGCCCAGGCTGGAGTGCACTGGCACAGTCTTGGCTCACTACAACCTCTGCCTCCTGAGTTCGAGCGATTCTCCTGCCCTGGCCTCGTAAGTAGCTGGGACTGCAGGCGCCCGCCACCACACCCGGCTAATTTTTGTATTTTTAGTAGAGAGGGGGTCTTGCCATGTTGGCCAGGCTAATCTTGAACTCCTGATCTCAGGTGATCCGCCCGCCTCAGCCTCCCAAAGTACTGGGATGACAGGTGTGAGCCACCACGCCCGGCCCGACTTCCGACACTTTTAACTCCTGTTATCTGTTATCTTTTCAAACACCTTGCTTGTCACCAGATTGTGTCAACCATCTCACATTCCCCAGTAGTTTACTTTGACTATTTGGGACCCTGATTTAAATCATTATTTGTGTGTGTGTGTGTGTGTGTGTGTGTGTGTGTGTGTGTATTTTTTGAGACAGGGTCTCGCTCTTTCCACGTTGGAGTGCAGTGGTGCAATCCTAGCTCAGTGCACCCTCAAACTCCTGGGCTCCCACCTTAGCCTGCCAAGTTGCTGGAATTATAGATGCAAGCCACTGCACCCAGCTCATATTTTAAATGAAATAAATAGTACTGAAAGAAAGTAATGTCAAAAAAAAGTTACTTTTTTACAGAAAGAGATTTACTCACCAGGTAGGCCTCAAACGATTAAACCAAGTTGTTTTAAAACAAAATTATAAAATAAATAAAAGACCCAGTGGGGTTATGTAAGCCCATCATTTTGGGAAGTTGACAGTGGTATTTTTGTCCATTTAATATTAAATTTGAATAACATTTAGTAAATGTTTTTAGTTAGTAATTCTTAGTGACTGCAGTTATGTTCATTATTTTAGTCAACTTAATACATTTTATAATAACTCTTCCAAGTGTATTATTTGACTAATGCAATTGGCTGGCACACGTTGAAGACATCAGAGGTTGCACAATGAGACCAGAGTTAAGTGGTGAAAAATTCAGAAGTACATTTGTATCTGACCCTGAAATGTCTTGGTAGTAGAAGCACTTGATGTTTTGGAAATTTTAAAAATTAACTTTTAGCAAAATAGTGTGAGCCACATTGGGAGTGCCAGTTCTAAGAGAGGGCACCTTGAGCTCTTTCTTCTCCTGCCATTTATCTAGGCCATGGACCTTGAAGGTCTTTTCTGCTCCAGTGTATCTAAAGAATAAGATCCACATCCTTCAGTAGCAGCAGCTCATTAAAGCGGCAAGTTTCCTAGGGGGAAATAAGTCAGCATCTGAGGGCTGTGAGGGGAAATAGTTTGAGCAGGACTAAAGAAGCAATGCTAGGTCTTAGGTATTAAGAAAGAGAGCAGAGCCTTTTTCTTCTTCTCCTTTTTGTTTAAGTAACTTCTAAAATCAAAATATACCATTCATATAGAAAAACATGCTGATCATAAGCACAAGCAGGCACCTCACTGAATTTTCACAAAATGACCACACCTGTGTAACCAGCACCCAAATCAACAGCAAGCAGAGAGCACCTAGAAGCCACCCTCACGCGCCTCAGCCTCTGCCATGACTCCTCCCACCAGGGGTAGCTCTACCTGGGTTTGAACTGTATGTAATACAGTCTTGTGTCTGGCTTTTTTTTCTGAACATCAGCTTTTGGCGAGGCTCCGTGGCTCATGCCTATAATCCCAGCACTTAGGAGGCCAAGGCAGGAGGATCGCTTCAGGCCAAGAGTTTGGGACCAGCCTGGATAATATAGTGAGACCCTGTCTCTACAAAAAATTTAAAAATTAGCCAGACATGGTGGCACACACCTGCAGTCCCAGCTACTCAGGAGACTGAAGTGAGACCCTGTCTAAAAAAAACTGATGTTCTGGGTTTTTTGTGGGGTGGGGATCTCACTTCATCACCCAGGTTGGAGTGCAGTGGTGCAATCTCGGCTCACTGCAACCTCTGCCTCCCTGGCTCAAGCAATCCTCTGACTTCAGCCTCCCGATGAGCTAGGAACACAGGTGTGTGCCACCACACCTGGCTAATTTTTTCTATTTTTGGTAGAGACAGGGTTTTGCCATGTTGCCTAGGGTGGTCTCGAACTTATGAGCTCAGGCGATCCGCCCGCCTTGGCCTCCCAAAGTGCTGGGATTACAGGTGTGAGCCACTGCACCCAGCTAACATCAGCTTTTGAATCCTGTTTCAGTGTCCTGGTTCAGACACTGATTAAGACTGATTATAAGAAAATAGACAAGGTAAGCCTGCTTGTCTTATTTTGGTGCTATTCCAAAATGCAGATGGTCCTTGAGCAGGGACATTGGTTAAATGTTTGACTTTCGCAGAGCCTCCTAGTTACAAGCAGAATTAGACCAGATAGAGTATGAAATGTCAACAAAGCTAGTTATTAAGTGATATTGACTGCAGTGTACTTCAAAGCAAGGTAAGCCTTCCCATAGATAATTGGATAGATTATACGTACTAAACTGTTATTTTTTGCAAGTACTGAGCCTAGGTACTACAGAAATGAGATGGGTGGAACATACTTAACTATCTAACCTGGGCAAACATCTCATCTATGAATCGTATCCATTGGGTTACTGATTCCACAAATCTGGCTCATTTTAATGATGAGTCTCAGATAATTTTGTAGTTTGAAACACAGATTACTCCAGAATCACAGTCCTTTATGGCCCAAGTGCTATATCTGATGGAATAGTTATCTCTGAATGGAGGTTGGTGTTTATAGAACATTCTGTATATGGTAAAAGGAATTTAAGGAGATTTAAAAGAAAGAATGTTCTGTATAAACTGTAAGTGGAAATGTTTGTATTTCCCTTGGTAAGCAAATTGGGCTGTGTATATTCTTTGTTTGTGATCTAATCCAGCAAGGCCAATTACCAGAATAGAGCTTTAGGGCATAGCATGACTAATCAGCTTAATTAGGCCTGCTTTTCTAAACACCAGGCTTCCAGGGGTGGCCACTATGGACTCCTGCAAAAGAGTCTTTAATACATTTCCAGACTACCCAAGGGTACATTTTACCTTTGTTTTTTTTTTTTCAAGATAGTTTGATAAGACTCCAAAATGTGATGATGTAACTATTTCCCAGTGAATCCCTCCTTAATTTATAACCTGAGAGCCTACATTTTTTGTCCTTGCTTTTATCTGTTTTAGTTGCTCTTACTATCCTTAGTGGCATCATTGGTTAAGTTAACGTAAATATTCATCTCAACCTGTGTGGTATGTAAAAACTAGTTCCAATGCAGAACTCCAGGAATCTCAATTAAAGGAGCTTGTCACACACGTTCTCTGGCATCAGTGGTGTTTGAGAAATCTTTAGCATATGAACTTTGTCATAAATGACAGTGTATATTGTGTCACTGCTACTGTCCCAAAGTGTTCATGGTAGCACTAGAATAACAGATAAAAATGAAGTGTTTTCGAGCCAATGACTTGCTGTGATTCTATGGGTAAGCTCCTCTACCTCTCTGAGTCTCAGATTCTTGAGCTGGAAAAGGACAGTGACAACAATACCTGCCTTGTAGGGTTGTGACACTAACTAAGGTAACACGTGTAAAAGCATTTAACACAGTGCCTGCCACAGAATAGGCATTCAGCACATATCAGCTATTAGTAATACTTTTAGCCATCCCTTTTATTTCCTCTCTCAGGATGAAATTGATTCTGCAGTAAAGATGTTGGTGTCATTAAAAATGAGCTACAAAGCTGCCGCGGGGGAGGATTACAAGGCTGACTGTCCTCCAGGGAACCCAGCACCTACCAGTAATCATGGCCCAGATGCCACAGAAGCTGAAGAGGATTTTGTGGACCCATGGACAGTACAGACAAGCAGTGCAAAAGGCATAGACTACGATAAGCTCATTGGTACGTCCTCTGCTTTCTTCCCAGAAAAAGCTGCAACTTTTAGAAGTGGTCCCATTGAGTTGATTCCATTGATGTTTTTAAATTTTGAATTAATCATAAATTCAGTGAAGCTTCAATGCCAAGAAAAAATGGATACTAAAATCTTTTGGTTGTGCATTATATTCCCAAAGGATTATTTTAAAATAAAATAACAATATAAAATATATTTCAAAATAATGATCTATAGTAGACAGCTTAATAGAAGGTTTTCCCTTTTTTTGAGCACTTCAGAACTTGGGAAAGGTCTATTGAAATGGCCATTTATAACATTTAGTGGCTACAAGTCAATCATAGATTACTTAGGTTTCACCTCCAGTGATACTGACTATGGACCTAGAAGGCTGGAAGTCAGCTTAAGAGCAGTGACTTCTCACATCGGGCAAGTTCTTACTGTCATGCCCTTCCTTGAGGGCCTTCCTGCTCAGGAAAGACTGTTGCCATTCCATTGAAGTCTTTACTCTGAGATCATTGCTAATTATCAGAGAAGAAACAGAACTGAAATGTTTTCATCTAAGTCAAAGCCATTTTCCATGATTTCAGTATAGACTATCAATGAGGGAAAATTCACTTGAAGACCGACATTAATTCAGTTCAACAAATAAAGAATGTGAGAAATCATGGTTGTCAATGAATATAAATTTTACCTTAATAAACAAATATATATATATATACCTATTTATATATGTATATGTTTATATTTTGTTGTCAAAAGTTGCTAGCTGGACTGCATTCTGAATATGTTTCCCATCAGAACCCAGTCTCAGGCAAAACAGCATTTTGTGTTGTAATTTATTTCCTGTTTTGTTGGTTGTGTTGATCTCAGCTGTTGTTTTAATCCAAAGACCTTTTACTTCATGTTGGGGGTAAGGACCTTTAGCAGAAGGCCTAAAGAGGTTTGTGTTCATTAAGATTGTGCATGGATCACTCACTTTTCATCTTCATTTCAGTAATATCTGATCACTAAACCTCCTGCCACCTAAGAAAGTCATCTTTTCTTTTTTTCCAGTTCGGTTTGGAAGTAGTAAAATTGACAAAGAGCTAATAAACCGAATAGAGAGAGCCACCGGCCAAAGACCACACCACTTCCTGCGCAGAGGCATCTTCTTCTCACACAGGTCAGGGGCTCTTCACCACAGGCCTTCTCACCTGTCCTCTTCTTTTAGTTCAAAAAAATCGTAAGACACTCTCTTCATAAGCCACCTGGTACTGTGGGAAAAGTGATGGCCAGCTGTGGTAAGACTGAGATCCATCCTCTGTCCTGTCAGTAACCCACTGTGGGATCATGCTTGTCCATCACCCTCAGGCTCTTAGTTTTTTCATTTGTAGACTGCCCACCTCACAAGGTGGGAATCATATTAATAGCAGGTGAGATTCTTCCCAGATTACAGGCTGTAAAGAAATTATAAAATGTCATGAAAACAAAAGAGAATAATATGTCCAAGATCAGCATTTCCCACATGACAAACAGTAGGCTTCCTGAAATTCCAAACCCTCTTCCTCCTATTGTATTGACTTGCTCATAAACAATACCAACAGACAAACCAACAGAGAATGCATGGAACAGATTATCTGTACCTTAGGCCGTAAATTCCACGCAGATAACGTCAAGATATGGGCAGGTTCCAAAAGAGTTTCTGCCTCTCCCAACCTACAGTTATCTGGGCTGAGGCAGCCCCCTTTTTGAAGCTGTGTCCATGGAATTTATGATCTGATGTAGGGTTGTTCTGTTCTACTGGCACTTCACGCTTACAGGAGAACAACCCCAGGACAGAGCCCAGCAGTCTGCCCAAACACTTCAAATTCTACCTGCAAAGAACTCCAGGCCTTGCTCAACCCACTTTCTGGGTGGAATATAATAAAAAATTTTCCTTAATTCACATACTATAAAACTTATTTTTTTAAATGTACAGTTAAGTGGGTTTTAGTATATTCACAAGGTTGTGAGACCATCAAGACTATCTAATTCCAAAACATTTCATCACCCCAAAAGGAAACTTCTACCCATTAACCCATTTATGCCAGAAGTTGTAAAAATTTTTTGTGAAAAATCAGACCTTGGCAATCACCTTGAGCAGTAAGATATCAATAACTCCCACAAGTTTAGCATTCCAATTTTGGAACAGTAGGTAGGCATAAATGGGTTAACAGTCATCCCCCATTTCTCCCTCCCCACTGGCAACCATTAGTCTGCTTTCTCTATATCTAGATTTAGGCATTTTATATAAATGGGATCATGTAACATGTGGCCTTTTGTGTCTGGCTTCTTTTACTTGGCATAACATTTTCAAGGTTCCTCCATGTTGTAGCATGTATCCATACTGGATTCCTTTTTATTGCCAAATAATATTCCATTGAATGGATATACCTCACATTTTGTTTATTCATTCATTAGTTGATGGACGTTTGAGTTATTTTCACTTTTTGGTTATCAACAATGCTGCTCTGACCATTTGTATACAAGTTTTTGGGTGGATATATGTTTTCAATTCTCTTGGGCATATACCTCGAAATAGAATTAATGGCTTATATAGTAATTCCATGTTTAACTCTTTGAGGAACTGACAGACTTTTCTACAGCAACTGTATCATTTTACTTTCCCACCAGCAACATAGGAAGCTTCCCATTTCTCCACATCTTCACCCACTCTTGTTATTTTCCATGTTGTTGTGTTTTATAGCCATCCTAATAGGTGTGAAGTAGTATTTCATTGTGGTTTTGATTGTATTTCCCTAATGACAAGGATGTTGAGAATCTTTTCATGTGCTTATTAACAATTTTTATATCTTTAGAGAAATGTCTATTCAGATCCTTTGCCTACTTTTTAATTGGGTTGTCTTTTTATTGTTAGTTATAATAGTTCTTTCTATATTCTGGATACTAGTTTCTTATTCAAATATTACTTGCAAATATTTGCTCCCATTATATAGGTTGTCTCTTCACTCTACTGATAGTCCTTTGAAGTATGAAAGTTTTTAATTTTGATGAAGTCCAGTTTATTTTATCTTTGATTGATTGTGTTTTTGGTGTCATATCTGAGAAACCACTGACTAATCGAAGGTTGTGAAGATTTACACCTATGGTTTCTTCTCAGAGTTTTGTGGTTTTAGCTCTTACATTTCAGTTTCTGATCCTTTTTGAGTTAATTTTTGTATATTTGTGAGGTACAGCTCCAACTTCATTCTTTTGCTTGTGGGTATCCAATTGTCCCAGCACTGTTTTTTGAAAAGACTATTCTTGGCTGGGCGCAGTGGCTCATGTCTGTAATCCCAGCACTTTGGGAGGCCAAGGCAGGCGGATCACGAGGTCAGGAGATTGAGACCATCCTGGCTAACACGGTGAAACCCCATCTCTACTAAAAATACAAAAAATTAGCCAGGTGTGGTGATGGGCGCCTGTAGTCCCAGCTACTCGGGAGGCTGAGGCAGGAGAATGGCATGAACCCGGGAGGCGGAGCTTGCAGTGAGCCGAGATCGCGCCACTGCACTCCAGCCTGGGTGGCAGTGAGACTCCGTCTCAAAAAAAAATAAGAAAATGTGAGTACTCAAACATGGTTCTTTTTCAAGATTGTTTAGGTATTCTGGGCCCCTTGCATTTCCATATGAATTTCAGCTTTTCCATTTCTGCAAAAGCAGCAGCTAGGATTTTGATAGGGATTGCACTGAATCTGTAGATTCATTTGTGGAGTATTGCCATCTTAAAATATTAATTCATCTAATCCATGAACATGGGATGTCTTTTCACTTCTTTGATTTCTTTCATTGATGTTTTGTAATTTTCAGTGTATAGGTTTTGCACTTCTTTGCTTAGATTTATTCATTAGAATTTTATCTTTTTAATGCTATTCTAAATGGCATTTTCTTAATCTCATTTTGATTGTTCATTGCTACTATATAGAAATACAACTGATGGCCGGGCACGGTGGCTTACACCTGTAATCCCAACACTTTGGGAGGCCGAGGCGGGTGGATCACTTGAGGTCAGGAGTTCGAGACCAGCCTGACCAACATGGTGAAACCACATCTCTACTAAAAATACAAAATTGGGCAGGCATGGTGGTGGGCGCCTGTAATCCCAGCTACCCAAGAGGCTAAGGCAGGAGAATCACTTGAACCCAGGAGGCAGAGGTGGCAGTGACCCGAGATCGTGCCATTGCACTCCAGCCCGGGCAAAAAGAGCAAAACTCCCTCTCAAAAAAAAAAAAAATACAATTGATGTTTGTGTATTAATCTTATATCCTGAAATTTTGCTGAGTTTATTAGCGCTAATGCTTTTTTTCTTTTTGCAGATTCGATAGGATTTCCTACATATAGGATTGTATCTCCTATGATTAGAGACAGTTTTACTTCCTCCTTTCCAATTTGGATTTTTTTTTCGTTCCTAATTTCTCTGACTTCAACTTTCAATAGGATGTTGAATAGTAGTGGTGAAAGTGAGCATCCTTGTCTTATTCCTGATCTTAGGGGAAAAACTTTCAGTAAAGACTGAATATACACCATTTAGTATAATGTTAGCTGTGGGCTTTCTATATACCCTTCAACATGTGTTTTTATTATGAAAAGATGTTAGATTTTATCAAATGCATTTTCTGTGTTTATTGAGATGATCATGTGGGTTTTGGCCTCTATTTTATTAGTATGGTGTATCACACTGATAGGTTTTTGCGTGTTTAATCAACCTTGCGTTCCTGGAACAAATTCCACTTAATCATGGTGTTGAAAATCAATTTATTTTCAATCATAGTGTATAATCTTTTTTATATGTTGCTGGATTTGGTTTGTGAGTTGCTGAGGATTTTTACATCTGTGTTCATAAGGGATATTGGTCTGTAGTTTTCTTTTAATGTCTTTGGTTTGGTATCAGGGTAATACTGGCCTCATAGAATGAGTTGGGAAGTATTTCTTATTCAATTTTTTTTGGAAAAGCTTGGGAAGGATTGGTATTAATTCTTTTTTGAACATTTGATAGACTTTACCAGTGAAAATGGGGTTTTGGGCTTTTCTTTGTAGGAAGTTTTTTGATTACTAATTCAGTCTTTTTGTTTGTTCCAGATCTGTGTATATTTTCTATTTCTTCTTGGGTTCGTTTCAGTAGTTTGTTTCTAGGAATTTGTCTATTTCATCAAGGTTATCTAATGTATTGGTATACAGTTATTCATAGTATTCCCTTATGTAGTAATCCTTTTTATTCCTATAAGGTCAGTAGTAATACCCCTTCTTATATTCCTGATTTTGGCCGTTTGAGTCTTCTCTTTTATTCCACACCCCCCCCCACACACACACACACACCCAGTCACTTTGGTTCAAAGTTTACTAATTTTGTTGGTTTGTAGTCAGCATTTTTTATCTTAGCATGGCATGGTTCTTCTCACTGCCTTTGTGACTTATTTATTAACTGCAGTATAGTAATACTGTAGCCTCTTGGCTTAGGAAAGCATAGGACCTGAGTCATTTGCCCATTCTCAAATTTCAAACTGCCCCTCTGTCTAATTTTGTCATCTGTAAAATTGGGGATTAAATGAGATCTACTATGCACAGTCAAGCTTCAAGTGGTGGGCAGGTAACTGGGTTCCCTTAGTAGCTGAATGAGTCTCTGCTGGAATCCATCCTCATAAAACATGATCTCAAAATTGGAACCCAGTAAATTTCTGCACGCTTGTCAGGAGCACCTCACCCCAGGACCGAGCACACAGTGAGTTCTCAGATGCTCCACATAAACACAAGAAAAGCAGCTCGTGGCACAGTTACATTTTTTTCTCTTCTGTAAGCCCATATGGTTAGTTGTGAGAACCAAAGAAGGATTCTTTCCTTCCAAAATTATGGGTTATTTTCTTTCCTTATTTCAAAAGCAGTATGTGAGCATTTCATGGGGAAAAAAAATGAAAACTAAGCCCAAAAACCAGAACACCCACAATTGTATCTGTCCAGAGATAAGCAATGTTGACCCTTGGCTTGGGGAATATAAGGAGAAGTCACTTTCAGAATACTGTTCTCTAGATTCTCCTATCCAGACCTCTGGAAAAGGTAGTTATTCCTCTTGTATTTGGGGACACTTTACCCAGAAACAAAGGACATTCATCCTCGAGCGTTGGTTTCCCACCCTGCTGAACATTGGAACTCCTCACGGAGCTTTTTAAAAATACAAATTCCCGGCCAGGCGCAGTGGCTCACACCTGTAATCCCAGCACTTTGGGAGGCCGAGGCAGGCAAATCACGAGGTCAGGAGTTTGAGACCAGCCTGGCCAACATGGTGAAACCCCGTCTCTATTAAAAACACAAAAAATTAGCTGGGCATAGTGGCAGGTGCCTACTATGCCCAGCTACTCGGGAGGCTGAGGCAGGAGAATCGCTTGAACCCAGGAGGCAGAGGTTGCAGTGAGCAGAGATCACACCACTGCACTCCAGCCTGGGTGACAGAGTGAGACTCTGTCTCAAAAATAAATAAATAAACAAACAAACAAACACATTCCCAGAGAGCACCTCAGATCCATTGAATCAGTCTCTGGAGGTGGGGCGCAGGCAGCTGTGATTGGAAGCAGCCTGGTAGGGAGGGGGATGACTCTTGAGTGACTTGCAGATGAAGATACCTAGTCCCAAGCTGGCTGAGGGGCCCAGATAGATCTCCAACTGGGCACTTGACCTCTGAACTCCCAGAGGACAATTCTTACTTTCCCTGCTAAGCCAGGACTGTCTGGTCCCATGCAGTTTGCCTGGTATTGGTCTGAGAGTCCTCGGGGCTGGGTGATTCTGAGCAAGGATCATATGGTGTTGGCCTGGTATCCCCAGGGAAGTGTACCAAGCTCACAGTATGTCGGCACTGATGTTTGGAGGGATTCCAGGAGTCCCAGTAACTGCATAGCTGGATCCATCTTTTAAACACATTATTCCAAACCTACACATCTTGTCTTTTAAAACACTCACAGGAGAAACCATTTCAGTAGAAGTTTCCTGTCTATATTTATATCATAAGCACCAAAGGTAACAAATTCTAGTTATTATCCATGTTGTTTCGTCTCTGTCTATATTTTCCATTTCCAAAAGTGCATTAGTGCCTTGATATTTTTCTCAGAAAATCACACTCTTCCTCTTCTCCTTTTTCCTTTAGAGATATGAATCAGGTTCTTGATGCCTATGAAAATAAGAAGCCATTTTATCTGTACACGGGCCGGGGCCCCTCTTCTGAAGCAATGCATGTAGGTCACCTCATTCCATTTATTTTCACAAAGTAAGTATTGGATCTTATGGCTTTTCTTACTCTCTTAGTGAATTGAGAATGTTGCTTATAAACCATGTTTAGAACTGACAAGATCATGCTAGTTCATTTGCTGAGCAACCAAGATGTCAAGAGTTGGCACTTTTTTGGCTTCCATTCACTTTGTTCCTGGGCTCACTTTAGAGGACCATGGAGTGATGGGGAGAGCGCAGCTTTGGAGTCAGCCAGGCCTGCTCCTCTTCTCATCCTGCTCCCTGTCTGCATGGCCATGGGCCTGCTACTTCTCTGAGCCTAAGTTTCCACATCTGCAAGATGAGAATGAAGATACCTACCTCATAGAACTACTGTAAAGCTTCAAAACAAAGTGTGTAGAGCAGCTAACACAGAGCACACAGGGCCACCTGGTCGATAAATGGTAGTAGACCTTATCATTATCCATAGTCAAATTCATATCACAATTCAAATTGTGATTTTGTAGGCAAGGAAGTTTTAACATACGTTGTAAGTAGGAGCTGTGTTTTCAGATGCACGATGGCGTTCCTCCACAGGGGAGATGAGACGTCAGCTTTCTCCCCCTGTGTTTCTTTAGGTGGCTCCAGGATGTATTTAACGTGCCCTTGGTCATCCAGATGACGGATGACGAGAAGTATCTGTGGAAGGACCTGACCCTGGACCAGGCCTATAGCTATGCTGTGGAGAATGCCAAGGACATCATCGCCTGTGGCTTTGACATCAACAAGACTTTCATATTCTCTGACCTGGACTACATGGGGTAAGGAGAAAACGTCTGGCTGCCTTTTCAATAGGTAGAGGAGGATGTCAAGTTGTCATGACCACAGCTAAATTCGAAACAACTGAAATGGTCTTAAGGCCTAGTAAATGTTCTTCTTCCTTTATTAAATGCTATGAGTGGCCAGCCATGGTGGCTCACACCTGTAATCCCAGCACTTTGGGAGGCCGAGGTGGGCGGGTCACGAGGTCAGGAGTTCAAGACCAGCCTGACCAACATGGTGAAACCCATCTCTATTGAAAATACAAAAATTAGTTGGGTGTGGTGGCACGCACCTATAAGCCCAGCTACTCAGGTGGCTGAAGCAGGAGAATCGCTTGAACCCGGGAGGTGGAGGTTACAGTGAGTTGAGATCACGCCATTGCACTCCAGCCTGGGCAACAGAGCGAGACTCCATCTCAAAAAGGAAAAAAAAATGCTATGAGCTGGTTTATTGGTTTTATTTACCAATAATTTTGAAAGTGAAAAGCTGTGTATGTACATAGAAAGGATTAAGTGATATCAGTATCTTAAAGACTCGATTATTGTCTCCATAATTACATTTACAGAAATTTAAAATATGGGCTCAGCCACAGCATGATGGCATCTCAGATCTTCATCCTCAGCTGTGCCAGGAAGTCCTGCCTTGCAGTTTCTTGCCAAGGATAGTCAGTCTTCCAGAGTTATGTCTTCCTCCTTTTCAACGCACCTTTTCCTCACAGAGAAAAGACTCAGTGGTTACACAGTTTCCTCAGTCTAGTTCTTTTAATCAGCCATTTAATAAACCAAAATATTTCATTCTGAAAATCCTTCAAGTTTCATCCCAAATGATTACCAAGAAATGTGTTAGAAAAATAAGACTTTGGTCAACCATCACAAGAAGGATACTATCTAGCTCAACAAATATTTCTTGAGCACCTGAGTTGTGGTACTCCCCTAAGGTGAGATACTCTTCTAAGTCATAGTACTCCCCTAAGGCGTGGTCTCTCCTAAGGCATGGTACTCCCCTAAGGCATGTTACTCCACTCCCCAAAGACGTGTTACTCCTCCCCTAAAGTGATTCCCCAGGAGGAGTGGGTTCATTGCTATGCTCCTGCAGCCCAGGCTGGGCTCTGAGCAGGCCCTCCCATGTTAGCTCACCATCAGGGACCATGCCGAGGCAGGATAAGAGGGACACTAAAGGGGCAGGTGAGCAGTGAGCACAGGAGGACTTGCTTAGAGCCGCATCCCCAGAACGTTCCCTCTTATAAGACCTTAAAACTGAGTAGTGGCAGCCAGGCGCGGTGGCTCATGCCTGTAATCCCAGCACTTTGGGAGGCTGAGGTGGGTGGATCACAAGGTCAGGAGGTCAGGAGTTCGAGACCAGCCTGGCCAATATGGTGAAACCCCATCTCTACTAAAAACACAAAAATTAGCCGGGTGTGGTGGCGTGCTCCTGTAGTTGCAGCTACTTGGGAGGCTGAGGCAGAAGAATCGCTTGAACCTGGGAGGCGGAGGTTGCAGTGAGCCGAGATCATGCCACTGCATTCCAGCCTGGGCAACAGAGTGAGACTCTGTCTCAAAAAAAAAAAAAAAAAAAAAGAAAGAAACTGAGTAGTGGTTTTATATCCATTGAGAGCAATGTATACCCTGATAGGAAATCTCGCCCTTCTATCAGCCAGTAAAACTGTTAGCTTTTTCTTTTTCTTTTTTTTTTTGAGACGGAGTCTCGCTCTGTCACCCAGGCTGGAGTGCAGTGGCACAATCTCGGCTCACTGCAAGCTCCGCCTCTCAGGTTCACACCATTCTCTTGCCTCAGCCTCCCAAGTAGCTGGGACTACAGGTGCCCGCCACCATGTCCGGCTAATTTTTTGTATTTTTAGTAGAGACGGGGTTTCACTGTGTTAGCCAGGATGGTCTCGATCTTCTGACCTCATGATCTGCCTGCCTCGGCCTCCCAAAGCACTGGGATTACAGGCATGAGCCACCACGCCCAGCACCTATTAGATCTTTTAAAATTACTTCTCTTGGTTCAGCCATGTGAGCATGGAGGCCCTGTGGCATCCTTGAAGGAAGGAAAATAGACAGGGATCCAGATCCTGGCACCTGGGTTTAGTGGCTGTGTGTCATAGCAGCCGTGTCCATGAAATGGGATCAAACAAGAACATAGATGTCATCATTAGCATAATTTTCTTTTTTTTTTTTTTTTTTGAGACAGAGTCTCACTCATGGGTTTTGCCATGTTGGCCAGGCTGGTCTTGAACTCCTGACCTCAAGTGATCCTCCCCGCCTCAGCCTCCCAAAGTGCTGCGATTACAGGTGTGAGCCACCATGCCCAGCCGTGTTAGTATAATTTTCATGGCACTTTATTTCCTTATTCTCACCCCATTCCATACAATGATTCAACTGATTGAACCTCTGCAGAGACAACTGTGGGTTCTGCTTCTCCTTTTCCAGTCAGGCAGTGCTGCTGGCATTGCCCAGTAGCTGCTATCCTCTTCCCACACCACCACTGCCCCCACCAGCCAGTGATCTCCCTAAAACTCAGAGCTAATCTCATCTTCCACTTGCGGGTCTTTCCCAGCTCTCCTCCTTAGATGACATTGAGAATTCTCACCTTTCACTTGGCACACGAGCCCTTTCGTGATTGGCCCTGTGTTCCTCTCCAGCGTCACTGCTACCTCCAGCTCAGTGGAACAGCTTGCAGTTCCACATCCTTCTCCTTTGTACATGCTCTGTGCTGCCCAGAATTCCCACCCACTCTCCTGACCCTGCCACCCCCAGCTTAGCTAATTCCTACACTTTCTTCCAAAGGCATGATCAAGCATCACCTTTTCCTAGGAGCTTTCCCTCCCCACAGCCAAATTTAGATGCCCCTCTCTGGTCCTCCATCAGGCTGGGCCTTACCTCTGCCACATCTGGTACAGTGTGGCCCTCTCCCCACTAGCTGAGTAAGACACATAGTTCCTGAATTTGTGCTCTCTGTGGCCCATCCCCTCCTGGGCCCCACAGACACAGCAGAAGCAAAGCTGAGCCGCTTCGTTGATGGATATAAATGCTGGTGGTGAGACAAGAGCAAGTGCCTATAATAGTCCATGAAGCTGATTCAGCCAATAGATGCACGATGGGGTAGATGAACTTTTGAACAGTCCATGTGAAAAGACCACCACCTGAGCAACCCCACTTTCAGCGCTCTCTGAACGTGGAGTGAGGCCGCCATTCCTCGTGCTGTCTCTTTGGCAACTGCGGTTGCAGCTCCTGACCAGCCTCCACCTTCGCTAAATAAGAACTTCCTTTTTTTTTTTTTTTTTCTTTTTTTGAGATGGAGTCTTGCTCTGTCGCCCAAACTGGAGAGCAGTGGCATGATCTCGGCTTACTGCAATATCTGCCTCCTGGGTTCAAGCAATTCTCATGCCTCAGCCTCCTGAGTAGCTGGGATTACAGGCGCCCGCCACCACACCCAGCTAATTTTTGTATTTTTAGTAGAAACGGAGTTTCACCATGTTGGCCAGGCTGGTCTCGAACGACCTCAAGTGATCCACCCGCCTCGACCACCCAAAGTGCTGGGATGCGTGAGCCACTGCACCTGGTCGGGAACTTCCTTTTTTCTTACAAACATGGGGTAAAGATGAAACCCAGACAGTATGTCAACCAAAAGGGTCGATGATATCTTTTCTTGAAAGGCATTTTATATTGAACCTAAAGTGAGGAGAGACATTTTAAAGGGTAAATCCTCTATTCAAACATTTTACTTTAAGAGTTTCTTCTAAACATTTGAGCATTTTACTTTTCTTTCTTGAATTTAACTCAAAATCTATATCTTTGGCTTAATAAAGCTCCTTCCTGGTGTTTAGGAGCTGGAAATTCAACAAAGCCAGCCATCGCCCTCTTTGAGTGGGAGGGAGGTGGTGAGGCCTCCATGAGGGAGGAGGCCAGTGCAGTTCCCCCTGCACATTGCACATGGCCCCAGAACGGCCTTCCTGCCCAGGGCCCTGAGGGATGCAAAGGCACTGAGCTGGGAGTCTGAAAACTTGTGTTCCAGACCCAGCTCTGCCCCTGCCTGGTCTTGTTCCCTTGGGCAAGTCCTTAAATCTCTGAGCTTCCATGTTCCTGTGAGGAAGGGAGCTGGGTGCTAGTGGGGGGCAGCATAGCAGAGGTTGCAAGTGCTCTGCTTGACGGCCGTCCGCTGTGTGGCCTGGGCATGGGAGGAGCCTTCCACTGTGTGGCCCGGGCATGGGAGGAGCTCCTCTCTGCCTGCTTTCTTCACTCTGCTCCTTTGTTCTACAAATATTTATTGGACATCTGCTATATGCCAGACTCATGGTGGGGGTACAGCAGGGAGCAAAACCATTATCTCAGCAGCTGTGTAAAGCCTCTCTTCTAATGGGGAGAATCAGCTAACAGGTGATCAATCAGGTGATAATAAGTTCTATGGTGATAATAGGGACAAAGGGCAGGGGTAGAGAAGACTGTGGTCAGGAGATGATAGTGCCTGCACTGCATATAAAGTGCTTCAAGCCACGCCTGGCACCTGGGGAGTGCTCAGTAAATGTTGTAATCTAAAATCTCTTCCCACTTTAAACCCTGTCTGAGAGTGAAAAGCAGGTGCCCTCCCTGGGGTAACTGGTGGTTCAGCCACATGTGATATACAGTTAGGTGTGTTCACTGCAGCCAGTGAGAAGCCTCCATGTGCCGGCACTGGCATGGCTGCTTTGCGTGATGGGTCCGTCCCAGCTGTGCAGGGGGACAGCCGTCCCTTGAGGGGAGGATCACACGTGCTCACGGTGCAGCACCTGCATTCACCCTGCAGCCAGCACAGTGGCAGCAGCTTGCAGCAAGTAATGACCAGTCTTCTAAGAAAGGGCAGCGTGCTCTAACTCAGAAATACCAGTCAGACGCCGTGAAGCTACAGTCCTGCCACAGTTTGGGGGTACTGGAGACTTTCCCTCCTTGTAGGGGTTAGGGTGTCCCAGGTGCCTCAATCCCAAGGGCGCATGGAGTCTTTGCTGCAGCCCATCTCCCCAGGTGACAGACAGCTGCTGTCCTTACTGGCTGTGAGTCCTGCTGCGGTGCCCAGGAGGGACCCTCCCTGCCTGCGGTGTTCTTGGCTTGCTTGGCAGGAGGACAAAGGCCGCATCTTTCCAGGCAGTGCTGCTGTTGGCTGTGCTCTTGCTCTCTGTTGTTTCCATTGTGCTGAGTGGGTGACACAGATGCTGGGTTCTCCTGGCATGCCCCTTCACAGTACTGCGCCCGCCCTCTCCAGTGCCCCCCAGGGCCTGAAACTCAGCCGGCTGCTAGGCGAAAGACACAGTCCATCCCTCACGTGCTGCCTCTGCTCAACCTGGACAGGCCTTGGCACTGACCTTGACCGTTACAGGCCTCCCAGCATTGTGCTTCGCCCAGCACAAACGGCCAGTGTTCCTGCACTCCTGACACCCCACCCCACCTGCACAAAGACATTCAGTAGTTCTCCACCCTGCCCCAAAAGTCTAAACTCTTCTAAAGGATAAGATGTGGTGAGAAAAGCATAGGCTTTGGGGCCAGGTGAATCTGTGTTGGGATCCCAGCCCCTGTACTCACTGGGCCTGTGACTATGACCCTGAACTTCTTTGAGCCTAGTCTAACTGTAAGGTGGAGGCAATGCTACTACTTTGAAGGGGATTTTAGGAGTATTGACACATACGCAGCATCTAGCACAGCTCCTGCCACATGGTGCAAACACTTAAAAGACACCAGCCTTCCCCCTTTTCCCTCGTAGTGTCTAACACATGGTAGGGCCTAGAGAAAAAGCTACTGAATATAGTAATACAAAGATGCAATATAAGAAGCCACTTGGCTGGGCGCGGTGGCTCACACCTGTAATCCCAGCACTTTGGGAGGCCAAGGCAGGTGGATCACCTGAGGTCAGGAGTTTGAGACCAGCCTGGACAACATGGTGAAACCCCATCTCTACTAAAAATACAAAAATTAGCCAGGCATGGTGGCGAGCAGCTGTAATCCCAGCTACTCAGGAGGCTGAGGCAGGAGAATTGCTTGAACCCAAGAGATGGAGGTTGCAGTGAGCCAAGATCATGCCACTGCACTCCAGCCTGGGCTACAGAGTGAGACTCTGTCTCAAAACAAAAAAAAAGAAGCCACTCTGGGTTCTGCCAAACCCCTACACCCCACTGTGTTTGCTTCTTCTTCAGCCTAGTTCCTTCTGGTAGTGGAATGGATGCCACACATTCAGGCCTGGTACCCACACCCCTCACCATCCAGAAGAGAGAGTTGGGTTGCTTGAATCAGCCACTGTGGCCTAGCCCTGTTGCTGTGGATAGGGTTAGTTCTGCCCAAACAGCAGGGGGGAGCAGTGGCCAGAGACTAGGAGGACCAGCTGCACTGAAACAGGCCTTCCTCCTTCTCGGGCCGTGGGTTTCTATCCATACGCTCATCCGACAACAAGCAGATGGTCTCCCACAACACAGTATGTCTCAGCTAAGAAGCTCCTGGGGGCTCCCAGACTTGAGCTCCACAGCCCACTGAACTGCTGACCCTGGCAGAATTTAAATTTTTCATGCTAGCTGCAAGTCTCTGAATCTGCTTGTGTTCTTGCCTTGTTTGTATGTCTGCTTCACGTCGGTTTCACACTGGTTTCTGCCTTTCCCAGTCAACTCCACAGGTAAACGTGTGTCTGCTTTGCCTGATGCAGGTATCTTTGCCTACAGATGACTTCCTGGCACCTTCCCAGTGCTTACGTGTTGACCACAATGTGGCCCCGAGTCTGGCCCATGCCACTACTCATTGGCATCCAATTTTAATAACTGTGACTTTGCCTTCAGTGAAGGCCGCCCTCCGTTTGGGATTTCATTCTCGTTGTCTTTGCAGGATGAGCTCAGGTTTCTACAAAAATGTGGTGAAGATTCAAAAGCATGTTACCTTCAACCAAGTGAAAGGCATTTTCGGCTTCACTGACAGCGACTGCATTGGTAAGAGGCCCACTGCTGCTGTGGACCACTCCCTGCACCCTTCAAAAAGGAGCAGAGTTCTGGAGGAGACACATGCCTGGTTTAAATATCTCTGAGATGTTAGCGTTTGCAACTGTCTCTTTAAGTAGGATGCCCAGGCGTGGGTGGGTCATCGTTGTCCTGGAATCTGACTAGCTAGTGTAATGCATTGAGCAGCTTCTCTGGGTTGGGTGAAGCTGCACTTCAGGATGTGAGTCTGTCCCTCTCTTGTCACCCGTCTTAAGGTTTAGAAGAAAGAAAAATCTAAGGATGACTTTGGAGTTCCAACAGCTCTGGTGGGACCCCAGTCAGTGTAGGGTGGCCTTGGATGGAACCCAGGGGTGATGAAGAAGGACAGCTGGGTCTGCTGCCCATGAGAGGGCCTTTGAGTCTTTGTCTCCCTGGGCCTCAGTGTCCCCACATGTAAGATGAGGGGCTTGACACGAGGTCTTCTGGAGCCTTCCCACCCCTGCCCTGCTCTCCTTCCATGGCTCCACCCCAGCAGATGTGCAAATGGTTTGCCTCCCACGTGCATGCCTTCATGGCCCTCTCCATAAATTTCCATGTGTCTTTCAGATGCATTGGCTTCGTAGACTTTTAGACTTTTGGTCCTTGAGACTTGTGGCTGGGCCTTCTGATCCCCTCCTCTACTTGATGTTTGGTGCGTGGCTTCAGGCATAGCAGGCCCTTGAGGCCTTCAGTCAGCTGCCAGCCGAGCCAGCTCCCTGGGATGCGCTGCCGGGGCTCTCCGTGAGGAGCGTTCACCCTGCTTGGAGCCAGAGCCACAGCGGCGTGTGCTCCACAGCGTCAGGGTCACGCTGGGCCAGCCGCGTGCCCAGGGCCCGGAAACCTCTGCGCTCACCCAAGGGTCTGGGTACCGCCACTTGGTGGGGGCTGGCGTGGCACCACCTGTCGGGCCATAGAGAGGTCAAAAGTTCTGCTTCTGCAGGTCTAAGCAAATACTAATGACAGTAATAACAGCAACAACATCCAAAACACTAAACACTTTTAAATATCAAAATACATTCATCATAACTTCTTTTTTTTTTTAATTTATTTATTTATTTTTATTGATCATTCTTGGGTGTTTCTCGCAGAGGGGGATTTGGCAGGGTCACAGGACAATAGTGGAGGGAAGGTCAGCAGATAAACAAGTGAACAAAGGTCTCTGGTTTTCCTAGGCAGAGGACCCTGCGGCCTTCCGCAGTGTTTGTGTCCCTGGGTACTTGAGATTAGGGAGTGGTGATGACTCTTAACGAGCATGCTGCCTTCAAGCATCTGTTTAACAAAGCACATCTTGCACCGCCCTTAATCCATTTAACCCTGAGTAGACTCAGCACATGTTTCAGAGAGCACAGGGTTGGGGGTAAGGTCACAGATCAACAGGATAAGAATTTTTCTTAGTACAGAGCAAAATGAAAAGTCTCCCATGTCTACCTCTTTCTACACAGACACGGCAACCATCCGATTTCTCAATCTTTTCCCCACCTTTCCCGCCTTTCTATTCCACAAAACTGCCATTGTCATCATGGCCCGTTCTCAATGAGCTGTTGGGTACACCTCCCAGACGGGGTGGTGGCCGGGCAGAGGGGCTCCTCACTTCCCAGTAGGGGCGGCCGGGCAGAGGCGCCCCTCACCTCCCGGACGGGGCGGCTGGCCGGGCGGGGGGCTGACCCCGCCACCTCCCTCCCGGACGGGGCGGCTGGCCGGGCGGGGGGCTGACCCCCCCACTTCCCTCCCGGACGGGGCGGCTGGCCGGGCGGGGGGCTGACCCCCCACCTCCCTCCAGGACGGGGTGGCTGCTGGGCGGAGACGCTCCTCACTTCCCAGACGGGGTGGCTGCCGGGTGGAGGGGCTCCTCACTTCTCAGGCGGGCGGTTGCCGGGCGGAGGGTCTCCTCACTTCTCAGACAGGGCGGCCGGGCAGAGACGCTCCTCACCTCCCGGATGGGGTCGCGGCCGGGTAGAGGCGCTCCTCACATCCCAGACGGGGCGGCGGGGCAGAGGCGCTCCCCACATCTCAGACGATGGGCGGCCGGGCAGAGACACTCCTCACTTCCTAGATGGGATGGCGGCCGGGAAGAGGCGCTCCTCACTTCCTAGATGGGATGGCGGCCGGGCAGAGACGCTCCTCACTTTCCAGACTGGGCAGCCAGGCAGAGGGGCTCCTTACGTCCCAGACGATGGGCGGCCAGGCAGAGACGCTCCTCACTTCCCAGACGGGGTGGCGGCCATGCAGAGGCTGCAATCTCGGCACTTTGGGAGGCCAAGGCAGGCGGCTGGGAGGTGGAGGTTGTAGCGAGCCGAGATCACACCACTGCACTCCAGCCTGGGCACCATTGAGCACTAAGTGAACCAGACTCCGTCTGCAATCCCGGCACCTCAGGAGGCCGAGGCTGGCTGATCACTCGCGGTTAGGAGCTGGAGACCAGCCCGGCCAACACAGCGAAACCCCGTCTCCACCAAAAAAATCCGAAAACCAGTCAGGCGTGGCGGCGCGCGCCTGCAATTGCAGGCACTCGGCAGGCTGAGGCAGGAGAATGAGGCAGGGAGGTTGCAGTGAGCCGAGATGGCAGCAGTACAGTCCAGCTTTGGCTCCGCATCAGAGGGAGACCGTGGAAAGAGAGGGAGAGGGAGACCGTGGGGAGAGGGAAGAGGGAAGAGGGAAGCCATCATAACTTCTGATAATTAAAGGTGGAAGGTGGCTAGAGAATGGTTAAATGATATGATACATTGACAGGATAGAATATACTTAGTAACAACATGGATAGTCATTACAATGAAAAAGGCAAGGAAGGCCGGGCGCCGTGGCTCACGCCTGTAATCCCAGCACTTTGGGAGGCCGAGGTGGGCAGATCACGAGGTCAAGAGATTGAGACCATGCTGGCCAACATGATGAAACCTCATCTCTACTAAAAATACAAAAATCAGCTGGGTGTGGTACGCACCTGTAGTCCCAGCTACTCGGGAGCCTGAGGCAGGAGAATCACTTGAACCCCAGGAGGCAGAGGTAGCGGTGAGCTGAGATCGAGCCACCACACTCCAGCCTGGCAACAAAGCGAGACTCCTTCTGAGAAAAAAAAAAGGAAAAGAAAAAGCCAAGGAAAGACCAAATATAGTGTAATCACAACAAAAATGCATAGAGTAAAATATATAAAGAAAATGGATGAAATCAGACACATTGCAACTGTACAGCTTGTTCTTTCTACTTTTCTGTATTTTTTAGATTTATTTTAATGATTGTTTTATAATGGGAGAAAACCTGTTTTTGTTCATTCCTTTATTAACTAAGCAGAACAGGAACTCATCTCACGTGTAAAAATACTTTTTCTCATTTTCAGGGAAGATCAGTTTTCCTGCCATCCAGGCTGCTCCCTCCTTCAGCAACTCATTCCCACAGATCTTCCGAGACAGGACGGATATCCAGTGCCTTATCCCATGTGCCATTGACCAGGTCAGCAGGCAGAAAAGCAAGGCTCTCTAAGTCTGGGGCATTGACAGCAGGTTCCTCTTACTCTTCAGCGGGGAGAGGTATTGAAAGATATGATGGGCAGCCAGGCAGGGTGGCTCACGCCTGTAATACCAGCACTCTGGGAGGCCAAGGCAGGCGGATCACTTGAGGCCAGGAGTTCAAGACCAGCCTGGCCAACATGGCGAAACCCCGTCTCTACTAAAAATACAAAATTTAGCCACATGTGGTGGCAGGCGCCTGTAATCCCAGCTACTCGCCTCGCTTGAACCCCAGAGGCAGAGGTTGCAGCGAGAGCGCATCACTGCACTCTAGCCTGGGCGACAGAGCAAGGCTCTGTCTCAAAAAAAAGGAAAGAAAGTTGGGGAGTGGGGCAAGGGGAGGGAGAGCATTAGGACAAATACCTAATGCATGCGGGGCTTAAAACCTAGATGACGGGTTGATGGGTGCAGCAAACCACCATGGCACATGTATACCTATGTAACAAACCTGCGTGTTCTGTACATGTATCCCAGAACTGGAAGTAAAATTTAAAAAAAAAAAAGGAAAAGATGAAGGGGAGGAGGGAGTGAATTTCTTTGGTTGGAAGCATGAGAGCCTTCTGGGAAGATGCTCACAGGGACTGCTCATGGCTGAAAGCTGGCATGTTTTCTGGCCGCCCTCATCAGGGTCCTTACTCTCCCCACAGGATCCTTACTTTAGAATGACAAGGGACGTCGCCCCCAGGATCGGCTATCCTAAACCAGCCCTGCTGCACTCCACCTTCTTCCCAGCCCTGCAGGGCGCCCAGACCAAAATGAGTGCCAGCGACCCCAACTCCTCCATCTTCCTCACCGACACGGCCAAGCAGATCAAAACCAAGGTGAGCAGTGGCCCAGGCAGAGGGCAGCCAGCGGGATCAGAAACATGCCCTGGGGGGCACACGCACACACACACCACTGCGCAGTGCTTTGGGCCTCAGCCACCCAGCCACCGTAGCAATGCTGAACTCCAGGATTGCCAACTTTGCTCCCTGCAGAACTCAAGGCAGCCTGTCCTTCCCACATGAATCAGGTGAATTTGTTTTGTGTCCTTTCATTTAGGTAAAATTTTGAATTTTTTTTCTTTTTTTCCTTTTCTGCTTTTCTTATCAGCACTGTTCTGCAGGCAAAGTCATGGCAATTTCCTTAAAGTTATAATTAGTGTGGATGTTATTAAATAATGGAAAAGATTTGTGTATATTTCTCATCATCAGCTGTGTTCCAGCGGCTGGACCCGGTGCCTTATTTATGTTTTCTCATGTTTCATTCTCACTGGGAGGTGGTGGTGCTATTCCCTTTAAAGATGAGATGATGAGGCTTAGAGAAGCCCAGCCACTTGACCAAGTTTCCACCACCAGGAATCAGCAGCACTGCTCTCCTGGCCCTGAGCAGCCATTACCAAGCAGGGGTTATGAGCTGGTCTTCTCCCAGAGAGCGTTCTCACTGAGAGACATAGAACGGAGAAACGTCCATCCACGGGACAGTCCTGCTGGCCCCAGGAGGGATGCATGCAGCAGGCATTCAGCAAACATTTGACAAATCACTAGAGAAACTAAAAGGAGAAGTTAGTTTGAGCTTCCTTATTTTGCATGGCCCCAGTTCTGTTGCCTGGTTCCTCAACAGCCAGTGTATATATAATTGCCTCACTGTTACACAAAGCAGTTGACATTTTCTTTGGAATCAAGTGTGTGTTTGCAGGCTAGAAGATTGCAGTGGGAATGCTGGGAACTGTATTTGAGGCATGTCACATGCCCTCTGAGTCACTGCCCCTGACCGTTCTGGAAAGTCCCAAGCAGGTTCTGGTTGACAATGGGGAAGCCTTTCATATCAAAACTTCCTAAGACATGCCCTCCACCAACTCTCCCCACTCAGTTGGAAGCTGGTATAATTGAAGACTTTTCTTTCCCTTTCACTTCTGGCCAAAACTTCCGGAGCACAGGGTGCAGAGTGGGGAGGGAAGCGCCATTGGAAAAGTCCACTGTTTTATTTTGCTTCTGAGAAGTTGTTTGGAAAAAGTTGTTTATGGCCAGGTGCGATAGCTCACACCTATAATTCCAGCACTTTGAGAGGCCGAGGCAGGTGGATCACCTGAGGTCAGGAGTTCGAGACCAGCGTGGCCAACATGGTGAAACTCCTGTCTCTACTAAAAATACAAAAATTAACCAGGCTTGGTGGCAGGCACCTATAATCCCAGCTACTCGGGAGGCTGAGGCAGGAGAATTGTTTGACCCTGGAAGACAGGGGTTGCAGTGAGCCGAGATCGCACCACTGTTCTCCAGCCTGGGCAACAGAGTGAGACTCCAGCTCAAAAAAAAAAAAAAAGAAAAGAAAAAAGAAAAACTTGTTTATGGATCTGGGACATTTATCATTCACTTAGGGACCAGTAGAGCCCTCGAGGTGAGCAGTTAGCATGAGGTCAGGAAAAACAGAGGCCTACAGACGGTCACTGGGCCTGCAGGCTTCTTGTGGGGCAGAACAGGGCCCGCCCAGGCCCTCACTCTAAATCCCCGTGCCCGACTTCAGCTCCAAAATCAGAATCTCCACACTAGAAAAGAGAGGGCACATCTGCTCCAGCCTCCTAAAAATAACAGGTTCAGGCAGGGCAGTGGCACGTGCCTGTAGTCCCAGCTACTCAGGAGGATGGCTTGAGCCCAGGGATTCAAGGCTGCAGTGAGCTACTATTGTGCCTGTGAATAGCCACTGCACCCCAGCTGGGGTGGCACAGTGAGGCCCCATCTCTCAAATTAAAAAAATCAAAATAGTAGCACAGTGCTGACGACTCAGGTGGCTTTGCTGAGTGAGTACCTGCCACCTGCACACAGTAAGCCTGTGTTATCTAACTTTATTCCAACTACCACCCTAGCTGGCTGTGTCCATTCGGCATCATTTCCTGTCACACAGAGTCACACTGGTCACCCACTTCCATCATCTTAGTTGCTGGCAGCAGTGCTCCATACCCACCCCCAAGTCAGCCCTCCATCTGTTTTCCTGTAAGTCAGGCCTGGTAGGCTGGTTCCTGCATCACTGAGGACTGATCACGTCAAGGAGGCAGAACTGAGCCCCTCAGTTCTCGAGCTCCACCCAGAAGCCTGGTGTCCCAGGAGCCAGCCTGGTCCTGCCAATCCCTGTCACATATGGCAGGTTCCTGACACTCTGGGCCTGATTTCCTTCACCTGTAAGATAGAGACATCACTACAGAGGTCATTGGGTTGTTGGGGATAAAATGCATGTCATAACCCTAACAGCCTCCACGGATGGCACATCTGCTGTGTGCCTACCGTGGGAAAAGCCTGGGGAGGGGGAGTGTGCAGGTGGTGGTGACGCCAGCACATCTTGAAAAACATGCAGCAGACACCAGTTTCCTTGTTCTCCTCTCAGATAAAGTTCTGGGAACTGGCCTTTCAATATCCTCTTCAAACTGCCCCTGGAAGCCAGGACCTGTGTTCTCAGACTTTCTTCCTGACACTGAAGCTTCTTCCCCAAGGCCCAGCAGGGAGGGCTATGGCCACCACATAGCAGTGACTCTATCAGGCACTTAGATGCTAGGAGACACCACTACTAGGTGGTTTTTTTCTTCCTCCTGTTTATTGGTATTTTCCATAGTTTTTCATTCTATAACTTTTTTTTTCCTTTTTTTTTTTTTTTTTTTGAGACGGAGTCTCACTCTGTCGCCCAGGCTGGAGTGCAGTGGCACAATCTCGGCTCACTGCAAGCTCTGCCTCCCAGGTTCACGCCATTCTCCTGCCTCAAGGCTCCCGAGTAGCTGGGCCTACAGGCGCCCACCACCACACCCAGCTAATTTTTTGTATTTTGGTAGAGACGGGGTTTCACCGTGTTAGCCAGGATGGTCTTGATCTCCTGACCTCGTAATCTGCCCGCCTTGGCCTCCCAAAGTGCTGGGATTACAGGCGTGAGCCACTGCGCCAGCCCCTCGCATGGGCCTTGCCTGAGCCTCTCGCGTGACTGCTGCTTTCCCTGCCCAGCCTCTCAGCAATGCCCTGCCAAAATGGAGACAGGCGCCTTTGCCCCAACACTCATCTGCTCCTTTTGCACAATCCCAACTTATCTAGTTAGGACTCTGCTCTAGAATTCTGTGTGTGTGTGTGTGTGTGTGTATGTGTGTGTGTGTGTGTGTGATGGAGTTTCACTCTTGTTGCCCAGGCTGGAGTGCAATGGCACAATCTCGGCTCACCACAACCTCCGCCTCCCGGGTTCAAGCGATTCTCCTGCCTCAACCTCCCAAATAGCTGGGATTACAGGCACATGACACCACGCCCAGCTAATTTTGTAGTTTCAGTAGAGACGGGGTTTCTTCATGTTGGTCAGGCTGGTCTCAAACTCCTTACCTCCGGTGATCTGCCTGCCTCGGCCTCCCAAAGTGCTGGGATTACAGGTGTGAGCCACTGCACCCGGCTGCTCTGGAATTCTTTTAAGGAAACTTACTAAACATAACAACTTAGAATTTATTGACTCTGCCCACCTTTTTTCCCATTAAAAAAAAGTTAAGACTGGGCACAGTGGCTCATGCCTGCAGTTCCAGCACTTTGGGAGGCCAAGGCAGGCGAATCACCTGAGGTTGGGAGTTCAAGACCAGCCTGGCCAACATGGTGAAACCCTGTCTCTACTAAAAATACAAAATTAGCCGGGCATGGTGACAAAAAAAAAAGTTAAGGGGCTGAGCACAGTGACTCACACCTGTAATCCCAGCACTTCGGGAGGCCAAGGCAGGCAGATCACTTGAGCCCAGGAGTTCAAGACCAGACTGGACTACACGACAAAACCTGGTCTCTACAAAAAATACCAAAAAATTAGCCAGGCTGGTGGCACACACCTATACTCCTAGCTACTCAGGAGGCTGAGGCAGGAAGGTAACCTGAGACCAGGAGGTCAAGGCTGCAGTGAGCCATGATCACACCACTGCACTCCAGCCTGGGCAACAGACTGGAGATCCTATCTAAAAAAAAAAAATTAGGGTGACATTTTCTCAGATGCTCACTGAAAGAATGTTGAAGGAGTTTCACCTATTTGTTCTGGCTTTTATTAGCCTTAATTACCCCGTGATTATCTTTAACAATTCCTAAAAGTCATTGTGTTTCTGAGTTTTTCAGCTCTGACAGTGTTGCCTGTTTGTAAGTGAAGACCTGCCTGCAGGCCCCTCTCCCTGCACAGCACTTCTCGTGGGTTTGCCTTCCCTTACTGCCTTACCCTGTGCCTTCTTGTTATGCTTTCTGTGTGGGGCTGGCCACTGCTTTCCTGTCCCCATTAACACTGCAGTACCTATCCCTAAGAGAGGCTGCCCTTCCTGCCATCTCCCTTACTCTGAGGATGACTTACTCATCCTTTTTCTTTTATTTATTTATTTTTTTAGTTTTTATTATTTTAGAAACAAGGTCTTGCTCTGTCGCCGAGGCTGGCGTGCAGTGATGCAATCACAGTCCACTATAACCTCAAACTCCTGAGTCTGAGCGATCCTTCCACCTCAGCCTCCCGAGTCGCTAGGACTACAGGCGCACGTCACCACACCAGCTAATTCCTTTTTTTTTTTTTTTTTGGCAGAGAGGAGGGCTCACTAAGTTACCCAGACTGGTCTTGACCTCCTGGCCTCAATCGATCCTCCCCCCTCAGCCTCCCAAAATGCTGAGATTACTGGCACAAGCTACCATGTCTGGCCTTACCCATCCTTTTTCTGACGCTTGTTACCTGAGGAACTTGTCTGTCCCAGGTTTCAGTTCAATCAGTGCCTTGGCTTTCCCAACTCTATTCTCCTGTGTCTCCGAGGATGGGGGGTTCAAAGCTCATCTGCCCCCACCTCTCCTGCAGTGAGCCCCACAGTAGCTCACACCCAAGCCTCACAGGAAGAACAGCAGTGGGTCCCCCACTGGCTGTGCGCCCCCAACCGGCTGTGCGCCTTGGCCTTTCCCGGGTCCAGAATCTGACAGCACTCACACCTCTGACTTCCACACTTGGGCTTCTAGCCAGTGTCCAGGCACAGGATGAGCAGGACTGAGGAGCGTGTCTGTGTCCTCTTCTGGTGCAGGTCAATAAGCATGCGTTTTCTGGAGGGAGAGACACCATCGAGGAGCACAGGCAGTTTGGGGGCAACTGTGATGTGGACGTGTCTTTCATGTACCTGACCTTCTTCCTCGAGGACGACGACAAGCTCGAGCAGATCAGGAAGGTGAGCAGGGAACCCCAAGGGCCCACAGCCGCCTTCTGCCACCCACTCCTGCCCATGGGGCCTGGAAGGCTCCAACAGCCAGGCATGAAGGCTTGGTCGGAGGTGCTCAACTGAAACAAGGTGAAAACTGAGTAGACTCGCCCTCATGGTTTTTAGGCCTGGGCTCAGAAGCCTCATGAACAAATCTCGAAAGAGCAGATACAAATCACTATTCATTTAGGAGCCACCCAAAACAGTCTTGCTTTATTAGTCATCAGAGAAATGTAAGTTAACGTGATCAAAGCTAAGACAGTTGAGTATAGAATTAGTAGGGGCTTTTGTGTTGCCATTGACTATTTTCAGTGATTATGAAGCAGATGCTTCAAGGCACACTCAAGTGAGCAGAGTGTTTATCAGCACAGCCTCAGGAAGCAGTTTGGTACTGGGTACAAAGAGCCCAAAAATGTTCAGAGCTTCTCCTCAGGTTTTCTCATTCTTAGATTTTTTCCAAGGAAATAATCCTGAGTAAGAGAAAGCTTTCCACACAAAGATGTTAAAAATGATAATAGCAAAAAGTTCAACACAGACTCAGTACAACAGAGGAAACGTTAAATTAGAATTGTTACAGGGTGGATTATTATGCGGGCATGAACTATTTTAAGTGTTCATATGCAGGGCATGGTGGCACACATCTGTAGCCCCTGCTACTTGGGAAGCTGAGACAGGAGGATCCCTTGAGCCCAGGAGTTCAAATCCAGCCTGGGCGACATAGCAAGACCCTCATTTCTTTCTTTTTTTTTTTTTTTTGAGACAGAGTCCTGCTCTGTCACCCAGGCTGGAGTGCAGTGGCGCAATCTCGGCTCACTGCAAGCTCTGCCTCCCGGGTTCACACCATTCTCCTGCCTCAGCCTCCCGAGTAGCTGGGACTACAGGCACCCGCCACCATGCCCGGCTAATTTTTTTGTATTTTTAGTAGAGACAGGGTTTTACCGTCTTATTCAAGATGGTCTCGACCTCCCGACCTCGTGATCCACCCGCCTTGGCCTCCCAAAGTGCTTGGATTACAGCTGTGACCACCGCGTCCAGCCAAGACCCTCATTTCTTTTAAAAAAAAAAAAGTTTTAGTGACACAGGAAAATATGCCTATGATAGTGAAAAAAGGATACCAAATGAAAACTCAGGGAGGAGTTAACTATGTTTAAATGAAATGCACAGGGAAAGAAATGTGAAGAAAATCTACCAAATGTTAGCGGGAGACCCACCTCTGGGCATTTTTCAGGTGGGCAATTTGTAGGTGATTTTTCTTTACTTTGCTGCTGCTTTGTGGTTTGGGTACTTTATTAAATTTGCTTAATGAGCATGCAGTACAATCAGAAAAAGAAAAAATTAGCAAGATTTGGCTGGGCGCAGTGGCTCACGCCTGTAATCCTAGCACTTTGGGAGGCCGAGGCAGGTGGGGGGAGTGGATCACGAGGTCAGGAGATCGAGACCAGCCTGGCCAATATGGTGAAATCCCATCTCTACTAAAAATACAAAAATTAGCCAGGCGTGGTGGCAGGCACCTGTAATCCCAGCTACTCAGGAGGCTGAGGCAGGAGAATCACTTGAACCTGGGAGGCGGAGGTTGCAGTGAGCTGAGATCATGCCACTGCACTCCAACCTGGCAACAGAGTGAGACTCCATCTCAAAAAAAAAAAAATTAGCAAGATTTTACAGAAGCCATAAGGCTGCCAGGAATTGTTGTTGTTTAGTGCCTGGGGGAATGGCCCCTAGCATCGGTAGGGGTGGGGACTGCCCTCCCCATTGGCCCTTTCACTGTGAGAGGCCAAGTCATGGCTATCGTCAGAGCCAGGTTTCTAGCCGTTTTAGGAAAAGTGTAGCTGAAGGTATAGGTTATTGTTGTGGTAACAACAGATCTCACTTCTGAGTGCCACCCACGTGCCAGGCTCTGCATGGGTGGTGTGGGCTGAGCTGGTGCCCGAGGCAGGAAGGAGCCACTCAGGACATGTGGAGCCATCTCTCACGTGGCTGTCTCCCTCCGGGCAGGATTACACCAGCGGAGCCATGCTCACCGGTGAGCTCAAGAAGGCACTCATAGAGGTTCTGCAGCCCTTGATCGCAGAGCACCAGGCCCGGCGCAAGGAGGTCACGGATGAGATAGTGAAAGAGTTCATGACTCCCCGGAAGCTGTCCTTCGACTTTCAGTAGCACTCGTTTTACATATGCTTATAAAAGAAGTGATGTATCAGTAATGTATCAATAATCCCAGCCCAGTCAAAGCACCGCCACCTGTAGGCTTCTGTCTCATGGTAATTACTGGGCCTGGCCTCTGTAAGCCTGTGTATGTTATCAATACTGTTTCTTCCTGTGAGTTCCATTATTTCTATCTCTTATGGGCAAAGCATTGTGGGTAATTGGTGCTGGCTAACATTGCATGGTCGGATAGAGAAGTCCAGCTGTGAGTCTCTCCCCAAAGCAGCCCCACAGTGGAGCCTTTGGCTGGAAGTCCATGGGCCACCCTGTTCTTGTCCATGGAGGACTCCGAGGGTTCCAAGTATACTCTTAAGACCCACTCTGTTTAAAAATATATATTCTATGTATGCGTATATGGAATTGAAATGTCATTATTGTAACCTAGAAAGTGCTTTGAAATATTGATGTGGGGAGGTTTATTGAGCACAAGATGTATTTCAGCCCATGCCCCCTCCCAAAAAGAAATTGATAAGTAAAAGCTTCGTTATACATTTGACTAAGAAATCACCCAGCTTTAAAGCTGCTTTTAACAATGAAGATTGAACAGAGTTCAGCAATTTTGATTAAATTAAGACTTGGGGGTGAAACTTTCCAGTTTACTGAACTCCAGACCATGCATGTAGTCCACTCCAGAAATCATGCTCGCTTCCCTTGGCACACCAGTGTTCTCCTGCCAAATGACCCTAGACCCTCTGTCCTGCAGAGTCAGGGTGGCTTTTCCCCTGACTGTGTCCGATGCCAAGGAGTCCTGGCCTCCGCAGATGCTTCATTTTGACCCTTGGCTGCAGTGGAAGTCAGCACAGAGCAGTGCCCTGGCTGTGTCCCTGGACGGGTGGACTTAGCTAGGGAGAAAGTCGAGGCAGCAGCCCTCGAGGCCCTCACAGATGTCTAGGCAGGCCTCATTTCATCACGCAGCATGTGCAGGCCTGGAAGAGCAAAGCCAAATCTCAGGGAAGTCCTTGGTTGATGTATCTGGGTCTCCTCTGGAGCACTCTGCCCTCCTGTCACCCAGTAGAGTAAATAAACTTCCTTGGCTCCTGCTCTTGTCATTGTGCTCTGTCTGGGAGGTCTGAGGAGGGAGCAGAGACCCCTCCCCTCACCCTTCTGTGGATGACCTTGAGTCTGCTGGAGTCAAAATTTGGGGATGAAAGCGCACAGTCCCAGGAACCCCATGGTGTTGTGCCACAGCTCCCAGGAATGGGCTTGTGCTGGGAGAGCCCTTAGCAGCATCCTGGTGCGGGCTCCCTCTCACACCACATTTCTCATTTCCAGCAGCTGATGGAGAATGCAAGCAGAGGTTGTCCTCGCTTTTCAGAGGAGGGGCTGGCCGTGGGGTGCTTAGTGGTGCTGTGTAGTGACGGGGAGCACAGGCTGGGAGCCAGGTCGGGCCCCATTCACATGAGGCCCAGGGCAGAGGCCGAGCTGCAAGGGAGCCCTGGGCTCATTCTACCGGCCCATCCTTATTTTGCAAGTAGGGAAACTGAGGCTTAGGAGAGGAGAACATGACTTGTCCAAGGCCATAGGGTGACTCTGATACAGCGAGTCTGTCCTGACTCTTGGTGCTTTCCACACACATACAGAGGGACCATTTTACAAATGAGGGAACTACGGTTCCCACCCTGGAGGCTGGAGGCCTGGGCTCGAGTCCCACTCAGGTACCCGGGTGCACCATGACCTCAAGTAGGCTTCCTCTCCCGGTCTCGACTCCTGCTGGCCTGGGCCCCACCCCTGCCCTCCCCTGCTCACCTGGCTGGCTATGGCCAGTGGGGGTGAGCCACCCACAGAGGCCACATAGCTCACTAGCCTGTTGCCTTGGGCAACTAATATGACTCCTCGTCGCTCTACTGCACCTGTGACGCAAGTGCAATGAGGGGTGACAAATGGAGTCAGTGACAGCTGCTGCTGTCATTGTCCACCCAGCCACAGCATCTATTGGCAGGGCCCTGGTGAGACCCTGGCCCCAGGGAGGAGTGAGCCAACACCAACCAGCTTCTCCCCTCACCGGCTGTGTGACTCTGGCCAGGTCACTTAACCTCCCAGGACCTCCATCTCCTCCCCTGTAAAAAGCAGTGATGCCTCCTGTTTAGGGTCTTAGGAGGGGTGCCCTGGGTCCAATACTCAGGTGACTTGCCCAAGGCCACTGCTGGTCAGGACACAGGGGAGCCACATGTCTCCCAAGCCTCCCCAGTTTTGCTAAAAACCAGTGGTTTCTGAGAGAAATGTTCCCTGAAAGACATGGGCGTGTCTGGATTAGGATGGACAGGTTGCAGTGGCCCCATGAGTGTTTGGGGATGAGGCATGAGGCCGGGTGCCTGCACCACCGTGGTGCCAGAGGCTCTGCCGGAAGAGCACTCCTGCTCTGGCTGGTAATGTCCACTTGTCAGACAGATGTGGGGCCAACCCAGCTCAGTCTCTCTGTCCCGTGGCCCCCAGCCTGGAGGAGAGACCAGCTGAGCCTGCCTGAAAGGAGATGGTGCCTGAGAAGCACACAAAACAGCACTGGGTGGGGAAGCAGGGACAGGAAGGAGGGTGGCTGAGCACACGGGTGGCTGTGGAACAGCTCGTTGCTCCAGGACGGCACTTGGCAAGCAACAGGCCTGCCTCTGGCCCCCAGTGCCCGCCTGCAGCACCAGCAGATGTGCCCTCCCCAGGGTCACACTGGCTGGGCCTTGAGGCCCAGGACTCTCTGGTCATTACCATAGAGGTTGTAAAGACAGTGAGGACAGCCAGACGCGGTGGCTTACACCTGTAATCCCAGGCTGAGGCGGGCAGATCACGAGGTCAGGAGATCGAGACCATCCTGGCTAACACGGTAAAACCCCATCTCTACTAAAAATACAAAAAGAAATTAGCCAGGCGTGGTGGTGGGCACCCGTAGTCCCAGCTACTCGGGAGGCTGAGACAGGAGAATGGCGTGAACACAGGAGACAGAGCTTGCAGTGAGCCAAGCCGAGATCGCGCCACTGCACTCCAGCCTGGGCGACAGAGCGAGACTCCGTCTCAAAAAAAAAAAAAAAACAGTGAGGACAGAGGCCTTTCCTGCAAACCCCCTCCCCAGTGACACGCAGAGCCAGCTGCTCAGTGACACGGGCTCAGGGAGAGCCAAAGGCCCCCACCTCCCAGAGTGCAGCCACTGCCAGAGCCGGGCCAGGAGTGCTGCCAGGAACCCTCCTGCCAAGGCCGAACAGGTGGGGTCTTCTCGACAAAAACGGTCCCGGGGTCAGTGTTTGATGAGCCATGGAAACCTGTCAGCGCCTGCCCTTTCCCGGCATTCGGCCACAACATCTCAGCCTCTGCAACTCCTAAGCTGGACACACTTCCTGGAATCTACTGCAGGACTTATTCATTCATTCATTCATTCATTCACTCGCTCATTCATCCCACACCCCCTACTATGCAGCAGCCCTGGAGCTAGATGGAGTCCTTGCACAGCCCGCAGGCTCTTGTGGCCGGGGAGAGGCAGATGAGTGACCACACACCCAACCAGGTCCCCAAGGGAGCAGAGCAAGAGATGCTTGGGAGCAGCCCAGTGGTCAGGCAAGGAGAGCTTCCTGGAGGAGGTGGCGCCTGGGGTGTGGAGCCAGCCAGGCAGAGCAGTAGGAGGGTATTCCTGGCAGAGGGCACAGGGCATAAGGTCAGGTGCCCACAGCACCACACATATGGGGACTGGCGTAACAAGAGGGGTTCCACCCCTTACTCTGGGAGCAGAAGAATTTTGTTCGGCAGAACACAGGACAGCGTTCAGTCCACAGACACAGTCAAGGTCAGTGTCCATGAGTGAATATAGTCAATGCAGGTGGCCTCTGGCCCTGCCAGAGGGCTGCTGTGGTGGAGACCCGGTGGCTTCACGCTGGACCTGCCAGCCCTAGCCCCTGATAGCCCCCATCATTGGAAGCCACATGATGCCAGGAGGGGGGGTGCTGGAGCCTCAGAAGCACTGGCTGCAGTCCACCCACCCCTCCCTGATGCGTGACGGCAGGCAAGGCCCCCTCCCTCTTGGAGCTGTCAGGTGGCTGTGGTGAGCTGTGCAAGGCACCTGGCGCCCTCCCACGGGCAGCCCCCTCTGGAAGGGGAGCTCACATTCAGGGCAGGTGGGAGGGCCTGGCTGGAACCAGCTTTCGCTCAGAAAGCGGGTGGGTTTGGGATAGGGTGGTGAGGACAGTAAGTACCCTGCTAAACAGCCCCCTGCGGCAGGACTCAGCACCATAGGCTAGGCCCCACAGCCCAGAAGGCCGAGAGAGTGGAGCCCGCCAGAGTGCCAGGCGGGGTTTCAGTGTGGCCATCTGCACAGTGGGAGCACCAGCAGCTCAGGTTTCGAGGGCTCATCCAGCAGGAAGGGAGCAGGACAGGGCCACAGCCCCACACCTCCCAGGACGGGTGGGCAGGCCTCACAGGGTGCAAAGCTGCTGGGGGCAGGGAACAGTCAGCCCACGGCCATGGAGCCACAGCCCTGAACATCCTCAGAAACATTTTATTGACAACAGTTCCCAACAGAGTCTTTGGGGTCTTTAAGTGGCAGGTGCAGCGTCCACAGGCAGAGTGAGGGCTCCTGAGGAACCTCACCCCAAATTCCCTAACCGGCCGAGGACGGCCACCCCAGGCCCCTCTCAGGTGGGCATGGCAGTCCCGGCAGCACCCCCTCTGAGCAGCCTGCTGTGGGGAAGAAGCCGAGCCGGGAGCCCTCAGTCGTGGTGCCAGCCCAGCTCATGCTCCCCGCCCCGAGGCCCCCAGCCTGTGGGAAGCCCCTGCCTGTAAGGGACAGCTCGTGAAGACACAGGAACAGTGGTGGGGGTGAGGGTCTAGGAATGGGGCAGAGGGTGGCTGAGCACACACCTGACTCCCTGGAGGGGTGCTTCAAAGACATGGGAGGCGAGGGCCATGGGGAGGCTGGGATGAACAACCGACTCCATGCAACTCAACGCTCTCATCAAAGAGGCCCACTCCTCCCTGGCTCCTGCCACCCTAGGCCAACCCTGGCTGATGGCTGGCGGGCCCCTCGACCTGAGGTCAGTAGCTGGGCAGGGCGAGCTCAGGCCTCGGCCGACAACACTGCAGGGAGGCTCCTCATTCTCCTGGGCAATGGCCCTGTGGGGTCCCGAACCCAGCCACACTACCCCTTGCCTCCTCCAGCCACTACGACCTCCAGCAGCTGCTGGTGGGTGGGCCGCTGGGCGTGGGGACCGGCTATGTGAGCAGACCCCGGGCGAGCCTCAGCACTGCCTCATAGGCGACGAAGACCACCATGTTGACAGGGAAGGCGCGGCAGCAATTGAGTACCAGCCCCTTGAAAAGGACCCGGGGTCCCTCCTCTCGAACGCTGGTCACCATACAGTGCAGGAGACCCCGGTAGCGCCTCTGGCCCTGCCCGTCTGCCTGCAGTCTCGACTTGATCACGTCCATGGGGGTGGCCACAGCCCAGGCCAGGACTCCTGCACAGCCCCCGGCCACCAGCACGCCCGGGACATCTGCAGAGAGACCACAGTGCCTTGACTGGGAGCCTGATCGGGGCGCCCAGGGCAGCGCACCCTGGACTCACGCTTCCGGCCCGTCCTCATTTGCAACAGGCTTGGGAGAGGGGAATGGGACTTGTCCACAACCACACACTGACTCTGTGACACAGCAAGTCTGTCCTGACTCTTGGTGTTGGGAGAACTGAGGAGCCCACTCTGGGAGGCAGGAGGCCAAGTTCAAGCCCCCACTCGGGTACTGGCGGGCAGCACGACCTCACCTTGACCTCCTCATCCTTCTGGGCTCCCCGCCCTGCCAGGTTCCAGCCCCTGCTCACCTGGCCGGCTGTGGCCAGCGGGGCTGAGCCACTCGCAGAGGACCGCGTAGGAAAGGAAGTAGGTGGCAAAGGAGTGGCCGTCCCGTAAGACCAGGGCCGAGCTGCCCTTGTAGAGGCCGCACAGCCCCTCCTCACGGGCTACCGTGGCCAGGCAGTGCAGTGGCCCGCGGTACTTGGGCTCTGGGCAGGCTGGGGGCACAGGACACATGGGGGGCACAGCCAACGGCCCCGAGGCCGAAAGCCGCCGCTGCTGCTTCTGCGCCTGTGTCTGCGTCTGCAAGCGGACTTTGGCCACCTCAGTGGGCGACGTCAGGAACACCTGGAGCAGAGAAGGAAGCAGGGGTCAGCCACCTGTGGCTCTGCCCACAGCCTGGACCTGGCCTCCCACCAGCCTCATGTTGCTCACGGTGACCTCAGGAGGTTGGGCCCCGAGACCCTGCAGGCTGGCCCAGGGCTGGGGGGCCACGGGGCCCAAAGCCAGCTCCGCCCACCCAATGCCAAAGCCCATGCTTCCTCGGCAGCCACATCTCTCCCAGGCCAGCCTGCCAGGCTTCTCCTGGGACGTGTAAGATAATTTCCATGACCCAGGTTCAAGAACGTATTTAGTAACATATCAGCAATAAAATAATACCATGGCCAGGCGCAGCGGCTCACGCCTGTAATCCCAGCACTTTGGGAGGTCAAGGCAGGCGGATCACGAGATCAGGAGTTTGAGACCAGCCTGGCCAATATGGGTGAAACCCCATCTCTACTAAAAATACAAAAATTAGCCGGGCTTGGTGGCGCGTGCCTGTAGTCCCAGCTACTCAGGAGGCTGAGGCAGGAGAATTGCTTGAACCTGGGACGTAGAGGTTGTAGTGAGCGGAGATGGTGCCACTAAACACTGGCCTGGGTAACCGAGCAAGACTCTGTCTCAAAAAAAAAAAAAAAAATCACTAGACATACTGGCTGCCACTTTGTGGGTACTCATTCATGTCGGACTCCACATATGTGTGCTGGGGGCTTTACCCTCATGATTTCACTAAATTCTCATCATGCCTCTTACAGATGGAGAGACAGAAGCTCCAAGAGTCTCCCTTGCTTGCCCAAGGTTGCTCAGCTCATGAGGGTCAGAGCTGAGAGCTGGGCCTGGTGGTCTGGACCCCTGGGCCAGGCCTTCAGCTGCTGGGCTGCTCCAGCTGGCTCCGTGCTGTCACCAAGTGCGAAAGTCTGTCTCCCCTGCGGGAGCAAGGGCTCCCTGAGGGCAGGCGGGCACCGCAGGTGCTCCATGCACAGTTGAGGATGGAGAAATGCCCACATCCAGCAATGGCCGACTGTGTTCAGGCATCTCCGTGCCTGGAGCCATGAGTGCCCGGGGCCTGCCTATTCAGCTCCCCATGGTGGCTTCTAGGTGACCTTCTGACCGTGACAGGGAGAGTCCCTTTGGTCACAGCCCCCTTCCTGAGGGGGCCGTGCTGGGCAGGACAGCAGCGACCCCCTCATCTGTGTGCTGCTGAGGGGTTCCAGGCCCAGCCTAGGCGGGATGCGAGTTCTTCTCCCACAGCCCCTGACTCCATGCATGGCCTCCAGTGTCTGCCCTCATCAAGCCTCAGTTTCCCCACCTGCCAGGATGGATAACCTCTCAGACCCCGCAGTCTCTCTTGGGCCTTCCCCACCCTGGCTGCCCCTACTCACGCGGACGAGGCCGGAGGCGCATCCCGAGAGCGTGATGTCGGCCTTGGTGGGCTTGGCGTCAGGGTTGCCGTACCGGAGCCGGCAGATGTGCGCCAGGCAGTGGCGGTAGGTGCCAAAAGACACGGAAGATACCAGGGACACCGTGCACACGGGCAGCGAGAGGCCCCGGTAGAAGCCCCACACCTAGCAGACAGGATCCAGGTCAGGCTAGGGCCCCGCCAGGAGGAGGAGCCACCCGAGGGAGCCCACACTCAGCCCTGCTCCGCACTCCGCTGTCGGACCTCGGGAAGGTCATTCACGGCCTCAGGGCCTCAGTTTCCTCTGCTGTAAGATGGAGGTCACAAGGGGGGACCTGAAGAGCCAGAGGACCAGGCCCAACCCAGCCCAGCTGCTTGATGACGATGAACTTTTTTTTTTTGCCCAGGCTGGAGTGCAGTGGCACGATCTTAACTCACTGCAACCTCCGCATCCCAGGTTCAAGCGATTCTCCTGCCTCAGCCTCCTGAGCCACTGCGATTACAGGTGCCTGCCACCACCTCCAGCTAATTTTTGTATTTTTAGTAGAGACGGGGTTTCACCATGTTGGCAAGGCTTGTCTTGAACTCCTGACCACAGGTGATCTGCCTGCTTCGGCCTCCCAAAGTGCTGGGATTACAGGCGTAAGCCACCGCTCCTGGCCTGACAATGAACTAGTAACAGCATGTTCTGCCACTGCTGCTTTCACAAACTAGCCCCTGGCCTGCACCAAGCCCCAAGTCCACGTAGGAGAATGTCGCCAAGTACTGCTCCGGACAGGTCTCTGAGCTAGACCCTAAAGACTCCACCCAACACTGCCTTCAAGGGGTGCCTGGCCTGGAGGAGACAGAAATGCAGTGCATGGGTCCCTCCTCCGACTTTCAAAGACCTGAACGCTACCTCTAGACCCTCTGCTGGAGGTGGGAACCTCCTTCTGAGGCCCCTCTAGCTGCCAGATGTCCTGGCTCCAGACCTCAGAGGAACCCATGAGATTGGCAGAACTATTCCCATGTGGAAGGTGAGAGAGCTGAGACCCAGCGGGGAGCCTGGCATCACCTGCTGGGCAGCGGAGGCAGGCCCAGCATCCCCTCCCTGTCTCCCTACCCAGCCCCTGGCCCCAGACCTACGCGCTCTCGGTGATACGTATCCCGGACGCAGTGCCAGATGCCTGTGTACTTTGGCTCCGTCTGGATCCTGACCTGCAGGAGAAGTGGGCTTCAGGCACGAGCGGCTCCAGGCCTAGGGCAAGGCCAGCAGGCCCTGGGGAAGGGGCAGAGTCACACTCTTGATTGTCCCAGCCATGCTGGACGGTGGCACAGCAGGGACAGGGAGCCTTGTGTTAGACGAGAAACCTGGGGCACAGGGGTGAGAAAGTGGGACTGACATAGTCCCAGGGGCTATGGGGAGCCATTGAAGGCATTTGGGTAGGAAAGGGGTGGGTCTGTTTAGCATTCTAGAAAAGTCTCCTGGCCGTGGACAGGTGCAGGGGCCTTAGGATGGTTGGGGGGCTGGCTATTGCCGCACCTTCACCGTGTCCAGGGGGTAGCCCACAGCAACACCGCAGACGCCTGCAAGGAAAGAAGAGGCCCACGGTGAGGAGAGTGGGGCCGGCGAGCAGTTCAACCCCATTGCAGGGAAGCAGAAGCAGAGCGCACGCTGACTGGGCTCCCCCAAGGGCAGACCCACATTTGGCCCTTCTGGTCTGCACCAGGTCTCATCAATCCTGAGGGCACCCCCGTTTTAGAGATGAGGAAATTGAGCCTCCGAGTGTCTTCTACCCTTTGCAAGCAAGTTCCCCTTCCCTGAGTCCTGGCCCGGGACTGCCTCGTCCTCGCTGCCTTGGGCCAAAGACATGCCGACATGCCCCGGCCTCCCCACGGGCGTCATGCTCTGAGAGAACGTTTGATCCTACCCTAGCTGGGCCCTGTCTCTGAGCCAGGCAGACCTTGCCCTCAAGCCGTCAGCCCATGGAGGGTTTGCCTGTGAGCCAGGCGGTAACTGTGTTTTGGCTGCGTGGGTGGAAGGAGGGGGAGGCACAGCCTGGGCAAAGGCCAGGAGGAGGGAAGCCGAAGCCCACACCGGGGTTCGTGAAGAGCCAGGACTGCCTGGAACCACAAGCGTGTGTGGAAGAGAGAGGGCCGGGAGTCCACACCTTGCAGAGAGGCCTCGGGTGCCAGGCCTCAACATCCAAGCCCCAGCACTGCCACAGGGAAGTCAGAGGGGAAACAGGGTGGTCCCTGGGAGGACCATTCTCTCCCCTGAGGGGAGGTGGTAAAGGCCAATGGAAGAAAATAGGCACATGGGGACTGTACCCTATTCACTGTAGCCCAGGACTCAGTAAATATGTGGGATGAAAGAATGAAGTGAATAAATGTAAGGCAAAAGACCAAGTGGCTTGGAGAGAACGACCCTTCTTAACCCTCCCATACACCTCACACACCTCACCAGGCTCCTACTCATCCATCAAAGCCCTGCCACGACACTACCTCCTCTCTGGAGCCCTCTCTGGCCTCTGTACTCTGGGCTGCCTCTGTGCCTGGAACATGTTGAGCAGAGCCCTTGTCATATGGCCTTGCTGTTGTATGCCACCGCCACCTCCAGAACTGGAGTTCTCCAAGGACACGGCCGAGGGCTGACACCCCATGACCCAGGGCCAGGCACAGAGTGAGAGCCCTTTACCTAGGCCTCCTCATGGCTCCGGAGGAAAGATGCCAGACTCAGGAGCCCTTTCCAGCTGTGTGATGTCAGGCAAGTCCAGTAGCTTCCCTGAGGAAGGGAGCGGCTGGCCCCAGGCTGGCACCTAGCTGGGGCTGAGAAAGGCTGCTAATGGAGGCCGGGCGCAGTGGCTCACGCCTGTAATCCCAGCACTTTGGGAGGCTGAGGCGTGCGGATCGCTTGAGGTCAGGAGTTTGAGACCAGCCTGACCAACATGGTAAAACCCTGCCTCTACTAAAAACCCAAAAATTAGCCAGACATTGTGGTGCATGTCTGTAATCCCAGCTACTTGGGCGGCTGAGGCAGGAGAATCACTTGAACCCAGGAGGCAGAGGTTGCAGTGAGCCAAGATCACGCCAGTGCATTTCAGCCTAGGCGACAGAACAAGACTCCATCTCAAGGGAAAAAAAAAAGAAAAAGCCTGTTAATGGGGCAGGTACTCTGCCTTCTCCCAGGGCCAGAGCTGGGCCGCTCTCCCAACCCCCATGCTGTTTCCAGAAGTACTGACGCCACCCACCGATGTTTCACAAGACCAGCAAGGGCAGGAGTGCCCACTCAGAACAGCCCCCACAGCCCACGGGATGGAGCTGAGCCCGTGTCCCAGGGCCTGGTTATCTCCCTGAATCAGTCTTTCACCAGGAGCCCTTCCCCAGGAGGGAGAACGGTTTCTCCAGCAGAGTCTGGCCTGAGAAGCAGGCTCTGGAGGCCTAGCCAGGTGCACACACCCAGCAGGGCAGGTGGAGCCACCTCGCCAGGCCCCTTACCGTCCTCTGCCCGCCCCTTCCAGTCCCTGCTGCAGGACCAGGCCCATCTTCCCTACCCATCTCCCCACCCTCTCGATCCTCTCCTGGGGTCTTCTTTCCCTTCCAGTGACTCAATCACCCCTCCCCACACCAAGGACTCCCAGCCTCCCTGACTCTGCCTCCCGAGCGGCCCCCATGCCTAGACCACAGCCCCATCCCCAGCCTGCCCTCAGCCTCCTGTCTGAGCCTCCCAGGCCAGTGCAGCCCCCCAGGCCCTGCAGCACCCCTCACCCAGCCTTAGCCTCCCAGGAACCTGCTCTCTGCTCCTGGCAGATCCTGGGGGGTGAGGGGCTCCTCAAAGCCCACCCTGCTGCCCAGCACCTTCCTGGACCTCAGTTCCTCCTGCTACCCCCAGGAGCAGCAGTGTCTGCACAGCCCACCATCCTGTCTGTTACCTCCGATGGCTCCAGCGACAAAATCCATGAACAAGGTGTGGCGGGGAGGCCCTGGGTCTGCCTGCCTGAGAGGGCTTTGGTGCCACCAGGGTGGCCTCAACAGCTCCCAGCTGGCCCCTCTCAGACCTTAAATACCTGCGGCAGGGGAGGGGACCGGAAGCAGAGCCTGCTGAGGCCACGCGGCACACAGCTGGACTCCCTCCCTGCCCCCGGGACCCTTGTCCCAGTGCCCTCGGGACCCAGGTGTCAGGAAAACACAGGAGAGAGCACGGGAGGTGACAGGCACCAGAGAGCAGGGGCACTGCCCCATCACATCCAAACACCTCCTGGGAAGGTCCAGAGATGGGGCTGTGACAGCTCTCGCCCTCCAGGTCCAAGCCCAGGCCTTCACTGTGTCCCCTGGGCTTTCCCGACTCCCCTGGATTTGCTCAGGACCCCTGCCTGGGAAACCTGCAAAGCTCCCTCTCTTACTCACTCAAAAAACACTTACTTTGCTGATGCTACACCCAGGCAAATGAGAGCCAGTCCCTGTCCTCAAGGAGCTCCAGTTGGCAGGGAGGGAGGGGGTGGCAAGGACAGGCCTGAACCCAGGAACAGCACCCACCATCTGCTCTCACCCTTCCCGCTGCCCCGGTTCCCTGCTCTCTGCTCCATGGGAATGTGTCTCCCTGGACCCAGAGGCGAAGGCCAAGGCTGCCTCCACCAAGTCCCCCTGCCCACATGAACCAGGGACAGAGGCTGCCGATTCAGCCTCTGAACCAGCGGCTGGGGCCCTCCTGAAGGGGAAACCTCTCCACTAAGACGCTACTTCTGTCTGCTGGGCACTGTAAAAACAGGGACCTCCTTGCCCGTGCACCCCACCTTACAGTTCACCAAGCTCCCCTCACTCTCAGGCTCTAGGATCCTCCTCACCGCCCCAGGAGGGAGACAGCGCAGCGTTAGTGCTCCCCATTTCACAGATGGGGCCATTGAGGCCCAGAAAGGGGGCTTGTCCAAGGCCACGAGGGCGGCAGGGCTGGATGTGATCCCCAGATGCTCTCATACAACCCACCCTCTGGGATATCCAGGCCCGCCTGGGGAGGCCCCAGAGGGCTCTCAAGGGGACTCAGTGCATGCCCCATGTGACCTGCACTGCATCCTTGTGAGATCTCCACGTGAGACACCAAGGCTCAGGGAGGCTGTGCAGGTACCTCGGCCACACAGCTGCTGAGCAACAGAATCTAAGTGAGTGCCCCACAGACTGGAATGCCAGCAGGATAGGGGAGGGGCAGGTGTTGATGCATGAGGCCCAGGCAGCCCATCTGGGCAGCCCTCGGGACAGGTGGCAAGGCCAGGAGGCTCTTTGTCTACCTGTTTTCCTGTCCTCTAATGGCTGGACCTGCAGGCTGGCCTTGAGCAGGCTGAGAGCTGATGGAGGGACAGCCCCCCTGCCAGCCCGGCTATTTATAGGCAAGTGGGAGACACAGGATGAGCAGTGCCAGCTGCCACGGCAGAGGGCAAAGGGCGGGAAGTGGCCCATCCAAGGCCAGTCCCAATGCTAGTCCTGGCCCTCAAGGGGATGAAGCTTAGCATCTGGTTAGAAGCTGGCTGCCTGCCTTTAAAGCCCAGCTCTGCCACTCACAGCTGAGACCGTGGGCCAGCCCCTTGACCACTCTGTGCCTCAGCTTCTGCATCCATGAAATGAAGAGAGTACCTGCCTCATATCTGCGACCACGCAGGGCAAAGTCCGGGCGTGTCCCTGTGAGAGTGGCCAGCTAAATGCTAATGCTGCATTAACAGAAGCATAGAGTCTGGAAGGAAGGAGGTGGCTGGCCTGTTCTGGGCAGGGCAAATACAGCTGAGACTTGGGTTTGATTGCTGATGCTGCACTCAAGAAGCCAGTACCTTGGGTGCTGAGGGAGTTTGAAGCACTGTGTCTAACTGAAAGAACAGGGACCATTCAGATCCATGTTTCCTGTAGAGCATCCAATGCAGCAAGTGCCACCCACCCATAGCACCTGAGCCAGAAGCCCAGGAATTGCCCTGGACACCTCTCTCTCTCCACCCCACATCCAGAGTCCCCAGTCCTGTGTGTCAACCTCTTAAATTCACGTTCAGCTCCCTTCACCACTGTCCATCTGCACGGCCTCAGCCGCGTCATCATCCCGTGGACCGCAGCCCGCCCCGCCCATGCCCTCTACTCATGAAACCAAGGCTGCCTGTCGAGTTTTAGGCACGGGGACACATCAGTAAACACAACGGATAAAAGCCCTTGCCCTGGGCTGGGCACGGTGGCTCACGCCCATAATCCTGGCACTTTGGGAGGCTGAGACGGGCAGATCACAAGGTCAGGAGTTCAAGACCAGCCTGGCCAACATGGTGAAACCCCGTCTCTACTAAAAATACAAAAATTAGCCAGGCGTGGTGGTGGACACCTGTAGTCTCAGCTACTTGGGAGGCTGAGGCAGGAGAATTGCTTGAACCCGGGAGGCTGAGGTTGCAGTGAGCCGAGATTGGGCCACTGCACTCCAGCCTGGGAGACAGAGTGAGACTCTGTGTCCCAAAAAAAAAAAGCCCTTGCCCTGGTGGACCATAATTATGTTCAGGGAGGAGGACAGCCAGCCAACAGATGAATAGCCAAAATACAGAGTACCCGCAATGGCGGCAAGTGCCAGGAGAGAAATAAGGTGTCGGGGAGAGGGAGACTTGCAGGAGGTGTTAGGGAGGCCCCAGAAGGTGACATTTGAGACAAGCATGTTCTCAGTCATCGCAGCCAAGTTTTACCTGCCCTTTGTCTCCTGAACAAACATGCCCTAACTTGACCCTCTTCTCTGAGGCAGAAATAGAAAACAGGCCACCCCACCATTTAGGCTGCTTCGTGCAGGTCTAAACATTTCCCCACTCAGCTGTGGGCTTCAGGCAGGCAGGGTGGTGCTGGGTTTGTCTCCACACCCATGGCACCCAGAATAGGTGGGCACCCTGGGGAGACCACGTAAATAAGTATGTGAGAAAATGAGTCAGTGAACAGATGGAAGGATGGATGGATGGACAGAGGGATGGAGGGACGGATGGAGGAGGGCTGGGCAGACAGATGGATGGATGGAAGACAAACGGAGGAGGGAGAGATGGGCAGGTGGACAAATGGATGGATGGGAGGAGGGCTGGACAGACGGATGGATGAGTGGGTGATAGATGGAGGGACGAGTGGATGGATGAAGGGGTAGAGCGATGAACGCATGGACAGAAAGACAGATGGAAGGATGGCAGGGGCCCCACAAGAAAGGGGTGAGACAGTGTTGCAGAATCTGAGACAGGCCGTCAGTCAGTCCACACCCTCAGCACCCACACTGTGCTGGGCCCTAATGATCAAAGGGACCTCAAAAGGATGTCACTCACCAGCCCCCATCACCCCATCCATCCTTTCCACCGAGCACCTTGTCCTCCCTGAAGGTGTGCACCTGGAGGCCCTGCCCTCCTGGGTGTCCTCAGCTGGAGATAGCCAATGGCATTAGATCACTTTATTTGCTTTTTTATTTTTAATTTTTATTGTTTTAGATGGAGTCTCGCTCTGTCGCTCAGGCTGGAGTACAGTGGTGCAATCTTGGCTCACTGCAACCTCCATCTCCTGGGTTCAAGCAATTCTCCTTGAACCAAGGAGGTGGATGTTGCAGTGAGTTGCCTCCTGAGTAGCTGGGATTACAGGCACGTGCCACCATGCCCGGCTAATTTTGTTGTATTTTTGGTAGAGATGGGGTTTCACCATGTTGGCTAGGCTGCTCTCAAACTCCTGACCTCAAGTGATCCCACCCATCTCAGCCTCCCAAAGTGCTGGAATTACAGGAATGAGCCACCGCACCCAGTGGCATTAGATGACTTTAAACAATCATTATTATTCTTGTTAGGTGCAATAATGGCACCAAAGTTCTGTGAGAAAATGCCTATATTTCTTAGAGATACAAACAGAAGTACAGGTTGGTGAAATGGCACGATGGCTGAAATTTACTTTAACATTGTCTGGCAAAAAAAGAAAGGAAGAAAAGGAGAAAGATGATGAGTATATGGCCTTTGTCGTAGTCCGTGATAAAAAGGAGTAGCCGGGTGTGGTGGCGCATGCCTGTAGTCCCAGCTATTCAGGAGTCTGGGGTGAGAGGACGACTTGAGCCCGGGAGTTCTGGACTGTAGCGCACTGTGCTGATTGTCCAATACACTACAGTCAGCATCCATACAGTGACCTCCCAGGAGTGGGAGACCACCAGGTTGCTTAAGGAGGGGTGAACCCGCCCAGGCTGGAAATGGAGCAAGGCAAAACTCCTGTGCCAATCAGTAGTGGGATTATGCCTGTGAATAGCCACTGCACTCCAGCCTGGGCAACATGGCGAGTGAGACCCCATCTAAAAAAATTTAAAAAGTAGTAAAAGGGCCAAGGGTGGTGGCTCACGCCTATAACCACAGCACTTTGGGAGGCTGAGGTGGGCGGATCACCTAAGGTCAGGAGTTTGAGACCAGGCTGGCCAACATGGTGAAACCCCATCTCTACTAAAAATACAAAAATTAGCTGGGCGTGGTGGCGGGGGCCTGTAATCTCAGCTACTCAGGAGGCTGAGGCATGAGAATCGCTTGAAGCCAGGAGGCGGAGGTTGCAGTGAGCTGAGATCATGCCACTGCACTCCAGCCTGGGTCTCATTGAAAAAAAAAAAAGTAGTAAAAGAACAGTGAACAGGAATGAAGCTGTTTGTACCCTGTCCAGCCTCCTTCCAGGCCTCATCGTTCCTGCCTGTTCGAGGGGAGGAGCCCTCAGCCTAGGGTCTGGCCCGGGGCTCTGCCTCTCCCGGCTGTGCTACCCTGGGCTGGTGGCGTGACCTCTCGGGGTCTTGATTTTTCCAGCAGGCGATGGACCTGGGGTCTTCTGCGGACGGCAGGAGGCAGAGCCTGGGAGAGTCCACTGGAGCCAGCCGGCTGCCCCTCCGACAGGCAGGGTGACTGCTAGGAGATCCAGGCTGCCTTCAGGCCTCCTCCACCGGCGCCCGAGCCCACGCTGTGCGCGGCCCGGGCTGCCCTTGCGGGAAGGCTGCGTTGTCCCCTAGGGGGCGGCAGACGTTGCCCAAGCAACCAACCCGGGCGCCGCAGAGGGCTTCGGGAGGGGGCCTGCAGGCCCTGCTGGCCGGGCCACACATTCTAAAATACCTTTTTATTTTTATAACGAAAGGAATAACTACAGGTTATGATTATTTTTAACCCACACAGAACTGATGGAGCCAGCATGGAAAGTGAAAGTCTCACCACCCAGCCTGAGGACCCGCCTGCAGCGATCCGGCCAGCACTAGCCTTTCCTTTATCTTCCTCTTTCTTTTTTTTGAGACAGAGTCTCGATCTGTTGCCCAGGCGGGAGTGCAGTGGTGCTATCTCGGGCTCACTGCAAACTCCGCCTTCCGGTTTCAAGCGATTCTCCTGCCTCAGCCTCCTGAGTAGCTGGGATTACAGGCGCCCACCAACACGCCCAGGTAATTTTTGTATTTTTAGTGGAGACGGGGTTTCACCATGTTGGCCAGGCTGGTTTTGAACTCCTGACTTCGGGTGATCCACCTGCGTCAGCCTCCCAAAATCTCTGAGAAATATAGGCATTTTCTCACCCCAGGCCCAGGGCCCTAGCCATGATCACACCACTGCACTCCAGTCTGCCAACAGTGAGACCTTGATCCCCAAAATAAATAAGTAAAATGAAACAAGCCAGCCCTGTGCCCAGGATATGAGAGCCTATATGCTCCAGGCTTGGCCCGTGTGTGTTTGGGTATATACAATGCCCAGCTGGCTGCTGCAGACCACACGACCCCAGGCAGTGGGTGGGTGCAGTCTCACCCACTCTGGAAGGGAGTGGGTGTGCCTTTGGGGTGAGATTGGTGTGTGGAGCAGGATGAGCCCCCGCTCAGTCCTCCCAGACACTCTAGCCTCCCTCTGAAATCCTGAAAGCTAGGGCCCTGGGCCTGGGGTCTCTGAGCCCGTGCGGCCCCTGGGACAGACCTTCAAGCTACAAAGCCTATCACAGGGCATTCGTGCTGTCTCCCCTCCCTGGAAACAGGGTGCAGAGGTAGGGCTGCCTCCCAACTCCAGCTTCCACTCCTGCAGGAAGAGGCACTAGATGCTACCTTTCCCACTGAGGTCATCACAGGTGTCAAACCCCACCCCGTGGGCCCACTGCCACTGCTCCTGTTACCGATAAGGACACCACAGCCCAGACAGAAGCAGCCGATGAGAGTTCGGGAAAAGGGTGGGCACAGTGGCTCACGCCTGTAATCCCACCACTTTGGGAGGCCGAGGCAGGCGGATCACCTGAGATCAGGAGTTCAAGACCAGCCTGGCCAACATGGTGAAACCTCATCTCTACTAAGAATACAAAAATTAGCCGGGTGTGGTGGCACCCGCCTGTAATCCCAGCTACTCGGGAGGCTGAGGCAGGAGAATTGCTTGAGCCTGGGAGACAGAGGTTGCAGTGAGATGAGATGGTGCCACTGTACTCCAGCCTGGCCAACAGAGCGAGACTCTGTCTGGAAAAAAAAAAAATGGCCAAGCGCAGTGGCTCAAGCCTGTAATCTCAGCACTTTGGGAGGCCGGGGTGGGCGGATCACGAGGTCAGGAGTTCAAGACCAGCCTGGCCAACATAGTGAAACCCTGTCTCGACTGAAAACACAAAAAAACAGCTGAGCATGGTGGCGGGTGCCTGTAAACCTAGCTACTTGGGAGGCTGAGGCAGGAGAATCTCTTGAACCAGGAGGTGGAGGTTGCAGCGAGTCTAGTTCACACTGCTGCACACCAGCCTGGGCAACAGAGTGAGACTCTCAAAAAAAAAAAGGTCCAAGAAAAGACCTGGAATTTGAGGCCCAGCTCTGCCACAGATGACACCGTAGCCAATGGACTTAACTCCTGTGCCTCGGTTTCCCTATCTGTGAACGGGGACAACAGCCAGCTGCAGCAGGGTTAACAGGTATTAGTAATCAGAGGCAGAAGTGAAGTCAGAGGGCTGACCACGCAGGTCAGGTCAGGCCCTGCTGCTGGCGTTCCTGAGCCCCCACCACACCCTGGCTCTGTCCCTTCAGAGTCCCCAGACCCGTAAGCCTTTTGGGGGGCTGCTTCTTGCAGCATCTCCTGCTGCCCACATTTCTCCCTGCTCTCCAGCCCTTTGTGCCCTGACCAGGAGGCGTCCTTAGACCTGGAGTCCACTGGCTGCAAGGGCTGAGAAGGCCACTTGTCCTGGACCTCAGGGTTCTCACCTGGATCCAAGGCACAGGGAGGTTGGACTGAGGAAAGGGAGGCCCTCTCCAGAGCAGGGCCTGGGGCCTATCATATCAGCTCATGTGGGCAAAGGAAGGGATTGACTTCTGTCTGTTATTCCTTCATTCATTCACTCGTGTGCACCTTCTCATGCCAGGCCCCACGCTGGGCAGGGGAGCCAGAGATGCCACCCTCGCCCACCTGTGGCCCCAGCCTGGCTGGAGAGTGTGTAATCTATTACTGCATAACAAATTGCCCCAAAATTTAGCTGCTTTAAACATCAGACATTGGCAGGGCGTGGTGGCTCACGCCTGTAATCCCAGCACTTTGGAAGGCCAAGGCAGGCGGATCACGAGGTCAGGAGATCGAGACCATCCTGGCTAACATGGTGAAACCCCGTGTCTACTAAAAATACAAAAAAATTAGCCAGGTGTGGTGGCGGGCGCCTGTAGTCCCAGCTACTCGGGAGGCTGAGGCAGGAGAATGGCATGAACCCGGGAGGTGGAGCTTGCAGTGAGCCGAGACCGCAACACTACACTCCAGCCTGGGCGACAGAGCGAGACTCCTAAAAAACAAAACAAAACAAACAAACAAACAAAAACAAAACAACAAAAATCGACATTTATGATCTCATAACTCCTGAGGGTCCAGAAGCCATGAATAAACTGGCTGGGTGGCTCTGGATGAGGGGCTCTCATGAGGCTGCAGTCATCTGGAGACTAGGCTAGGTTGGGAGGACCCCTGCCGAAGTGACCCACTCACACGGCTGTGGGCTGGAGGCTTCAGCTCCTCACCACACTGCCGACCTCCCCACAGCACTGCTTGGGCACCCTCACAACATGGCACCAATGTCCCCCAGCACGAGTGATCCAGGAGAGCAAGGAGGGGCTGTAGTGCCTTTTAGGACCCAGTTTCAGAGGCAATGCATTGTCTTTGCCACCATTTTCTATTCACTGGAAGCGAGTCACTAAGTCCAGCCCACGCTTGCTGGGAGGGAAGTGAGGTTTCGCCTCTTGAAATGGGGGAGCACTAAAGACTTGTGGACATATTTTCAAGCCACCACAAAGAGCCAGGAATGGAAACAGATGGATGTGGCAGGCCCCTGCAAGGACCCCAGAAGCCTGTCTCAGTCTTGGCTGTTGTGGAGGTTTCAGCAAAGAGAAGAGAGATGAGCCCTCTGGAAAGCAGATGGAGACGTCCTCGCAGGCAGCAGTAGGAGTGCATGCCTAATGGGCACACCGGCCTGGACGTGCTTGGCAGGGAGTGGCTGGGGTGAGGCTGGCAGGCCAGCAAGGACTGGGAAGGGCTTGGAGCTCCCAGGCTGGAGCAGCACAGCACATCCAGGGAAGGCAGTGAGCCCGGTGGGGCAGTGGCAGATGAAGGAGGGGAGACAGGACAGAATCCCAGGCAGGAGGTGCCTTGGAGGGGAAAAGAGAGGCAGCTTCGAAGGGAAGCCTCCTGCAGGCAGGCTCACCAGGCGCCCCTGCTAGCCAGGCCTGGCACACAAAGATGCTCAGTAAACGCATGGGCACAGTGGCTCACACCTGTAATCTTGGCACTTTGGGAGGCCAAGGCATGAGGATTGCTTTGAGGTCAAGGAGGTCGAGACCAGCCTGGGCAACTTAGCAAGACTCTGTCTCTAAAAAAAAAAAAAAGAAAGAAAAAGAAAAAGAAAAAGAAAAAATAGCTGGGCATGGTAGTGCATGCTGTAGCCCCAATTACTTGAAAGGCTAGGGTAGGAGGATCCTTGAGCCCAGGAAGTCAAAGTTGAAGTGAGCCGTGATTGCGGCCTCGGAACGCCAGCCTGGGTGACAGAGACTCTGTCTCTAAAACAAAAAAAAAAGGAAAAGAAAAAAATCCACACATGGACAGGGTGAACGGGAAGCTGCCTGCCACCCTCCGTTTGCACAGCAAGGCCTGTGAAGGAGTGACTTTGGAGGTGAACCCGGCTCCCAGCTGGCCTTCACGCTCTCACGTGTGGCGCAGACACTGGAGGGCCAAGTGGCAGAGGAGCTCAATAATGGGGCTGCGGTGGGAACTCCAGAGGACAGAGCCCGAAGCAGGGGCAGGTAGCAGAGCCCTACGCAGCTGCCCCAGGAAGACGCAGCTCTGCCCGATGCCGGCACGTGCTGGGCAGGTAACTGGTCCCAACACACCTCGGGCTCAGTACACGTTGTCCTTTCTGCCAGCCTCCCCGCCCTCTCCCGCCCACTCCTGCCTCCAGGTGCCATCTCCAGCTCACCCTACCACTCCAACCCAGTTTGCCCTGACTGGAGGCCTGGGACTGCCTGCTCACCCAGCCATACCCACTGTGACAATGGGAACCTGAGAGAGGGCACAGCCAGGCCCCCGCAGCGTCCCAGGGCTGCCCCCGAGGCTAAATTCTGTGAGCCCTGGGCAATGTAGGAAGGCCAAGGGCCGCAAGCCCACGCTGTCTCCACAGACGCCTGGCTGAGCTCCTCTTGCCGGCCCCTCTGTGTCCTGACCAGGTGGCCGCACCATCCCTCTGGCCTTCTGCCTCTGGAGCATACCCCGCCCCCACTCCTGCCCCCTTCAGCTCTATTTTTATCCAAGAAGCACTCGCCATGTGTTATTTATGTCACTCCCCATCTTGAGTTTCTGGTCCTCTCATAATCTGGCCCAAGCCTCCTCAGGCTTCGTGGCCCCCTTGAAGGCCAAGTGGGTTCTGAATGGCACCCGGCCTGCCCAGAGCCCACAGCTCGCCTGCACAGTAGCCCTGGGAAACTAAACGTTTGCAACCAATGGCAATACAAGAAACCCACACACCTTGGTGGCAACTGTGGGACTGAATGTGTTGTGCCAAGAGGCCCCAAGCCCTTCAGCCTCTGAGGCCCAGAGGGCACCCCCTGGCAAAGAGGGGTCACTCCCACTGAGTGGCTGAGAGCTGGAGATTTATCCAGACGGCAAATGTTTATTCACAGCAAGAAAGAGACCAGTTGGGCAGTCATGACTCGCCAGTGCCAGGCCTCAAACCAACAGCTCGGGCCCCAGCCCCTGGCCACAACGCCACCTGACCTGTTCCTGGGTTTTCAGCAGCTGTTTGGGACCTTTGCTAGCTGGGGCCGGGAGCCCCACTGCGGGGGCCCCGATTTCCCCCAACCCATCCAGACCGTTGAAGATGCCCTTAGGAAGCCTTCAGGACTTCAGCTGATTAATTACATTCACACTTATCTTCCACTTCCTGCAAAGGTGTGGACAGTTGTGGGCAGAGAGCCAGAGCATCTTGCCCTAGAACAGCACGGCAGGCACTCTCCCTGCTCTGTGCCAGCTTGGTGTGAGGCCCCCACGTGCATAGACCAGCCCCTAGAATTCTCCCCAGCCCGGTTCACAGATGACAAACCTGAGGCAGGAAGGCTCATGGGTCAGCGCAGCCAGGAGGAGTCCCAGCTGAGACTAAAAGCAGAACTGTCTGAGTTGGTGTGGGGAAAAGCAAGAGAGCTCAGATTGTTACTGTGTCTGTGTAGAAAGAAGTCGACATAGGAGACTCCATTTTGTTCTGTACTAAGAAAAATTCTTCTGCCTCGAGATGCTGTTAACCTATAACCCCACCCCCAACCCTGTGCTCACAGAAACATGTGCTGTGTCCACTCAGGGTTAAATGGATTAAGGGCCGTGCAAGGTGTGCTTTGTTAAACAGATGCTTGAAGGCAGCATGCTTGTTAAGAGTCATCACCACTCCCTAATCTCAAGTACCCAGGGACACAAAACACCGCGGAAGCCCGCAAGGACCTCTGCCTAGGAAAGCCAGGTATTGTCCAAGGTTTCTCCCCATGTGATAGCCTGAGATATGGCCTCGTGGGAAGGGAAAGACCTGACCGTCCTCCAGCCGGACACCCGTAAAGGGTCTGTGCTGAGGAGGATTAGTAAAAGAGGAAGGAACCCCTCGTTGCAGTTGAGACAAGAGGAAGGCATCTGTCACCCGCTCGTCCCTGGGCAATGGAATGTCTGGGTGTAAAACCCGATTGTATATTCCATCTACTGAGATAGGGGAAAACCGCCTTAGGGCTGGAGGTGGGACATGCGGGCAGCAATACTGCTCTGTAAGGCATTGAGCTGTTTATGTGTATACATATCTAAAGCACAGCACTTAATTCTTTACTTTGTTCATGATGCAGAGACCTTTGTTCACGTGTTCACCTGCTGACCTTCTCTCCACTATTATCCTATGACCCTGACACATCCCCCTCTCCGAGAAACACCCAATAATGATCAATAAATACTAAGGGAACTCAGAGGCTGGCGGGATTCTCCGTATGCTGAACGCCGGTCCCTGGGCCCCCTTTTTTCTTTCTCTATACTTTGTCTCTGTGTCTCTTTCTTTTCCAAGTCTCTCGTTCCACCTAACGAGAAACACCCATAGGTGTGGAGGGGCAACCCACCCCTTCAAGTTGGATCTTCCTGAATCTATCCTTAGAGATGGTCTCAACCCACAGTTTCACAGCCACCTTAGAACCACTAAAGAGCCTGGTTTAAACGCAGCTTTTGTCTCTACCTGCTCCCTGGGGCTGACTTCTTAGGTCTGGGGCAGGGCCTCAAAATCTGCCTTCCTAGCTGTTTGCCAAGGTGGCGGCAACTCAGCCCCACAGGGACCCACTGGCCAATTCCAACCCCAGAGGTCTAGAGAGGGAAAACCTGTGGCCAAGGCCACACAGCAGGACAGAGCAGAGTCTGGGTCCTCTCACCAGGCTGGGCTCCAAGGCTGCCTGCTCGCCCCTTGCTCAGGTTGGGAGGAGGCAAAGCTGGTGGGGCACAGCGTGGCGACCTGCCCCCTGTGGTTCCAGCTATTCAAGAGGCTGAGGTGGGAGGATGGCTTGAGCCCAGGAGGTTGAGGCAGCAGTGAGCTGTGACTGCACCACTGTACTCTGGCTGGGCAACAGAGCGAGACCCTGTCTCTCTCTCTCTCTCTCACACACACACACACACACACACACACACACACACACACACACACGGCACCAATCCCATTCCCTCATAACCTAATCACCTCCCAAAGGCCCTGCTTCTAACACCATCACCTCCGGGGTTAAGACTTCAGCATATGAGGAACAAAACACACTGGGGCCTACCTAAGGGTGGAGGGGAGGAGAGAGAGGATCAGTGGGCATTAGGCTTAATACCTAGGTGACAAAATAATCTGCACAACACACCCCCATGACATGGGTTTACCTATACGACAACCCTGCACATGTACCCCTCAACTTAAAAGTTAAAAAAAAGGACTTCAACATATGAACTTTGGGGGGACACACACATTCAGACCATGGCAGGTCAGCCAAGCCCCTTCTGAAGAGGTAAGCATTGAGCAGGAACCCAAATCCTGTTTGTTTATTTATTTATTTATTTTGAGACAGAGTCTCCCTCTGTTGCCAGGCTGGAGGGCAGTGGCGTGATCTCGGCTCACTGCAACCTCTGACTCCCAGGTTCAAGCAATTCTCCTGCCTCAGCCTCCCAATTAGCTGGGATTACAGGCATGCACCACCACGCCCAGCTGATTTTTGTATTTTTTTTTTTTTTGAGATGGAGTCTTACTCTTGTCACCCAGGCTGGAGTGCAGTGGCAAGATCTCGGCTCACTGCAACCTCCGCCACCTGAGTTCAAGCGATTCTCCTGCCTCAGCCTCCCGAGTCGGTGGGATTACAGGTGCCTGCCACCGCGCCTAATTTTTTTGTATTTTTAGCAGAGACGGGGTTTCAGCATCTTGGCCAGGCTGGTCTTGAACTCCTGACCTCATGATCCACCCGCCTCGGCCTCCCAAAGTGCTGGGATTACAGGCGTGAGCCACCACGCCCAGCCAGAACCCAAGTTCTAGAGGTAACGACGCCAGGCCAGGCAGAAGCTTCCAACATGGCAAAACCCCATCTCTACTAAAAATACAGAAAATTGGCCAGGCATGGTGTCGGGTGCCTGTAATCCCAGGCTACTAGGCCCCTTCCCAAGGACCCCAGGGACTCAGAGGAGCTGCCAGTGCCAAGGCCCTGAGAGGGGCACAAGCTTAGAGGGTGGGCTCCAATAAGAGGGCCAGAGGGCATGAAAGGTGGGAGGTGAGGTTGTAGTCTGGTTACCCTGGGCCTCACACCATGGCACTGAGCTCGAGTATTCCAATATGAGACAGGAGGCGACTGACAGCGCGCCGGCCCCACCAATCTTTGGCCAGGAGTTTGCAACCTGCTCAGGTGGCTCCCATCCCGAGTCTACACCTGTGCTTGCTGCCAGAGCCCTTCTGTGCACTCTCCCCTGCACAGCCTAACTCCTGGGAAGGTCTACACAGCTGGTGCCTCATCCTCTCCCCCTCAACTTGCCCTCTGGCAGCCTGAGTTGCAGCCACCCCCCCCAAGTCCTGGCCCAAACAGCTCCTGCAGGGGGTCATTCAGCTCCAAGATTCCAGGGTGGGGACAGAGACTTGCGTTTCCTTTTTACTTTCTGGCGTTTCTGATTTCTCCACACTGAACCTGTCTTGTGTGAGAATAAAAGCTGTACACAGGGAAAACTCCAACACACCCTTTCCAGTGAGCTGGCTTGACCCTCGGTGCCCCGTGACAGTCCCTCCGGCCTTGCTGTCCTGTGCTGGCCTTGGGTCTGCCCTGCCCCTTAAAAGGCTGGGGTCCTCAGGGCTGCACAGAGCCCTGCCTCCTCTGGGATGGGAGGTCCAGGGCTCTGTGGAACATGGGAGTTTGAGAAAGCACATTCTGTGCTGTAACCTTATCCTCAGGAAATGAAATAAAACAATAGACACTGAACCCAAGTGTCCAAGATGTAGGCATACGGATTCATTTACTTGGCACCAACTTTTTCACTCCTCCTTTCTGGTCTCTCCTCAGCCCTGACATGGAGGTCAGGGATTTGTGTCTGTCTTGTCCCCAACACAGGGCACAGGGCAGTGCGCCGACTGAGTGCATGATTCCCAGGCAGCAGGGAAACAGGGTGCTCAGGAAGATGTGGTTTTGCAAAGTTTAGTAACCCAGCAGCACACCCGTGTGGACGCATCCCTTTCCAGTGCCTGTCCTCACCCCCTCCCCAATGTCCCCCACCCAGTGTCAACTGTGCAGGCCCTGGGCACACCAAGATGAAGGGGACAGACCTGGGACCTGCCCTCAGGGTACTTCCAGCTGAAGGCAGCCCCCTGTCACCCACAAGGGAGCTGAGGCTCCCTTGGCGGGTCAGGTCAGGCAAATCTGTCCCAGAGCCCAGTCCTCCACTGTCCCCCACATGTTGACCTTAGTCCCCAAATCCAACAGCCCTCCCCCGACCACACACACACACCCAGAACCCTGCCCTCTCCTTGCAAAGTGCACAGCTAAGGGCCCGCACTCCTCATCTCCCAGGCCTGGCACGATCCCACTGCTGCCCTCACACGGCCTGCCTCAGCTCTCTCAACAAAGGACCCTCCCTGCAAGGAGGTTTTTCTTTTTGAAATAGGGTCTTGCTCTGTCATCCAGGCTGGTGCACAATGGTTCGATCATAGCTCACTGCAGCCTTGACCTCCTGGGCTCAAGCGACCCTCCTGCCTCGGCCTCCTGAGTAGCTAGGACTACAGGCCTGCAGGCATGCGCCACCACATCCTGCCGATTTTTTTTTTTTTTAGAGATGGGGCCTCACTATGTTGCCCAGGCTGGCCTCAAACTCCTGGCTTCAAGCGATCCTCCTGCCTCAGCCTCCCAAAGTGCCTGGATTACAGGCATGAGCCACTGAACCCAGCCTCAAGGAGGTTTCTGAAGCTCAACTATGGAATACCTACTGTTTACCAGGCTACTAGGCCCCTTCCCAAGGACCCCAGGGACTGACAGCTCAGTGCAACCTGCCCCAAGCATAATTTTCAAGGCATGTGCATTCTCTCAATAACAAAGCAAAACAGGTCATGCTTGTCTCCTTATCCGTTTCCATCATTTTCTCACTACTGCCACATGCTGTCAAGGTACTGGATTTCCCTCCCAAACCTCCTCAACCAGGAATGGATGTGCAGGGATTTGTGCTTTACCTCATGAGCCCTCCAGCATCCCAAGGACATCCTGTTCCTAAGGTAAGTGACTACATGTAGGTAGTCCAGTGTAATCACTGTGTCTGCAGGAGGCCTCCAGCCACCTGAGTAGCCCCACAGCCAGCTCCTGCCCTTTTGGGTCTGGGCTTCTCTTGGGGCCCCCATACCACTGCTTTTCTGGCCCATGGGCCACTCTCCCCCATCCGCACACCTGCCTCCCTGAGGCAACCAAGTGGGTCAGAGAGGCTGTCGATATTCAAACCCAGGCCTCCAGACCCCTCGTTCAGGGCCCACCAGCCATCACGAGCCCTGGACTAGGAGTCAGCAGACCTAGGGTTTGGGTCTCTGCTTAACATTCTACTTAGACTCTAAAAGGAAACTAACATGAGCACTGGGGACCCCTGCCCCTAGCACCAGGCTGCACTACTGACAACACCTACCTGTGTGTCCTAGTACCAAATACACAGAACCTTTCGACCTGCACCTCCAGGAGGTAGGTACCCACTGGAATTTGGATAAAAGAACCATGTGACCCTAAACCTGGAAACGTGGCACACGGTGTGGCCTTGCCTGCCTGCAGGCCCTAAAGAAGGAAGCTGGGCCCGGCCTAAGGCTGATCTGACTCCTACAGCGAAGAGAAAGCGCCTGGCCCGTCCCTGCTCCCAGGCTCCAACCTGACAGTCTGGACCTCCAGAGGCGCTGGGGAAGGGCTGGTGGGAAGTCACCGAATGGGACGCTCCACAGGGACCAGGGCAGTCCCTTGCCACTGCGAATGTCAGGGACTCCTGGGGGGCCGAGTCAGACTCGGCTCTCATTCATCCCCGCAGCCCATGGATACCCTGGTGACCCAGAGCCAAGCACCCTCCGACTTCAGCGCCTGAGCGCGGCCCCTACCGAGCCCCTCCGGTCTCGCCCCGTCCGGCCGCCGCTGACGGAGGCGCTGCGATCTGGCCCGACTCCACTCTGCAGCCCAGTCCAGGAACCTCCCTCTCTCCACAACCTTCCGCGGCTCCCGCGACCCGCAGTCCTCGGGAAGGAGCTGTGGCCCGAAGGCCTGCTGCGCCCTTTGCCCATGGCCCCTTTCCCTTTTAAGGTTCCCTGCTCTCCGCCCAAATCCCAGCCTCAGGCTCCGCAGGAAGCGCCCGTGCGCGTCCGACCCCCAGAACCCGGCGGGTTCGGCCAGGAGTCCGGAAGCCCCGGAGGCCACCGCCGCCGCGGGCGCGCAGGCGGGACGGGCAGAGGCTCCCCACGGGCGATTCCCGCTCGCGGAGTTTCGCAACTAGCGGCGTCCCAGTCTGCGGGCCTCGGAACGTCCCGGCGCTCCACGGCCGTTTTCGCGGCAGGGTCCGCACGGCACAGACTAGGGCGCTGAGGTTCTGCGGCGGCGCCGGACTCCGAACCCAGGGTCCGGTTCCCGACCCGGTCCAGACCAGAGCCACCCCGCGTACTCCGGGTGGGGGAGTCCTCGGCTCAACCCCGCCACCCCGCGCGTCCCCTCCCGCCGGACCTGCGCACCCAGCGCGCTCTTTGTCTGAGGCGTCCCCGCGCCCCGCCCGCGCGCCCACCACGTCCCCCGCGCCCCGCCTCCCGCGCACGCCCGGCCAATGAGGCGCGGCGGCGAAGCGCAGTGCCCGGGGTGTTGTCCGCGCCGTGCCCGCCCATTGGCCTCACTCGGCGCCCCCACCCGGGCCCTGCCGGCAGGCACGAGGGGCGGGGCGCGCGGCCCGAGGTGAGGGACCGCGGGCCGGAGGGGATCCAGCGAGTCAGCTGCCGCCGAGGGACCAGCGCGGGTCTAGCTGCTGCCGCCATCCCCACCATCCCTGACCGCGCCTGCCCGGGCTCCGCGCCAGGAGGAGCGGCCAGGCCCAGCCCCGGCACCGCGCGCTCGGGGACCCCGACGGCGCCCAGCCCGGCGAGGGGCCTCAGGGGGAGGACGAGGAGGAAAGGCGGCCTCGCCGGGGACCCGGCCATGGCGCTGGACTTCTTGGCTGGATGCGCGGGGGGTAAGGAGGCGGCGGGCCGGGCCGGGCCGGGGCGAGGCGTCCGGGGAGGGAGGTCGGCCCACCAGCACGCCCTGGCCTCGCGGCTTCCCGCTGGCGGGGGTCGCCGCGTCTGTGAATGGGGACCACAGTTCTCTTGCCTCGGGCGGGTCTCGTGGGCGTAAATTGACTTCAGGCCCGGGCTGTCCGCGAGGGCAGGTGTCTTTATTCTCTCTGGGCACGCTCGGACGGGAGGTCTGGGGCGCCGGGGCAGCACCGTGGCTGAGCGGAGGCCAGGACTGCCGGGAGGATGCCCCACTGCCCCCCGCGCCGAGGTCCCGGGCTCATCTCCTTCCCCTCCCCCATCCCCATCCGTTGCGCACTGGGAGCAGGGTCCCCTCCCCCGGCCGTATATTTCGGGACTGACTCCACCCCGTCCCGCGCAGCCATCCAGCGGGGTTGGGGCTACGGAGCCGACCCCCTACTCGGCTGGCCTTGGAGGGCACTGAACCACTCTGGCGCCGAGTCACGCCTTGGAACGCCGCCCCTTCCTACGCGGTTTTGTGAGCTGTTGGGGGCGGAAGGGGGGTGGTGGGTGGGTCGGGCGAGCCGGTGTGGGGCACCTTCTCCGAGGCGCGGTCGCGGCTCTGGGGTTCCTCCCATGCAGTTGTCCCCGGGAGGGCCCGGGCGGGCGTGCAGTCCAGGCTCTCCCATGCCCCGACCGTGGGCGTCGGGCACGGCACTTCCCTGTTGGGCCTCTGGCTTCTCTGCTTTTACCTTGAGGGTTAATTTATTCACCAGGATTTAGATGTCGGGGGCGGGGGAGGGTGGTTGGCGGCGGGAGTTGCTGAGAGGGCCGGCCGCTTATCCCTGTTTGGTCCCACTTTTCTCCCAGCACCTGCCCTTGTTCACCGCCTCTTCATCTACTTGGATTTGGCTCGAATAAACCCTCAGCTCCCGGCCAGCGCTGAGAGCCCTGGCGGAAGAGTGGGTAGCGGTGGCCTTAAGTATTAAATCTGTGGCGTCGGAGCCTGCTTCTTGGGGGAGAGACTCGTTGAAAAGGGAGTGTGTTGGGGAGGTGTTGTGCGCTGAGGGGAGTTAGAACTTCCCGGTCGGTTACCCAGTGGGAAGCTGCGGGGCACAAAGCCCAGAATTTGCTGCTAATCGCTGGGTGCCCTGGAGACAGAGGGGGCGTGTCCTCTGCGGATTCCATTCTCACCTTCCCCTCCCGCTTCTGATCTCGCTGTTTGCTCCACCCTTGCTCCCCACCCACTATCAGCTCCAGCGGGTGGGGGTGAAGGGCTGTCCCCAGGCCAACACCTCCTTCCAGGCTTTGGGGAGTGGGGATTCTTTCCCCGGATGGGCAGAGTTCCTTCTGCAGTGGCGCTACCGTCCGTGCTGCCCTCCTGGAAACACCGGGGTTTGGGGCAGGAACACTTCACCTGAAAGCAGGCCTGCTTGGCGCCTCCCGGCACATCTGTGGTCTCCTCTGCACGTCGCTCGCGCAGCCTCCTTGCCTGGAATGTCCTTCGCTGCCCATCCTCATAGGCCCACCTGGGAGAGATCATATCCATGCCCCCTGCCCCAGGTTTGTGGGTCAAGGACTGGCACTGTCTGGTGCTGTAGCACTGGGGCACAGGCCACCCCCCTGCCCCCAGGCCCTGCTTTTCGTGCAACCCCCAGGCACATAATGGCCACCCAGCTAAGGCTCTACAAGCGTAAGCCTGAGCCTCCCAGGTGGACAAGGACAGAAGTCACCTGGGGGCTCACTCCTGGTCTCATCGGAGAAACCTAGGCCCAGAGAGGTGGGGGTACTAAAGCAAAGTCACACCACATGCTCCTCTGATGGCCAGGGTGAGCCTGCAGTCCTCTCCTCTCCCCCTTACTCCAGGGTGCTGGGGTGGCCCCTCAGGACAGTGAACTGACTGTGTCCCAGGCTCCAGGTCCCTGGCACAGCTGGGGTCACACTGACAGCCTGCCCAGAGGCACCCCACCTTGGGACCCGTACCCCAGCAGCCCCTGCCTGGCTCCTTCTTGGGGTGCCCCCAACCTACAGGCTCAGGGCAGATAATGCCAGTGCTTCTCCTTGGTGGCTGGGGAGGGGGACTGTCCACCCCCTACTATTCGCCTAGTGTGGGTCACGTGTTTTAACTTCTCAGGGAGGCGGGGCCAGCATCTTGACTGACAGCATCCTTGAGGCCTTGCATGGTGGAAGGTTTGGAATGCCTCCCCCTCTCCCCTACTGGGGGATCAACCCAAATCTTGAGGCCACATAGACACTGGGCTCTGGATGGACAGAAGCAGGCGCAGAGAGAAAAGCTCAGCTAGGGGTGGGAGAACCCGGGAGGAGAGGTAACCCCAAGAGGGAAGGGTGCCTCTTCCACTACCTCTGCTACCAGCCATCCCCAGGACAGTGGTTCCTCCCCACCCCGCCCAGCCCTGAGGACTACTGGTTGGGGATTGCCTCCGGAGCCCAGCTTAGGGAGGACAGTAGACAGTAGGCTTTGGAGTTGGGAGACAGGGTTCCGCTTCTGCTGGTGTGACTGGAGGCCTCCTCGTGCGCTCAGAAAGGTGGTGAGGAGGCTCCTCCAATGGAGGCCGGCCCCACAGCCCACACTGTTCCTGAGGATGGGTTCTTCTGGGTGAAGGAGACCAAGCCCCTCGCCGAAGGGTGCTGAAACAAGTCAGAAGAGAAAGTGGGAACCAGTGCCTCTCCTGGGAGACTTGAGTGGGGCCTTGTGGGAGTGGGGCCTCCCAACAGAGGCAAGTGGCGTAAGGGTCTTTCTGCTCTCTCCCTCCCACGCCTTGCTGCTGTTGCTGTCACCTGGGCAGGTCTGGGGCCAGAGGCGTGACCATGCACCCACAGGAAGGGGACCCCACAGCTGGACCTAGCTTCAAGGGACATGGAGGGGCCTCGAGGGGCCCCCTGCTGGAGGGAGAAGTAAAGTCCAGTGGCACATCCTGGGCAAGTGTTCAGTTTCCAAAACCGAGGGAAATCCAGATACTTCCCAAGAAAAGAGGTTCTAGAACGAGGATTTTCAGCTTTAGAAAATTAAAAAGCTGAAGTGGAAAAGAGGATGGATTTCCTGTTTCCAGGATGCAAAGGCCTCCCAGAAAATCAGAAACCCAAATGGAAGTCATGAAAGAAAAGATAGGCTTGGTGGTTGCTTCTTCATTCACCTGTGAATGTTAGAGGCTCTGGAAGAAGAAGGAACAGGTCTGGAGATGATTAATATGATGAATAAATAATAGTGGAAATTTTCCCTGATCAGAAGAGGGCATGAGTCTGCACAGTGAAAGTGTTGGTAGAGCTCCAGGCAGGGTTACTTTAAAGAAAAAGACACACCCTTGGCATCTCCTGGTGACATTCTTGAAATCCACAGATAAAATCTCAGCGACCTCCCACAGAATAAATAAACCATTGACAAAGGAGAAAAAAAAAAAAAACATTGGCAGCAGATTTCTCATCTGCAGCACTGAAAGCCAGAGGACCAAGGCTGGCCTGGGCCCAGGATTCTCAACCAGAGCATTCATACTGTTCCCCAACCAGATTAAGAAATAGATTTTGAGCCGGGCTCAGTGGCTTACACCTGTAATCCCAGCACTTCGGGAGGCTGAGATGGGTGGATCACGAGGTCAAGAGATCGAGACCCTCCTGGCCAACATGGTGAAACCCCATTTCTAAAAATATAAAAATTAACTGGGTGTGGTGGCACGCACCTGTAGTCCCAGCTACACAGGAGGCTGAGGCAGGAGAATCACTTAAACCCGGGAGACAGAGGTTGCAGTGAGCCGAGATCGCGCCATTGCACTCCGGCCTGGGTGACAGAGCAAGACTATCTCAAAAAAAAAAAAAAAAAGAAAGAAATAGATTTTGGGCCGAGCTTGGTGGCTCAAGCCTGTAATCCCAGCACTTTGGGAGGCCGAGGCAGGTGGCTCACTTGAGGTCGGGAGTTCAAGACCAGCCTGGCCAACATGGCAAAACCCCGCCTCTACTAAAAATACAAAAATTAGCCGGGTGTGGTGGCGGGAGCCTGTAATTCCAGCTATTCGGGAGGCTGAAACACAAAAATCACTTGAACCTGGGAGGTGGAGGTTTCAGTGAACTGAGATTGTGCCATTGCATTCCAGCCTGGGCGACAGAGTGAGACTCTGTCTCAAAAAAAAAAAAAGAAAGGCTCTAATGAAATGGCAGTTGATGAGTAGAGACCCCAAGATTGAAGGAGAGGGCATCGTTGTGCATTGAGTCTCACGGTCTCAATGAGGAAAATGTCAATGGAAGGTGGCAGGGATGGGAGCCTTCTTCGGGTAGCTCTTACTGGGGTGGGTGGGGCAGAAGGAGGCAGAGAGTCGTGGGGGAGGCGGTGCTTACCCTGTTTCTATATAATGATTAGACGTATTAGAAGCAGGAAGTGCCGGGCGTGGTGGCTCACACCTGTAATCCCAGCACTTTGGGTGGCCGAGGCGGGTGGATCACGAGGTCAGGAGATCGAGACCATCCTGGCTAACAAAGGTGAAACCCCGTCTCTACTAAATATGCAAAAAATTAGCCAGGCGTGGTGGCGGGCACCTGTATTCCCATCTACTCGGGAGGCTGAGGCAGGAGAATGGCGTGAACCTGGGAGGCAGAGCTTGCAGTGAGTCGAGATCGTGCCACTGCACTCCAGCCTAGGTCTCAAAAAATAAATAAATAAAAATAAAAAGCAGGAAGTAACCCTTTGCTGAAATTACAAATTAACAATTAGAAAGGGAATAAATAGCTGGGCGTGGTGGCTCACGCCTGTAATCCCAGCACTTTGGGAGGCCGAGGCAGGCGGATCAATGAGGTCATGAGTTTTAGACCAGCCTGGCCAACATGGCGAAACCCCTTCTCTACTAAAAATACAAAAATTAGCTGGGTGTGGTGGGGTGGGCCTGTAGTCCTGCTGAGGCAGGAGAATCACTTGAACCTGGGAGGCAGAGGTTGCAGTCAGCCCAGATCGCGCAACGGCACTAGCAAGACTCTCAAAAAAAGAAAGGGAATAGGCCAGGCGTGGTGGCTAAAGTCTGTAATCCCAGCACTTTGGGAGGCCAAAGTGGGCGGGCCACAAGGTCAGGAGATCGACACCATCCTGGCTAACATGGTGAAACTCTGTCTCTACTAAACATACAAAAAATTAGCCAGGTGTGGTGGCGGGCGCCTGTAGTCCCAGCTACTCGGGAGGCTGAGGCAGGAGAATGGCATGAACCCGGGAGGTGGAGCTTGCAGTGAGCCGAGACCGCAACACTACACTCCAGCCTGGGCGACAGAGCGAGACTCTGTCTCAAAAAATAAAAAATAAATAAAAGAAAGGGAATAAATAGTAATTTTCCCAAACCATCAAAAGTATGGAAAAAGGAGTAAAATAAACCATTTACATAAAATAAAGTGGCATAAAAATGTCAGATCCCTCAGTTGTTCCAGCAAAATCAGACTGCTTTAGACTGGGTTAGAAAACAAAATCCAGATACAGTTGTTTACAACAAACATCTAAAAGAAGATAGTAAGAAAAGGTTCAAAACTACACATTGGGCACAGTGGCTCATGTCTGTAATCCCAGCACTTTGGGAGGCTTGGCTTTTTTTGAAGTCAGGAGTTTTCTTGAACAAAGCCTGGGCAGCATGGCAAGACCCATCCTGCCAAAATTACAAAAATTAGCTGGGTGTGGTGGCTCATGCCTGTTGTCTCAGCTACTTGGGAGGCTAAGGCAGGAGGGTCGATTGAGCCCAGGAGGTGGAGGTTGCAGTGAGCCAAGATTATGCCACTGCACTCCAGTTTGGGTGACAGAGTGAGATCTTGTCTCAAAAAACAAAAACACCAAAATTACAAGTTGGACAAAACCATACCAGTCACATGTAACCAAAGAGAAAGCAGAACTGGCAAAGTTAAAGTGAGTATCAAGTGGGTTTTAGGGTCCAAACTTTTTTTTCTTTTTGAAACGGAGTCTTGCTCTCTGGGTCGCTGGAGTGCAGTAGCGCGATCTCAGCTCACTGCAACTTCTGCCTCCTGGATTCAAGCAATTCTCCCACCTCAGCCTCCTGAGTAGCTGGGACTATAGGCACCCGCCACCACACCTGGCTAATTTTTGTATTTTTAGTAGAGACGGGGTTTCACCATGTTGGCTAGGCTGGTTTTGAACTCCTGATCTCAAGTGATCTGCCCACCTTGGCCTCCCAAAGTGCTGGGATTACAGGCGTGAGCCACCACACCTGGCCAGGTCCAAAGTATTAAAGGATGGATAGGATGTTAGGTAAAGATACAAAGTTCAATTTGTGGAGATGCATAGTAACTTCCACAGGCATCAAGTGGAAGAGTGAGAATGGGTCGTAATGTTAGTTTGTTACTCAGCAGATGCCAGCTGTTTTAATTATACATAAACGCTACTGGCAGTAAAGGGAGAGCTTGAACAGATGTCCACGTGAAACTCCAGGGAGAGGAGCATGGGAGTCAGAGTCAGTTACCTGACCTCACTGAGCCTGTTTCTCCTGTGAAATGGGTAATGAGGCTGCTTACTCACAGTGGTGGCAAGACTCAGAGATGGTTACCACCTGCACAGCATTTAGGACTCTGGAGAAGTGTTTGTGAGCCATTTTGGAGGGGTGAACCTTTGTCCTTCAAGAGGGGCTGGATTTTTGGCAGGACCTGAAGAACCAAGGATGACCGCACAGTCACAAGCTGTCTCCCTGGGCTCAAGGTGGCTCCCACTGAGGGAAGGGGACGGAGGTATCAGCCAGTGCATCAGGACCTGGGGTCGTCACTCCCAAGGGGCCATTACCCTGTTCAGTCTCCGTGGCCACTCTGGGGGAGGGAGGTAAACCTTTACAGGTAAGGCCCAGAGTGAGGCCCAGAGACAGAGTCATTTGTGAGCACGCCAGGCTGATGAGCGGCAGGGGGAAAATTCAAATCTGGGGAGGGTCTGACCCCAAAGTCCAACATCTCTGGAGCCTCCTGCCCATGTCAGGTGTTTGGATTAATGGGATATCCCAGAAATAGTGTGTGCAGCCTCCCAGGGGACAACTTCTGCTGTCAGCCACCCAGACCAGTCAGCCGCGGAGAGCAGCAGCCTGCAGATGGGACACCAGTGCTGAGTGGGACAGGTGCTGGCTTGGCCTTGGGATGTCACATGCATACCCTCCCAGTGGACGTGAGGATTCCAGGGGCTCATGGGATCTGCCTGCTGCACCCACAGGTGCTTGGTCAATGTCCTTTCCCCGGCAGCAGCTCCTGCCAGTCTTCCTTGTCAGAACCCCCTCCTGCCCAGCACCCTGCACTGTGTTTCTGAGGTATGTGGGTCACAAGTCCCCCTCTCCTCCTCCAGGTGTGGCAGGCGTGCTTGTGGGACACCCGTTTGACACGGTCAAGGTGAGTCTCATCGCTGCTTTTTTTTCCTCGGCGCGTACATTGGAGAGAGGCTCACAGGGTTGGGGTGGCTGGAAGCCTGTTTCCGTGTACAGCCCCAGGTGGGCAGCTGCTTTTACACCAGGCCGGGTTGAACCTTCCTCACTGCTTTGTCCTGGCATCTCCCAGCTGGGGCTGATCCACATGCTGGGTTCATGGCCAAGTCCATCCTGGGCTTGGCCAGCTGGAACCGAGGTGCTGAGGTTTTCTCCCACCCAGAGCAAGGGCACCCACATGTTCCCATGCAGAACTCTCCCAAACAGTTCCTTGAAAGAAAGAAAAGTTCAGAGAGAAAATACAAAAAAAACCAAAACTCATATCTCCCATGAACATGATCTTCACGGAGTGGTGATCATCCTTACAGAGAATCCAGTGATGGTTTCCCACGTGCCAGAGGCCTGAGGAAGGGCCCTGTTAGCCGGTTCCTTGATAACACCCCACACCTCCATGAACCGGAGTTCCAGGTTCTCAGACCCCCAGAACGGAAACCAAGGAAATCTATGCCCTCCAGCTGGAAATTCCCCAATAAACCCCCCACCCTCCGCTTGTGGTTGGGCTGTGTGTTCTGAAAGTAGCCCAGCGGGGCCCTTCCTTGCTCTTTTTCCTTGGCCCCAGGGCAAGCTGTGAGTGGCAGGCACCAGACCAGCCTTGTGCTTGCTGGCAGCGCTACACGTGGCCGCTCTTCCCACTGAGCAAAGGCACAGCTGACGGCAAGGCAGGATGCGCACCCTGAGCTGGGTTTGCGGGAGACTTCCAGTCTCCTTTTCTGGTGAGCCTAGGTGTGTGTTGGCAGAGACAGTGACTTACCATAAGGGGTGGATTGCATCCAGCACAAGAGTGAGGGTCTGGCCTTTGCATTGGCTGTGACCTTAAAAAGCTCTGTCCCTGGGCCTTGTGCAGGTCCGGGCCCCTCTGCCAGCCGGTTTTCTGCATGACCTTGGGCAGGTCCCTGTATCTTTGGGCTCAAACGTTGTCATCGTGCCAGTGCTCAACAGCATAATTTATGTTGGATTAAATGCTAGCTCTGAAAACCACAACTCTTCTATCCACTGTAGGCCAATTTGGGGAGGAGGCTGAAGGGCCAGGCTTTCTTGGCAGGCAGCGGCCCCACGTTTGCTGCACCGGCCTGCCGAGAGTGAGGCCGTGCAGAGCCTGCCCACACAGCCCCCGGCCCCAGCCATGCCCACGCGCTGCCTAGCCAGGCCACCCGTGAAGCCTCCCCCAGGCCAGAGCAGCCCAGGACAGCCTGGCAGTGTCCACGTTGCACTGTGTTTATGTCTCGTGGTCATGTGTTGTGAACGCCTCTCGCAGCCAAGAAGTGCTTCACATTCACTTCCTCTTTCCAGCTCCGTGGAGGCCTGGGCTCTCTGAGCTATGAATTGGCCAGACCTGCTGGGCTTCTGCCCGGCCCCCTCAGGCAGCCCCTGGCAGGCCTGGGAGCACTTTCGTTCTGGTGCTCTGCTGTCCTGAGCCACTGAGCCCGCGAGCAGCACCCCTGAAGTGACTCAGGGACAGGAGTTTCTCCAGCCCATGAGATTTTACTCCCCAGACCCTACTTCACTGGCGTCTGGAGGGTGGTCTTTGAGAAGATCTATATGTGATCCTTTTGTTTTGTTTTGTTTTTGTTTTTGCCACTCTGTCGCTCCAGCAGCATCACATCTGGACATACCTACCTTAAAAAGCTGAACTTCTTTTCTTTGAGATGGAGTCTGTGTCTGTCACTCAGTTTGGAGTGCAGTGGCGCGACCTTGGCTTACTGCAACTTCTTCCTCCTGGGTTCAAGTGATTCTCCTGCCTCGGTTCCCCCCCCAACCCCCTGGGTAGCTGGGATTACAGGCACGTGCCAGCACGCCTGGCTACTGTTTGTTTTTAGTTGAGGTCCAGCACATATAGAAAGTGCACACATCCTGGCCAGGCTAGTGGCTCATGCCTGTAATCCCAGCACTTCTGGAGGCTGAGGCGGGCGGATCACAAGGTCAGGAGATCAAGACCATCCTGGCTAACACGGTGAAACTCTGTCTCTACTAAACATACAAAAAATTAGCCGGGCGTGGTGGCGGGTGCCTGTAGTCCCAGCTACTCGGGAGGCTGAGGCAGGAGAATGGCGTGAATCCGGGAGGCGGAGCTTGCAGTGAGCCAAGATCGCGTCACTGCACTCCAGCCTGGGCAACGGAATGAGACTCCGTCTCAAAAAAGAAAAAAGAAGGAAAGTGCACACATCCTAGGTGTACAAGTCGTCGCAAAACACATGCGTGGCGAGCTGCCACCCAGGAGAAACAGAACATGGCCAGCCCTCTGGAAGTCTTCCCTCCTGCTCCTATCAACTCCTCCCTCCCCTTCTGAGGCTTCCACTGGCCTAACTTCCTCCTTTTTTTTTGAGACACGGTCTTGCTCTGTCACCCTAGGTGGAGTGCAGTGGTGCAATCATAGCCCACTGCAGCCTTGATTTCCCAGGCTCAAGCAATCCTCCCACCGCAGCCTCTCAAGTAGCTGAAACTACAGGCACACACCACCATGCCTAGCTCATGTTTTTTTTGAAGTTATTAGTAGAGATGGGGTCTTGATATGTTGCCCAGCTGGTCTCAAACTACTGGGCTCAAGTGATCCTCCTGCCTTGGCCTCCCAAAGTGCTGGGATGACAGGCCTGGCCCACTGTCCTCACTTCCAACACCACGGGTCCCTTTTGCCTGGTTGAATATAATTGCAGCTGTACCCTAGGATCATCAGGGGCCACCCGAGTCTGTGTCAGTCCGTACTGTCACATGGCCACAGACTATCTCATGGCTGGGACAGTCACAGTTTATTCCCCCAGGCCCTTGGGACTGAAAGAATCCAAGATCTGGATCTCCTCTATAGCGCCCAGAACCACAGCCACCGTCCTGAAGCACACGGCCTTCACACGTTTCTACACGAAGGGAGTTTTCTGTCCTGCTTCCTTGGACACAGCAATAATCAGGGAGCAGTTGTCTTGACCTATGATGAGGGGGTGACCGGCCATCCCTGGGCATGGGATGGGGAGTGTGGGTGGGGGCTGGCTGTGGGGGCTCCGCGCCTGGATGTGATGTTGAAATTTTGTGTTGCTTTAACCGCCTTTACTTTCTGAGCTAGGGGCTGTCTCCATCCATAGCAAAAGTGTAACTTTGTTGTAGATGGGCGTAAGCCTCACCCTGGAGAGCGCTAGTAAGTACAGACCAGGTGAACCAGATCCCAGCCTGGACCCCACCCTGTCATGCCCATCTCCCCAACCCCAGAGTTCCCTCCGTAGCAGGGGACAGGGAGGGTGTGAGGCAAGCTTGGGCTCAGCACAGGTCCTGGGGTGGGGGCTCGGGCTGGCCAAAAAAAATCAGCCCCCTCTGGATTGGGGGTCCTCATGTGGGGGTCTCTCGGCCCTATGGGGAGCTGGGAGCTTCCTAAACTTGTGTCCAAATGACTAGTTTCCCAGGGGTGGGTCCGTTCCCATCAATCCTCAAAGGAGAGCCTGGCACCCCAAGATTTTAAGAGCCTGAGCTATAAATGACAAGACTTGGGACACTGGGCCACAGTTCCTCTCCCAGAGAGCAAGGGCTCGTCACAGACTGAGGGGTACTGAGGGGTCAGAAACAAAGTGGGGAGAGGCCTCTGCCCACATTGGTGGGAGAAGCTGAGTTGACCTAAGCCTGACATTCCCCAGCCGGCTGGACTTGGGCATTCACCAGTGTCTGTGATCTGCAAAGACTTCACAACACTACCCAGGTGGCACTGAGTATCCAACCTGGGAAGGGACAGCTCCATGTCACATCAGTTCTACTCACACAGCCCTCTTAGTGCCAGTGTTGGGGCTGCAGGAGGAACAGAGATCCCCCCAGAGGCCCCAGAACATTGAAGGGAGAGCAGCAAACCTCGCATCAAGGTGTTGGCCAAGAACTGGGCCTCCAGGGTGGGAGGGTGCTTCGGGCCAATCTTGAAGCATTGGCTTCCAGCTGTTGAGGTCCTGGGGGTACTGAGATGGTACTTGTTTCCTAACAAAACATTTTTTATAAGTGCATTCACCAATAGAGGGCCCACCTATTCTGGTGGAGAGAATTGGAAAAGGTTCCAGAATCCGGGCAGAAGCCTGGCTGTTCCCGGTGAGGGCTCTCCCTTGCTAGCACTCCCTCCCACCCTCACTCTGAGCAACACAGCTGCTCATGTCCCTGGAGAGGACAGCTTTGGCCAAGTTGTTAAACATCTCTGAGCCTGTCTTCCCATCTTGGAAATGGGGGCAGTTGTCCCAATGCCGAGATAATTGAGTGTGAAGCCCTCCCCTGTCCCATGCTGCCTAGTACCGAAGGCACTTGCTCTGTGGCCCTGGCTGTAAGAATGATCATTTCTGAGTCAGACCTAGGGAACCAGCCCCTGAGAATGTGACTTGACCTAGTTTACTCCCACCGCCCGCTCTGCAACTCTGAGCCTCCTATTGAGCAAAGATAAGCTCATAGGCAACAAAGAGCACTTTGACATGGAAGAGGTTCTGGGCCACTGGGCTCGGAGGCAGCGGGGCCTGACCAGCGCCCCAGGCCCCAGAGCTGCTGACGTGGGTCCCCAAGGAGGTTGTTGGCTGTTCTCTTGCCACCACTCTATTAACTCATAACTGCTGTTCTCACGAGAGGCTACTGGCAGAGACCAGGCAGGAGCTCCTGGAGCCAAGGTCATTGCTTTTATTTTTATTTATTTATTTATTGAGATGGAATGTTCCTTTCTCGCCCAGGCTGGAGTGCAGTGGCATGACCTCACTGCATCCTCTGCCTCACGGGTTCAAGCAATTCTCCCACCTCAGCCTCCTGAGTAGCAGGGATTACAGGCGTATGCCACCACACTAGGCTAATTTTTTTTACAGACACGATTTCGCCACGTTGGCCAGGCTGGTCTTGAACTCCTGACCTCAAGTGATCCACCCACCTCAGCCTCCCAAAGTGTTGGGATTACAGGCGTGAGCCACTGCACCTGGCCAGGCTCATCACTTTTTGCGCCTATTGCCTCGAAGCCAGTCTCTGATGGGACATTAGGGCAGGGGCCCTTCAGCCTAGTCTGGGACATGGGCCGCTCACTCAGCAGTATGACAAGCATCACCTGGAGAACGGGCCAGTCTCAGGAGGTCGTTCATGCCCCACTGGCAGTGCACTGTGCAGCCATAGTGTAAACAAGAGGCTTAACCTGAATTGGTCTGAGATCTTGGGGACCCCCTACCCTGTCTCCAGCAGCCTGTCCCTTTAGCTGTTTGCCTACTGGCACCCCATCCTGAGAAGGCATAGATACCCGGCCCACCCTGCCCTGGAATTACAAAAGTCTTAGACTGTGCCTGAGTGCCCGGCCTCCTTGGGAGACCCTCCTAGGCAGCCTAAGCACCAGACCCGGGAGCTGGGTGCTCTGGTCCTGCCTGCCTGCCTCTCACTGGACCCTCTCCTTCCAGGTACGGCTTCAGGTCCAGAGCGTGGAGAAGCCTCAGTACCGCGGGACGTTGCACTGCTTCAAGTCCATCATCAAGCAAGAGAGCGTGAGTGGCCTGGGCTGGTGGGGCTCGGGAGGCACAGGATGGGGAACTAGCTTCCGGGCTGCCACCACCCCAGACCAGAGAGCCAGGAAGGAAGGTGTCAGGACGACCAGGAGGCCAGTCAGGACCTAGGTTCTAACGAAATTCTGCTTGGTCCTCAGGAGCCCCTGGGGTGGGCTGGGGCTGCCATCCCCCGACCCCCTTCCGCGTGGAGGGCCCGGGAGGTGCGCGTTGCCGGCTCTGATGGCGTCTCTGTCCCCGCAGGTGCTGGGCCTGTACAAGGGCCTGGGCTCGCCGCTCATGGGGCTCACCTTCATCAACGCGCTGGTGTTCGGGGTGCAGGGCAACACCCTCCGGGCCCTGGGCCACGACTCGCCCCTCAACCAGTTCCTGGCAGGTGCGGCGGCGGGCGCCATCCAGTGCGTCATCTGCTGCCCCATGGAGCTGGCCAAGACGCGGCTGCAGCTGCAGGACGCGGGCCCAGCGCGCACCTACAAGGGCTCGCTGGACTGCCTCGCGCAGATCTACGGGCACGAGGGTCTGCGTGGCGTCAACCGGGGCATGGTGTCCACGTTGCTGCGTGAGACGCCCAGCTTCGGCGTCTACTTCCTCACCTATGACGCTCTCACGCGGGCGCTGGGCTGCGAGCCGGGCGACCGCCTGCTGGTGCCCAAGCTGCTGTTGGCGGGCGGTACGTCAGGCATCGTGTCCTGGCTCTCTACCTATCCTGTGGACGTGGTCAAGTCGCGGCTGCAGGCGGACGGACTGCGGGGCGCCCCGCGCTACCGCGGCATCCTGGACTGCGTGCACCAGAGCTACCGCGCCGAGGGCTGGCGCGTCTTCACACGGGGGCTGGCGTCCACGCTGCTGCGCGCCTTCCCCGTCAACGCTGCCACCTTCGCCACCGTCACGGTGGTGCTCACCTACGCGCGCGGCGAGGAGGCCGGGCCCGAGGGCGAGGCTGTGCCCGCCGCCCCTGCGGGGCCTGCCCTGGCGCAGCCCTCCAGCCTGTGACGCTCACCCCGCCCTCCTTCCCCAGGGCTCCTTCTCAGAAACCTGGGACATAAATTGGCCCCTGAGTCGATTGCCCTGCTTCCTGCTGGGATGCTGCGAGCTGTGGAGTCTATCAGACGTGGGCTGAATTTTGCTGATCAGCTGGGTAGTTTTGGCCGAGAACTGCACTTGCCTCAGTGTTCTCATCTATGAAATAAGGACCCTCATGCCCACACTGTAGAGTCACGAAGCTCAGAGATTATTCCCAGCAGCAGCCAGCACCTGGCCTGGCTGAGGCCATTGCACCGTTATCCTGGAAACTGAGGCAGACACTCCAGCCCCTTTCTGGGATCCTGGCCACGTCATTGTGCTCCTGCCCTGCAGGCTGGCTCCCGGGGGTCTCTGATGGCCAACCAAGGGGCCACCCAGGGACCTCTAACTCCACACATCCTCCACCCGGGGGGGTGGTGGGCCACCCCTCTGGTCTGTGTTAGGGACAGAGGAAAACTTGGTGTGCCTCCTGGTGTCACAGAACTGGATCCTCTGCATACCCCAGCTTCTCCACATGCCACTGCTAGGGGTACCCCAGCTGCTGCCACTCCTGCTGGAGGGTGAACTGGGGACCCTGCACCCTCCGGGAAGCCATGGAGTCTGCTGGAGGCACCATATCAGCCTGCGGGACTAGGGTGGGGAGCAAACAGGCCAGCGGTGGAGGTCTGGACAGTTCAAGTGTGATGCAGCTGTGGCAAGGAGAAATCCTTCCGCCTCTGGGCCTCAGGCTGCCTGTCCATAAAATGGGGACATGGCCAGCTGACGGACAACTGAGTCTCCGGCCCACCTACCACCGCCAGCCAGGATCCCCCAAAGTGTGCAGAGGGCTCAGCAGAGAACAGTATGGGACCCCCTCACCAGGCCTGGAACACCTCCAGCCACAAAGAAGCCAAAGGTCAGTCCCTCTGCTCCCCAGCAAACGGTGCCTCCCAGGCATTCTCAGTGCCAGGGCTTCATCCCTGTGAAGGCACAGGGCCTGCTAGTGGGCACAGGGGTGGCTAGTTGGGGCCTGGGGCAGAGGAGGGCTGCACCAGGCGTCCTGGGGAATGTGCTCAGTGAAGACGACACTGGGCTTTGCACAGCCTGGTGTCGCTGTACAGAAACTGTCAAGGGAATAAAGTGTTCTTTGTTTTTTAAGTGGCGAGGCTGCCTTTGCATATGGTGGAGGAAAGGGCTTCATTCAGCACCCTTGCCCTGGAGTCGAAGGGGCCAGCTCAGGGGTGCGTGTGCCCTTGGACCCTGACAGCAGCCTTGGCCATGTGACCTGGGCAGTTGCGGATACATCTGAGAGCCTGTTTTCTCATCTGCAAGGCAAGCTAATGAAGGGCGTGAACACGCTGGTGCAGCCTGGCCATTCAGCAGATGCCCCTCTGCTATCATCATCCCAGCAATGAGAGAGAGAGGCCTGTGGTGAGGGGCACTGGCGGGCGGGGCAGCAGGGGCAGGGTGTGTCCCAAAAACAGCTTCCTGGAAGAGGGGAGGTCTGAGTGGAGCTGACCATTTCAGCCACCCGGGCAACTTGGGCACAACTGTACTTAACCCAAACTAGGAGGTCAGAGAGGGCTTCCTGGAAGAGGGCATCCTGGAGCTTTGCCAAAGGTGTGGTGTGGGGGTCTCACTGCCCACCTCACCTGCAGTTCTGTTCAGCCTCCTGGAGTCAGCCCTTGGCATCCTGAGCCTCTGCAGCCACCAGCCCTGGAGGCTTTCCCTCCCAAGTGCTGAGCCAAGAAGCTCTGCCCACTGACAAGGGGGAGTCGGGGAGGGGCCCCAGTTCCTGTGCCTGTTTAACCCTAGTGCTAGCCTGGGAAGTTGGGCTTTACAGGGAGGCAGGAGGCGGGGAGGAAGCTGGCTGTTGACCCCTGGGGTCTCCTGGCCTCTCTCGCTTCTCTTTACTCTGAAATAAACCAGGGGAAGCTCCCAGGGATGGGGGAAACACCCTGGCCATGGGCACAGAGAGGGGCCCCTTCCCTAGCTCCTCCATGTCCAGCTTTGGCAGCCCCTTTGCCTCTCTAGGCCTGGGTGGCTGAATCTCTCAGGGCAGCTTGAGTGTGGCCTGTGGCTGTGGTCCCCATCACCCTGGATCTCTCCACACATCTGCACTCTCTAGAAAGGCCCCAACGTGACCCTTGTCAGGAACTAATTTGAGCCCTGCTCACCCTGGGGCTTCTCCACGAACCCTGCGGCTGCCTGCCCTCTGGGGACAGCACACAGACAGGCCAGCCCTTCAGAAGTGAGGAGTGGTGCGGCAAGGAGCAAGGTGAAGGGGCGGGGGGCTTCTAGCTCCCTCCCACTTCCCAGTTCAGCGGCCTCACATGACCAACACATCTGCCAGGCAGGGAGTAGAGTTGTTGTTTTTAATGAATTTATTTTACATTTTCTTTTCTCCCTGATTTGAACTTTTTTTTTTTTTTTTTTTTGAGTCTTGCTCTGTTGCCCAGGCTGGAGTGCAGTGGTGCTCTTTCAGCTCACTGCAACCTCTACCTCCCGGGTTCAAGTGATTCTTCTGCCTCAGCCTCCAAGTAACTGGGATTACAGGCGTGCACCACCACACCTGGCAAATGTTTCTATTTTTATTAGAGACAGGGTTTCACCATCTTGACCAGGCTGGTCTCAAACTCCTGACCTCAAGTGATCCACCCGCCTCAGCCTCCCAAAGTGCTGGGATTACAGGTGTGAGCCACTGCGCCCGGCCTCTGATTTCAATTGATTTGGAATAAGTGATATATGAAGTGCTAAAAACTAAAAATACTACCAGAATCCAGGCTTGTGCAGTGAAGAGGAAAACCTCCTTCCACCTCCCAGGGGCCAGCCTCTCCTCCTGAGTCGAGGACAGTCTCCAGTTCCCAGAGGGCATCCAACACATCTTGGGCAAGTGCCAGCATGGAGCAGCGGAGGGACATCTGCACCCCCTACAAAGTGTGGCCGAGGTCCTGACTGTTCTGTTCTTTGCTGTCTTCCCTTGACAGTGATCCTGGAGATTGCATCCTTCTCCTAGGGCTGCCGTAACAAAACACCACACACTGTGGCTAAACAATAGCCAAGTGTCCTCTGAGAGTTCTGAAGGCCACACTCCAGCTGCAGGCAGGGTTGGTTCCTTCTGGGGGCTCTGAGGGACGAACTGTTCCCTGCTTCTTCCAAGCTTCTGGGGGCAGCTGGCAATCCTTGGCTCCCTAGGCTCACAAGAGCATCGCTCCGATCGCTGCCACCATCTCTTGCCGCCTTCTCCTGTGTGTCTGTGTCTCCATGTCTTCTCTTTGTATAAGGGCACCAGTCATATGGGATTAAGGGCCCACCCTACTGTAGTATGACCTCATCTTAACTAAAAACATCTGCAGAGACCAGGTTCCAAATCAGGCCAAATTCAGTTGCCTGGAGTTAGGACTTGAACGGATTTTTCTGGGGCCACAATCCAACCTTCAACAGGGCTCTGTATTGGTGTGTTTGAATGGTCCTCCTTCCTGCTGACAGCTGCATGGCATATTTCATTGGATAAACTTTGCTTGATTTGCTTTTCCAGTCAGGTTTGGGAGAGTAACTGGGGGACACGTCTGAGCAGAGTCCTAGAGGAAGAGCAGCAGCGGACGGGGCCACAGATACCACTAGGCTGTAGCTGGAAGGGCAGATGTAGCCAAGGTCCCGAGGTGGAAGGGGTGGGTGGGGGCTGGGGAGGGGGGTGAGGCAGGGCCTGGAGGACAGCAGGGCCAGACGTTCAAGAGGGCCACCAGGGCGGGTCACATGGCAGTGCCTTGGGGACAGTGGCAGATCCTCCTAAGTGCCAACTGCTCTTGAAATCTCAACTTGATCTGGGCTTCAGTATGTCTAATCAAAACAGCTTCCCAAACTGTCTTTTTTTTTTTTTTTTTTTTTTTTGAGATAGAGTTTCACTCTTTTCACCCAGGCTGGAGTGCAATGGCACAATCTTGGCTCACTGCAACTTCCACCTCCCAGGTTCAAGTGATTCTCCTGCCTCAGCCTCCTGAGAAGCTGGGATTATAGGCGCAGCAACCATGCCCTGCTAATTTTTTGTGTTTTTAGTAGAGATGGGGTTTCACCACGTTGGCCAGGATGGTCTCAAACTCCTGACCTCAGGTGATCCGCCGCCTCAGCCTCCCAAAATGCTGAGATTACAGGCATGAGCCACCGCGCCTGGCCCCCAGACTGTCTTGCGGCCGGAGCTGGCCATATGTCTGACAGCTTCTGAGAAAGCTGTGAAACAGGTAAAACACACTGTGGCACACCCCTTGACCTCTGGTCTCTGACCTAGCTCTCTGCTTCCCACTGAAAAGGGAATAGGATGCCTGGAGGTGCAGTGGGAGAGACCACGGCCGTGAGCCACTGAGCCAGCCTGGCCTTGGAAGGCTGGTCACACTCCTCTCATTCAGCACACTATTCCTGTCATTTGCAGCCAAATGCACCACCAGCCGCCATGCAGAGCTGACTTTATTTCGTTGCATCAGCAGCTGTGAGCAGGTTTTACCCAGGGGAGTGACAGGATCCAATTTATGTTTTGAAGACCCCACAGGAGGTTAGGAGGCAATAAGAGGCAGGCCAGGGTGGGGGGCAGAGGCCATGAGGGAGTCCAAGCCAGAGGACCTCTTGAGGCCAGGAATTCGGAGGGGGGGGGTGGTGCTCCAGTGGCAGGTGGGCGAGACCACTGGGGAATAAACGGCAGAAGAAGCCCTTGGAGGTGTTGAGGGTGCAGTCAAGGGAGGCGAAACTATGTGGCAGGAGCTAGAGTCTGAACTCCGCAGGGATCTGGAGTTTATGGCTCCTTCCTTGACCCCTTAAGGGAAAGGGCTATGAAACGGCACTGCCAAGGCATTTGTCTCTGGGGTGGGAAAGGGGGAGGGAGGCTTAAAGCGTGGAAGGGCAGAGAGAAGGGGGCAGGCCCCGTGAGGGCTGGTGCTCAGGTCCTTGGTGCAGAGTTCAGGCAAAGCAGTGGCAGTTTGGGGAGTCCAAATCTGATAAACTGTTTTTCCAATCTCAGAGCCCACACTGGCTTCACACACAGACTTCCCCTTCCCTTTTCTTTTGATCCCTTTGGACATCAGGTGCATGGAGTGAATGGAGCATAAGCCTCCTTGTGCCCTTCTCATCATTGGCCTGGGCCTTTAGTGAGTCATTTCTTATAAAAAGCACCCGTGAGGCCACACTGACCTGGGACCTTCACCAGCCCTCCTTGTGCTGGGTGGGTTCTTGTGACTGTAGGGATGGCTCAGCCCTATGCACACCCATCCCTTCATTCTCCCAACAGCCATACAAGGTCGGTGCTGGCACCCCCATTTTGCAGTGCAGGGTACCAGTTGGGGAGGGTCCCTGTCCAAGGCCACACAGCTAGTTGGTGCTGAAGCCAGCGCCAGGAGCCAGTCAGCCCATCCTTTGCCCTTCAGCAGGATCAGCTGGGGCCAGGCAACCCTGGAGCGGCAATGCAAGAACCAGAGGGGGCCTGGCCAGGGCAAGGGTCCAGGTCCCATGCTCCTGGGTCTCAGCTTCCTTGCTGCTTCTTACACACCCCTGACCTCATGGTACCCACCTACCCACGGAGAGGCAGATGCATTGCTGGGTCCAGAGGCCACTTCCCAGGGAACTGGGAAAGGCGGTGGGGCCAGTGTCCACCTTGATCAGGGCACAGCAGAGATAGGGCAGAGGCTGAGGGGAATGGGCCTGTGCCCCAGGGGCTCCTTGCTCAGCCTTGCTCTCCTCCGACTTGACCTCCCCCAGGATCGTGGGGAATGCCAGACGCCCCCACCAGCGCCCCTCTGCAAGCAACACCCCCCCCCCCAGCCATGCTCTGCCAGGCCAGCCAACACCACGCCAGCTGTAATGATGTCCCACAAAGTTTGGGTGAATGAGTAAGTTCAAATCTGGCTTGAATATCCTTGGGGATGGTGAGGACACAGGACAAAGAGCAGACACAGGGGAACATGGTGGGCTCTGTTTGGTGTTGTGACAGTACTGGCCGGTTTCTTGTTTATCTCCCCAACCTCTACCTTAGCTCCATGAGGGCCAGGGGTGCAAAGTCAGCATGCTGAATGAATGAGTGAATGAATGGGTGAGAGCAGAGGCTGCTGAGTACAGGGCCAGGTTGGGTTTTGCCAGGCAATACAGAGACGGGCCAGGGAAGACGGAATGTACACTGTGAGGCCAGAACACGCTTGGGGGCAGAGGGTGAAGCGGTGATGGGCTGGAGAGGGGCTGGGGCGGCCGGAGTGGCTCCAGAACCTACAGGCAGGGTGATGGTAGGAGCCCCCGCCACGCCCGTGGTGGAGCTCTCCGTGGGGAGAGGAAAAGCATCCCCAGCTTGGAGGGCTCCAGGACGTCCCTTTGGGCCGGCACCCCAAGGCCCTGTCTCCCCGCTTCCCGGGCCCGCCCCCTAATCCCAGGACCGCAGCCTCTCCCACCCCGCCCTCCAGGGGGCGCTGCTCCACCGGGGGGAAGGGGGGGCGTCCCAGGGCCTTGCTTAGCTGGGGCCCCCTGGTATGTGGCCCCTCCCTCCTCGGGCGTCGCCGCCGCACCGCCCTGCCCCGTGTCCCTGTGGCCCTGGCGGCGGGAGTCTCCTCCGCCCGAGGCCTCGGGCAGGTGGGGTGCACGCAGCCTCCTTCCGCGTTTCTCGGGCTCTGAATCTCCGCGCCCCCGTGGCCCTGGGCTCACTCCGCGCGGGGGACGCTCGTAAGCGGCGGCGGCTCGCGGGGACCCCACACTCAGGGATTCTGGACAGCCCCCACCGCGCCTCGGGTCCCCGCGAGGTCCGGGCCGCTCCGCGCTGCGCACGCGCAGCCCCTCCCCACAGCGGACGCGGCCCAGCCCCGGGGCCCGCTGGCACAGTGCCCTCCTGCGGCCGGCGGCGGCGGCGCACCCTGCGGGTGGGGGCCCAGGCGCAGGTCTAGAAGCCCCCGGGGCCGCCCGCCAGAGCAGCGTGGGGGACAGGCCCTGGAGCACTGCAGGGTGGCAGGGAAGGGCTGGGACAAAGGCGCGGCCCAAGTCCCCAGAAGGGTCTGGGGGCGGGCAGGGCTGCCCGCGCTAAGTGCTGGCCAAAGGCCAGGCGGGCAGGGGCTAGGGCTGGCCACCAGCTCCCGGGATATTCCTAGGGTCCGGTACAGACGCACGTGGCAGGCCAAGAAGAAGCCATGCAAACACCTGAGGGGCGTGCTCAGACCCCGTCCTGCCTCCTTGCCTCCTCTCCCTCCCTAGCTACCCCGCCCCCCCCCGCTTTTTTAGACGGAGTCTCGCTCTGTCGCCAGGCTAGAGTGCAGTGGCGCGATCTTGGCTCACAGCAACCTCCACCTCCCAGGTCCAAGCGATTCTCCTGCCTCAGCCTCCCGAGTAGGTGGGATTAGAGGCATGCGCCACCACGCCCGGCTAATTTTGTATTTTTAGTAGGGAGGAGGTTTCTCCATTTTGGTCAGGCTCGTCTCAAACTCCCGACCTCAGGTGATCTGCCCGCCTCGGCCTCCAGAAGTGCTGGGATTACAGGCATGAGCCACCGCGTCCGGCCCCTAGCCCCTATTTATCACAGCCTTATCCTCCTTCCTCCAGATGTCATGCCAGTGCCAGTAGGGCAATGCCATTCCTGCCTAAAACAGGGCCTGGCACATAATTGCATTGATCGAATCAGGGCCCCTGGAGGTGGAGAGGTAAGCTTTGGAAACGAAAACTCCAAGAGGGAGGGGAGGGACAGGACAAGAGGTGATCCATTAGGAAAGGCTGAAAAATGAGATAAAGCCAGGACTGGGCTCTGAGGGTCGGCGGGACTGGATTTTTCGGTAGGAAGTAGGGAACCGCTGCAGTTCAAATCACGTGCTGAGACCCTGTTAGCAGAAAGGCCGTGTGGGGAGGTCAGCAAGGACCGAGGGGAACGGTCACAATGGCGGGCAGTCGGGGAGCCCTGAGGACCCTTCCAAGGCCAGGAGGCACCACTGCGCCAGAACAGAAAGGGCCGCACACCAGGGAGGCCGATGCACTGCTCCATAAACAAGGGCCAGGGCTTTTTTGAAAGGGGACTGGAGGAGAATTCAAGCTAAGGAGCCAGTGGCAAGCAGAGTACCTTGGAAGCCAGGCAGGCTTGGGCTTTGAATTCTGGCTGCCTGGACTTTGCAAATAAATCTGAGCCTGTTCCTCTCTTACAGCATGGTGATATTGCTAGCTAATTCATCAAAGGGTGGTTTGGAGGAGGCCACTGGGTACATATGTGTTCTCAACAAATGTTATGGGCTGCGCATGGTGGCTCACGGTAATCGTAGCTACTCGGGAGGCCAAGGCAGGAGGACCACTGGAGTCCAGGAATTCAAGGCAGCAGTGAGCTATGGTCGTGCCACTGCACTCCGGCCTAGGTGATAGCAAGACCCTGTCTCTTACCAAAAAATAAATAAATAAATAAAATAAAAAATTATAGCCAGGCAGAGACACCGGCAAGTATAAAGGAGAGATACTGGTTTCATCTGTATCTAGGGGTTTCTAAAGAAAGCAATTCCAGGCCAGGCACGGTGGTTCACGCCTGAAATCCCAGCACTTTGGGAGGCCGAGGCGGGTGGATTGTGAGGTCAGAAGTTTAACACCAGCCTGGCCAACATAGTGAAACCCCCATCTCTACTAAAAATACAAAATTAGCCGGGCATGGTGGCACACACAACCTCCTGCTATTCAGGAAGCTGAGGCAGGAGAACCGCTTGAACCCGGGAGGCAGAGGTTGCAGTGAGCTGAGATTGCGCGCCACTGCACTCCAGCCTGGGAGACACAGCAATACTCCATCTAAAAAAAAAAAAAAAAAAAGCAATTCCAAAGCTTTAGTTCCTTCCCATGTAAAATCTACAGGTTTTCCACCGTCTTGCTCAGCTCAGCCCTACTTAGGGCCTTCACTCAGCAGTTCTGGGCTTGCACAGGCCTGCGACTTGCCACCTCAGTAGCATTCTGTCAGCAGCCCCTTCTGTCACTAGCAAAAAGGGAAAGTCACATGTATTCAAGTAATAATGAACTTCACGCCTCACTCTGAACCTTGCTCTGCAGAACATCAGACACCAAGGCCCCAACCAGAGGGAGGAAGCTCTGCTCTGCATTTTGCTTTTGGCTAAATCCTAAGTAGCTCTCAGTGTATTTGGTCAAGTTCTTCCGAGTCCATCCCAGTTAGCTCCGGAGCTTCCAGGGCTGACATGGGCTCATAGGTCCGGCTGCGTGGGCATTTCACTGGGCTGTGCTTTCTGAACAGTGGGTGAGGCTCTCTTTAAAACGCCCTCTTGCTCCTGAGCCCACCTTGGAGCTGAAAGGTTACAGAAGCATTTCTTGCTGGTGTGAGACCAAATCCTGGGAGTTCCCAGTCCTGTGTGTGAGAAAGCAAGCCGCAAGAACTGCCCCGGGCAGTTTAGGCAACTCTTAGACCAGGAAGGGCTCATGGCCTGGTTTCATGTGCAGTGAAACACTAAAGAAGTGGCTTAGAGGACTGAGGAACAAACAAGAACCACAGGCATTAAAAAGCTTAACATTATGCATTTATTATATTGTATAGAGCCATATTACACATGCTTGGTGCTTCAAACTGAGTTATCAATGTTTTTCTGGATGCAAAGCCATCTGATGCTGGATGCGGATGCCTTAAATACTATATTTCTGCATCTATGACCTATGAGCTAAGGAAAAACCAAGGACAATTCCAGAAATGGCAAAGAACACTTAAGAAAAAGATGTACATGAGACGAAATGCTAAGTCCTTGAGCCAGGGCCTACAGAAGTTACCAGAAAGCGAATAAAAACATAATTTTTCTCACCACCTGTTGATAATAGAGCCTCACATGTCCGGGTATGGACAATGTAGAAAAAAGAGGTTGTTCCGTTTGGTACTGATGCCTTTCTCCCCTCCGTGATGTGTGCGGACATTGTGCGGCCCCCAGAGAGAGCAGCAGACAGAACAGAGCACAGCAAACTGCCCCCTCCTCAACACATCCCAGTGCTGTTTTTTTTTTTTACAGCATCTGGGTGTCTCATGAAAAGCGGTCAATTTGATCAAACTTGCCACCTTGTGGAAAATCAATCAGTGTGCTTCAGATGAATGTGACGCCATCACACGCACCCTCCTCTGACATCCAGAATGCTGGCGGGGGACATGGGGCTGGGTGCCTGCTCGGCCAGGACGAAGCTCTCCATGTGTCACCTCCCACCTTACGGCACCCAGTTTGTGGGAGGTTTGCTTTGCCTGCTGACCTGATGCTAACGCTCAGCTTAAACGCTCCATTCCAGATTTTACAAGGGGACTGGGTGATAACGTGTCAAGTACATGCTGCCCATACTTCCCATCAAGCCTCAGTACAGTCCCAGCTTAAAGATCCTCTCTGGCACCACACTGATCCCTTGGGCCTGGGGGTGGATGCCAGGAAGCCTCTTGGCCACAAATCTGCCCTCTTGTGGGTCAGAGGCCAGCCCTCTCTTGCCTGACGTGACTTGTCTGAAGGGCCTGCACTTAAACCATCTTCAGGCAACCAGGGCATCTGAGCATAACCTGAGCAGTAACAACATAAATCAAGGGTCAGTAATTTGGGGTGGATGAGACCTAGCCAGCCATCCAGTCAGATGCTGCCGTGCAGGTAAGCATGATTCTGAAGGCGTGGGGTACCTTTTGTCCTGTAAAGTCAGAGAGAAGGCTAAGAAGTGCATGGCCAGAACCCCAAGAAAGTGCAGCTTGGAGTTTTGGCTTCCTTCCCCACCGCTTGGGTTAAAAGTTCGGGTGGAATGCACTTGCCAGGACCTGCTGGGCCTGAACTCTGAAGTGCTGCGCTCACATTACTGTCAGTGTATCCAGGACAAAGGGCCCGGAGCCAGACAGGTGCCCCCTACAGCCGAGGGTCCAAGGCAACCCTGTGACTCAGAGCTGGCTTCAGCAAGCCAGCAGAGCAGCTGGGAGGAAGCCTCATGGCATGGCTGTGGCATCAAGTGGGTGTCTGTGAGCAGCTTGGCTCTCACCACTGTTTTGACCTCTGGGATCCTTACTCTTGCTGGGGGTCAGATGTCAAGAAAATAGAAGGATTATTAAAGAATAATTAAATAATTAAAGATCAACAACATGAATTTCCCAAGCCAGGCTGATTTCCAGGTCACAGAAGTCAGAGACCCTGGAAGTGATCAACTCTCTTTGCCTATAGTCGGGGGTGGGGGGAGGTGGGTAGAATTGTCAGGTTTCCTTTTTTTTTTTTTTTTTTTTTTTTTTGGGAGACGGAGTCTTGCTCTGTCACCCAGGCTGGAGTGCAGTGGTGCGATCTCGGCTCACTGCAAGCTCCGCCTCCCGGGTTCACGCCGTTCTCCTGCCTCAGCCTCCCGAAATTATCAGGCTTCCAATTCCAAAACTTCTTTTTAGGGGGCCAGGTTTTCCTGTGCCACAAACTCTGGTCTGAGACCAGTCTGGGACACGTCTCCACAGTAAGTTTTGCAAGGCAGAGTGCAAACGGACGTGGGGCAGTCCTCCAATGTACGCACTCTCAAAACACTGCTCAGGCGGGCTTCCCCCGACTGGAAGTGACTCTCATCTACTTGTGAAGACATGAACTTGAACTCTGCTTGGAAACACGGACAGGTATTGCGCACACTATCCTGTGAAAGGGTCTTATTTAGCAAAATAAGTGACATTTAGAACTTTTACATGAAAACCAAATAGGAAAAAAAAAATCCCGATTTTCCTCAAATCCTCAGGCCTTGAATCTAGGCAAAGCACACAAACACCATATGAAACCAACAGCATGAGTTCAGGGTCATCTTGGAAAATAAATGTCACTCTGGGGTGACAGTTCTTTATACAAATAGTATGCTCCCCCTCTCAACTCCACTACCAAAAAGGGGGAAATAATAAGAAATTCAAAAATAGAAAACAACATCTTGTTAAGTGTAAACTTATCCTCTGGAGTTTTTATATTACATATGCTAGAAACATGCATTTATTTCTGCTCAGATGTACGAAAATATGTCTATCAGTATTACTTATAAATCAGATTAATCCTCAAGACAATGGACTCACTGTTAGAATACCATTTCAAACCTTAGTAAATTACATCGTTAGCAAAATTATAAATTCTAACCACAAGCAGAATGGGTTGAAGTTACACCCAATGAGAACTACCTCTACTCTTTATATTGTTGCTCATTTGTTAGTTTTCTATTGTTGCAAAGTCAGTGCTATGTTAACAAGGAACTTGTTTTCTTGGAACCCCAGATTAAACTCCTTACAGAAGTTAACTCTGCAGACTGAGAAGACGTGAACAGAGAGAGTCAAGGGGAGTGATGACTATTTCAGAGACAGGAAAGGACAGAAGAGATGACCAAAGGCACCCCCAAGGGATCAAGGCACAGAGGAAGAGGGACTTCATCCACACAGGAGCCTGGCTCCTGCAGGCCATGGCATGGCTCTCGGGGCTGCCAGCAGGGCTCCCCATAGCATAGGTGTGCTCTGCGGTGGGCCCTTGGGCAGGGTCCTGAGGACAGTGCCAGGGCCAGGCTCCAGTGCAGCACAATGTTGGGCAAAGGACTCCTAACACAGCCACGCTGGGGCTACTCAACCCGACAGTGGGGAGGGAAGGTGTGGGTGCTCACAAGGCAGGCATCCATAGAAGACGCTGCCCAGGTCCAAGTCAAAGAACTACACGTTCTCATCCGAGCCCTCGGCACTGAAGACCTCCACCATGGGCTGACCTCTCTCCTGACTGCCAGATACAGCAAAGCCTGGCTTACCCAGAAAACAGCTGGGGTCTTCTGCTTAACTCAGTTCCATCAAACTACCCAAGGGGTAACAGATTCTGGATGAATTTTTTAAAGGGTCTCAAGTTAAATGTTTCATTCATGATTCACAAAAGGCACTTCAAAATTCCACAGAGCCACAGGGTCACTGTTAGTAGGTCACCAATCCTCCTGTACAGGACCGATGGAGAAGCTCTAAGACAATGGGCTATGTGTTTCACCTGATGGGGTCCCTGGCCATTTGTAAATAAATCTCGGATATTAGCTAGTTTGTCATTTATCTTGCAGTCAAGCATACACAAAACAGAAAGACACACAGTATGTTTGCACTTTGAATAAATGAGATTTTGCTGTATCATGGCAGTTTATAAAGTATTCTCAAGTCTGTTATTTGACCTAAGATCCAACATTATAATCGTACATTTAAGAGGTTACAATGTGAGAGGTACTCATTGAGCAGAATTTTCTAATAATCTAATCACCTTGCCGATTTGCACCCAGTGTCCATTTAGAAACATGAAATTAAGCTACTGGCACTCAATTGCCACATTGCTAGCATTTAATAAGGACTCCACTAGATGGAGGAACAAGGGCTCTCAAACCAAATAACCAACGACCACAAGCATTTCCTGTCAGACAAGCCAAGGTCCTGCTGGAGCTGCCTCTGAAGGCAGCCGGCTGATGGACAGGCCTGGTCTTCCCTCTGTGTGCCCCACTGCCAGGTGGCACCTTACCCTGCGCAGGCGCTCAGCCTGCGCGGTGGTACAGATGCTTCACTCACACTTGCCGGGGGCTAAAATCACAGCCTATGACCAACCTGGCCTGGGGTGTTCTGAGGTAGTTCCTGAACTCGGGATGCCTGTTACCTACTCTCTTTCAGAAGTCAGGACATGTAGGAAGTATTAAAATATCCATGCATCGCTTTCATCAATAATCACTGTAATTGAGTGCAAAATAAAGGAAACTTGAGTTGCTTTATTTAGCTTCCAATTTCTGGGAGGCTCAAGAATTATAAGTATTCTGGACAACAAAAGAAAATAAGACTGTGCTTACAGATCTTGTTCTGCCATATTCTTGCTTTAGGATTGCTATTTTATTGTTGCCCTTTCTGTTACATGGGATGTACACATCAGGTGTTAAAAGGTACAATACATTCTACAACTGAGCACCACTTTCTGTAACTGAACAGGCAAAGAAATTACACTGAACATCAGCATCTGGCAGTATTTTTTTGGAAAAAAAAAGTGACTAAAATGGGTTTAAATTGATTAACACTATTAAATCACATCTAATATTTGATACTACATGATTCAATACAGCTATACGATACAATTATACAAAATGTGTTAACATCAAAGAATACAACCAAAATTAAGATAGCAAACAAAACCTATATAACTTTTTTTTTTTTACAGGAAAATACTTTTGAAGTATGCATGTAACTGCCCATTCTTTTAAAGAAAATCTACTGCAAGCAAAGTTATCAACCTCCAGAAAAATCACACGTAGCATTACTAAGCATATCCCCAAAAAAGTGTACAATATGCACACTTGGAAAATACAAAATTAAAAAAATTGTAAGCAACAGGTGAGCTTCATATTTATAAGAATGTGAAAAGAAGTCCCATTTTTAGCACTGTTGTATAAAGAATTGTCTTTTGATGCGAAGTTCATGAATTGTCCTCCTGTTGGGACCACACTTTACAAAAACACTGTGTTTTTGAAACGAGATTACAGAGCAAGATAGAGCATCTTAGCAATGTCATCTTAGTAAAGTTTTTTTTTTTTAATTTTTACTACTTTATCAAAACATGTCCCTTAGGTGTGTAGGATTCATTTTTAAAATTCTTCCTAGAAATAATATACAAAGGAGAGGCATATTTATTCCCAATCACACTTCTGGAAGATGCTTCCCGTGGTCGAGAAGGGTCTTCTCTCTTCTTTTCACTGGTTGTTTTTGGCCTTAGCATGTGTTAAGATGTGAGATTTCAGGTTAGTTGACTGAGCAAACTTCTTATTACAACCATCGAAGGGGCACACATAGGGCCTGTCTCCGGTATGGATTCGCACATGTGTGCGCAAATTGAAGTCCAGTGAAAAGCGTTTCCCACAGCCTTCGAACGTGCACTGTCAAGGAAAGACCAGAGATCAACCCACTCAGCAACTCTGACCAGACCCTGGGAGTCAGGAGCTCACTGCTTTGCTAGAGAACAGCCTATTTATTTTACCAAACACTTTTCATTCCTGCCCTGGGTGAACTTTGTGGATATAGTCTAGAATCAGCAGGCAGGTTGGACAACCCCGAAAACCCAAGGAGAGCCCTCACGAACTGTTTAAAACACTTGGCAAAATGGCAAGTCTTCCTAAATGCAGGCTAGAGTCCTAGTGCTGCTGTAAACATTTCCAACAGTAAAATACAAATGATTAAGGGTTCTGGTGTCAGTTGTCAAAAAAGAACCACGTTAGATTTACTAGCTGCACTGCTAGTTCTTTCACTTATTTATGGGCTAAAGTATTACCTATACTTACACTCTAGAAACTTTATCAGTTAGTAATTATACTATTAACTACCAAAAATAAATTACTTCAATCCTGTAATGAATGAAGTAGAAATTGAGTTTTAGGTATGCTCTTCAATCCTGTTCTCCTCCTGCCATAAAGTGTACTCCATCAACACCAATACATTGCGTACCCAGTACCACAGAGTATAGACAAGGATGTCCAGAGCCCCGGCAACCCTTCTAAGCGACTCCCCAGGAGAAGTTTTGTTTCTCACCAAGGAGTAATAAGACCCTGAGTCTCTGGGCTGGCGCCTCCTGCCTCATCACCACACCACCTACACTTGCAGTGTTCAGACAGGCAAGGCAGTGTGGGGAAGAGAGGGAACTGGCTCTACCTGAAAGGGCTTCTCTCCAGTATGAACCAGTTGGTGTCGTTTTAGTTTTGAACTCTCAACAAAAGCTTTGCCACATTCTGCACAGACGTGGACTCTGGGACCGTGGGTGTGCAGATGTTTTCTCATGGCCGAGTTATCCCTGAACATCTTTGTGCAGCCCTTAAAACAGAGAAAGCAGCTTAGAAGTTCACATTGCAAACTGTTAGAAAGGATTCAACCATTTAACAGCCTTTACTGACATATTAAAACAAAACCACCTCCCCAACCCCCCATTTTAATTTTACTTAGTATTACGGTAGAACATTAATATCATTTAAGACAAAAAGCAGACAGCTGAAAAAGTCATCATTCAATGCAAACCCTAGTTTTACAGATGAGGAAACTGAGGCTTAGAGATGTCTTTAAGTAGACTTGCCCAAGGTCACACTACTAGTAGTAGCCAAACTGGGAATAGAACCCAACACCCTGGCTTCCAGCTCTACCACAGCCACCTCACCCGACTATGTCCCCCAAAATGAAGTAACAGAAGCACTGCTAAGCAAATGGAGTTAAAATGACGGTAGTCCACCACTACCTTTGGTGGCCCCATATTCTGTGCTGCAACAATGGACTGTCATTCTCCATCGCCTACTGTTCCCTCTTCTCTCTTTGCCTCTTTCCCCTTCTTGACAGAGAAAGAAGCAAGAGGGTCTCCAAGGAATGGCAACTACAGAAGAAATTTATTTTGTGAGACACTAGGAAAAGGAAGAAGCAGGCAAATTGATACCAGTGCAGGGCGGGAAAGGCAGATGGATGTGTGGCGCTCGAGAAGCATGTCCTCAACAATTTCTTCTGCAGTTGTTGCCCAGTAATGGAGTGAATGGGGAAATGATAAGACAGCATGACAGAAGGACAGCACAAGTCACTAGACAGCTCACAGGCAGAAGGGAGAGGGAAGCCCCAGTTTTTCCGCCTTTACCCCTAGGTTGAATTTCCATTTAGAAAATGGAAATTTAAAAAATTTAACTGGTACACAATGTATACATGCATTGAAACATCACACGGTACCCCATAAATATGTACAAGTATTATGTGTCCATTATAAAGAAAACTTCAGAGAAGCTAAAGGGATGGCATAGGCACTTCCAGCCTAACTGTTTTCAAATGCTTGTTATTTCGGCCCTAATGGAGATACGTTTACATTTCAAATCGCCACATCAAGAACGCTGACAAAGAACAGGAAGGACTTGCTAGTGCACAGTCATTACAGGGAAGAGACCGTGAAACTAAATGTAGCCTGCTCCGATTGTTCATTTTTAACATTCTTTATTCCACTCAATCTCTCCTACTTTGTTCTCTGTACCTATGTGATACTTGATTTTTCTGTTAGTCTCATATCCAATTAAGTTTGAAAATAGCCCCCAACAAATATCTCAAAAGTACTTTTCAGGTTATCCTTTTATTTTAAAGACTAACTACATTTGAAAACAATTAAGTGCCTCTCTAATCACACACAATTATTAAGTCTTTATTTGGCTTATTTTAGCAACATCCAAAATAATTTTCAAATTTCAGTTACAAGCCTACATTCCCATAAAGGTCAATAGGTGAGACACAACCCAGGATCTTAAGACGGACTTGTTAATATAATCCAAAAAGAAATGAAACGCTAACAGTAGAGTCAACACACAGTAATCAAGCAACGGCTCCCTGCAGTCATCCCATTTAACAGTATTTAAAAAGTTGCCTTTACTAAATAACAAAACTTCATCTCTTGGATTTAGAAACCGAAGATTCTAATTCCTTGCTTCATTTAAATTATCACAAGCAGAAACAAAAGTGCAAATTTCTTATAACTCTCTAAAACTTCATCAACAGTTTAATGAACACTCTCCCTCTAGCATTACTTACTTTATGAGGGCAAGCTATTGTTCTTGGAGCATCATCTTCTTTAATTTTTCTTGGCTTCATTCTTATCAAAAGAAAAAGAGAGACAGACAGATTTGTAGGAGTGGGTAGACTCAACTGGCATAAATCATATAGTCCCTAAAATGCTTTCCTTATAGGTACCCAAACTAAAATTATGATACATTTCCATGAAGCAGAAAGGATGAGACAACTTGCATTCACTAAGTACCAATGACTGTGAAGCACTCTTCCCATCTTACAGATAAGGATGCTCAGGCTAGAAACATCGAGTTGCCGCCTACAGTCTCATAGCTAATAAGCTGGTGCAGCTTAGAATGGCACTATGATCTGTGTGATTCACATACCTGTTCTTAACTCCAAACCCTTTAAAAAAACACAAAAAATCAACTCAGACAATCAGATGAATCTCCTTGTGAGAGGCAAGGGAAGATTTCCAAAGGCAGCTGCTGCGATGATGAAGGTGCCTTATGAAAAAGAAGCGGTGAACACAGGAGTGTCCTAAAATATCCATCTCTATACACGAAATGGGTCCAATTAGTACTGACACGAATGATCTTTAAAATATATCATTTTAAAGGGTACAGAAGAGTCCTTTTAAATCAAGATTTATAGATATTAAATATCAAATATCTCTGGAAGGACACACGACAAACCATTAGCACCAGTTACTTTGGGGAGAGAGCTCCTAGGGCCTGGTGGACAGATGGGAACACCACATACTCTCATACTGTTACCCTACTTCTGGATGGGGGCTTGGAAGTTCTCATTTGTACCAAGAGTCCTGGTAATGTGGTAACCGTCTGGCAGAGCCCCAGGTGAAATTACTGTCCAGAGAGCCTCCTGGTTTGGTAACTTACCTACCTGCTTCTCCACTGAATCAAGCTTTGGACTTTTGTCAAAACTTTCTCTCCAAATATTCCCTATAGATCTGTGTGTGGTAGGGGGGTGAGAAATTAAGCGTTCCTAAAAAAACTAGAGAATAAATTTAAATCTCGGAAACAGATTTTCTTTTTGTCCCTAGTTTTACCCCTCTCACACCCCTCCATGATGGTTCATATTTAATAAATAAATAAATCAGCCGGGTGTGGTGGGTCACGCCTGTAATCCCAGCACTTTGGGAGGCCAAACTGGGAGGATTGCTTGAGCCCAGGAGTTCAAGACCAGCCTGGGAAACACAGTGAGACTCTGTCTCTACAAAAAATAAAAAAATTAAGCCTGGGCAACATGGACAAAACCCTGTCTCTATCAAAAACAAATGAACAAACAAACAAAAAATCCCCCAAAATCAGCCAGGCATGGTGGTGTGTGTCGATAGTCCCAACCACTCGGGAAGCCGAAGGCAGTAAGATCACTTGAGCCCAGAAGGTCAAGGCTGCAGTAAGCCATGACTGTGTCACTGCATTCCAGCCTAAGTGACAGAACGAAACTCTGTATTGGATTTAAAAAAATAAATAAAATAATAATTTAAAAAACCATAGCTGGGCGTAGTGGCTCACACCTGTAATCCCAGCACTTTGGGAGGCCGAGGTAGATGGATCACTTGAGGCCAGGAGTTTGACACTATGTTGGCCAACATGGTGAAACCCCATCTCTACTAAAAATACAAAAATTAGCCGGGTGTGGTGGCAGATGCCTGTAATCCCAGCTACTTAGGAGGAGGCTGAGGGAGGAGAATTGCTTCAGCCAGAGAGGCGGAGGTTGCCGTGAGCCGGGATCGTGCCACTGCACTCCAGCCTAGGCGGCAAGAAGGAAATACCGTCTCAAAAAAAAAAAAACAAAAAAAAAACAACAAAAAACTAGCTGGGGGCCACTACTCTGAGTGAAGTAACTCAGGAATGGAAAATCAAACGCGGTATGTCCTCACTTATAAGTGGGAACTAAGCTATGAGGATACAAGTGATATAATGGACTTTGGGGACTTAGTAGGGAAAGAATGGTGTGGGATAAAAGACTACATACCGGATACAGTGTACACTGCTCTGGCGAGGGGTGCACTCGGACCTCAGAATTCATCAATATAGAATTCATCCATGTAACCAAAAACCACTTATACACCAAAAGCTATTGAAATTTTTTAAAAAGTCAAAGTCGAAAAAAAAAAAGCCCACCTAAGTGAATCCTTAAAAGCAAGAGCTAATTTACCACCACTCTTTTGTTACAAAAAAAATACTCCTTAAAAAAAAATTAATTCTGTGATCTTTTAAGTTTGTGAAGGCCCTAACAATGTCCTTCTTCACTTATAATCTGGGAAAAGGATGACCTGATCTGTAACCTGAACACATGAAATCATTGGTTAAACTTTCCAGCCCTAGGAGTATATGAGGAACAACAGATCTGGTAACTATCACTTATCTCCATGGAGTTGGTCCGATACTATACATATTTGTTATTTTAAATTCTACGAGAACATTTTCTCTTTTCCTTTTCTTTCTTTTTTTTTTTTTTGAGACAGAGTCTCACTCTGTCACCCAGGCTGGAGTGCAGTGGCGCTATCTCGGCTCACTGCAAGCTCCGCCTCCCAGGTTCATGCCATTCTCCTGTCTCAGCCTCCTGAGTAGCTGGGACTACAGGCGCCCGCCACCATGCCCGGCTAATTTTTTTGTATTTTTGTAGAGATGGGGTTTCACCATGTTAGCCAGGATGGTCTTGATCTCCTGACCTCGTGATCCGCCCACCCACGAGAACATTTTCAATTCAGTGTCCTCCCCCTTCCCAACCCTGTAGATATTCGTCCTTTCTCGTAAATGGATTATAGATTGAGCATCCCTAACATCCAAAATCCAAAATCTGAAACTATCTGAGTGCTAACATGATGCACTCGTGTGATAGGGTCACAGTGAAAACTTTGTTTCGTGTACAAAATTATTTAAAATACTGTATAACAGCCTGGGCAAGAAAGCAACACCCCGTCTCTAAAAAAAATAAAAAGTTAGCCAGGCGTGGTGGCACATGCCTACAGTCCCAGCTACTTGGGAGGCTGAGGAGGTAGAATCCTTTCAGCCCAGGAATTTGAGGCTGCGATCCAACTTCGGTGACAGAACGAGACCTTGTTTCAAAAAAAAAAAAGTACAGAATTGCCTTCAGGCTATGTGTATAAGGTGTAATGAAACACAAATGAATTTCAAATTTCGTATTTAAACCCGAGTCCTAGCCTTAAGATAACTCATTATGCATATGCAAAACCCCAAAATCCAAAGTGCTACTGTTCCTAAGCATTTTGAATAAAGGATGCTCAACCTGTAATACCAGTTAGCAAGTTTTTTTAAGTGCCTGTTGTAAACAGGACTCTGAACTAGCCTTTCTTATCTTAAATACAAATAAATCCTGGAGTTCTGGCCTGAGTTCACAAAATCAGGTAGAACAAAAGTTTGGTGCCACTGCGCCACCTTGAGGTTACATCAGTTTGGAAAATAACAGTGATTGATATGAAAGGTCTCTATTCCACTCAAACATTATTTATTTTTAATTTAATTTAATTAATTTATTTATTTTTTGAGGCAGAGTCTCGCTCTGTCGCCCAGGCTGGAGTGCAGTGGCGCAATCTCAGCTCACTGCAAGCTCTGCCTCCCAGGTTCATGCCATTCTCCTGCCTCAGCCTCCCGAGTAGTTGGGACTACAGGTGTCCGCCACTATGCCCGGCTAATATTTTGTATTTTTAGCAGAGACGGGGTTTCTTACCGTGTTAGCCAGGATGGTCTCGATCTCCTGACCTCGTGATCCGCCTGCCTTGGCCTCCCAAAGTGCGGGGATTACAGGCGTGAGCCACCGCGCCCAGCCTATTTTTTTTTTTTAAGTTTTAATGTTCCCAATTAAGAGTGAACACTTATTCTTTGAAAATTCTACTGAAACATTGTTTTATTTTGTTTTTGTAGAGATGTGGTTTCACCATGTTGCCCAGACTATTCTCAACTCCTGAGCTCAAGCAATCCACCTGCCTAGGACTCCTTGGAAACATTCTGTGTTGAGTGTGAAGATGGCTACATGACTGTTTGTCCAAATTCACAGAATAGTACATACATACCTAAAAGGGGGGTAGACTTTACCATATGCAAATTAAATCTTAGTAAACATGGCTTAGTAAGGTCCTCTCTCATACATTTTCTTTTCTTTTCTTTTTTGAGATGGAGTTTCACTCTTTTGCCCAGGCTGGAGTGAAGTGGTTTGATCTTGGCTCACTGCAACCTCCGCCTCCTGGGTTCAAGCGATTCTCCTGCCTCAGCCTCCTGAGTAGCTGGGATTACAGGCGCGTGCCACCATGCCTGGCTATTTTTTTTTTTTTTTTTTGTATTTTTAGTAGAGACGGGGTTTCACCATGTTGGTCAGGCTGGTCTGGAACTCTTGACCTCAGGTGATCCACCTACCTCGGCCTCCCAAAGTGCTAGGATTACAGGCATGAGCCACGGCACCCGGCCTCCCATACATTTTGCTAGAGTTATTCCTAGTAACTTAATTTTTTTTTTTTTTTTTTTTTTTTTTTTGAGACAGAGTCTTGCTCTGTCGCCCAGGCTGGAGTGCAGTGGTGCAATCTTGGCTCACTGCAAGCTCCGCCTCCCAGGTTCAGGCCATTCTCCTGCCTCAGCCTCCTGAGTAGCTGGGACTACAGGCGCCTGCCACCACACCAGGCTAATTTTTTTGTATTTTTAGTAGAGACGGGGTTTTACCGTGCTAGCCAGGATGGTCTCGATCTCCTGACCTCGTGATCCACCTGCCTCAGCCTCGCAAAGTGCTGGGATTACAGGCATGAGCCACCGCGCCTGGCCACTTAATTTTTTAAAAGATATTTTATCATGGAAATTTTCAAATACGCCCCCAAAGTAAAGAGAACAGTCTCAGGTACCATTTACCCAACTCTTGGTTTGTTATTATAAGTGGTATTATTTTTTCTTAAAATGTCATTTTCAAAATGTGTGCTAGTATTTAGAAATATATTTAATTTTAGAATGAGAGTTTAAAATGCATTTGGACAAATACCCTTGGACTTAAGGAGTAAGTGGAAGATTTAAATGCAGCCACTCTTAAGCTCCTTGGCAAATCATCCTCCTTCACACAGAGTGGCAAATGCAGCAGTATACGTTGGTACTTTTAAGATTTTATTTGAATGCCAACAATGAAAAAAGTCATTTTTCAAAAATATACTTAGGTTAAAACAGTGTTTCATTTTGCGAGTAAACAGTAAAAATCATATACTACCACTGAGAACATCTTCTCACCCTCCTCAACTATTCAGAAGTAACTAAGATTTAAGTCTTCCATTCACCAACGGACACTTTTGAACCCAGAGAGTCCTTTTGAACCTGGAGACAATGATGACAACAGCATAGACATTATGAATGAGGCAGTATGGGATGTGTGACTTGGAGGTGACTTCTACTAGCTGCATGACCTTGAGCAAACTGTAACTTCTCGGCCTCGGTTTCTTATTCTGTAAAAAGGTATAATGCTACCTACTTAAGAGCTGTATGTTAAGCACCTGGGAAATGATAGCTCTTATTACCATTGGCTATGTGTGAAATGGGTCTAGCTAAAAATGAGTTCATTCTTAACCACCCTTCGATAAAGGACTGAGAAACTGGAGAAAGCATGGCACTAGGAGGAACACACCCCTCAACGCAGTACATGTTATATGGAGGAGTCAGACACCCAACAACTCAAGTTTCCTGTCAAATAGAGAGGGAGAATACACTCCCAATGACATGACTGCCCGATTTATAATAGCTCATTCTGGCATATGTGGGAAGAACGTTGTAAAGATTGTGGACTTCAGAACCCAAACTTCTGGCACAGTATCAGCAGAGCATTGTGTAAACCGAAGTTCTAACCAACAGATCTGCAAATATCCCAGAAAGGGAGATGAAACATTTTTGGACAAGTGACTCTTTAATGAAAATAAGCCTCTTCCATACAAAACAAGGTTAGCTGACTTCCAGACCAGAACCATCCTCTGATCTGTGCTATTGGGACAGAAGTTCCTGCGTAATACGGCTGTCATTTGCAAGCATGATTCACCTCCCTTCTTTGTGAAAAGATAATATTGCCTTAGACAAATAAAGTTTGTTCAATGAATTATCTCTTAAATATTAATATTCATGTGATGATACTGAAGAGTTGTGAGGTATTTTCATCTCCATTATCACATTTCATCTATACATTAATATTGTGAAAGTCTCAGGGTAAGTAGTGAACAGCAACAAAAATACCCATTTGGGATTGGCCTAACCATTCTAATCTTTCTAGACCAAAGGTTTTCAAAGGTCTAACTTTATTTAGTGAAACACATACAAAGGTGGTCACTTTACAGGAAACAGAACTCACTGGACCACTCACTGACCACTTTTCAAAATGTTTACTGAACAGACATTTCGGGAAAAAAAGTCATCCATAGACTGTCCACCTTCCCAATGTCAGACTTTCCAATTAAAGTCATTATGGCTTATATTTTGCCCATGTGCGTATGTAACTGATTTACTAGGCAGTCTAGGCTGAGTGCAGCATGAGCCTGAAATACTCTTTGGACAGTTTCAAGTCCAGTCCAGCACCCCATCACCCCAGTGCACAGAGGAGACAGAAAAGCAGCTTACATTCTACCTTAAGCCAACAGCTGCGGCTCTAATGCCACTGTGAGTGCTGGGGGCGAAGACTGGAGGCCAGCAGGACAAGTTCTATGGGCCGTAATTAGCGAAGATGTGGTCTGGCCCCCAAGAGTTTAAAACTCTTGGTGCCTCTGTATCTTCTGCTCTCAGAGTCCCGGGCATCAATTCCTGAGCCTCCAGAAAATCCCACTCAACTGTTACACACATCCTCAAAACGTGAAGATCTAACAAAACAGGGCACCTAGGTGCAAACAGTTCTCACCAACACCACTGTCCAATTACAGATATTTGTTCAGATGAACATGAGCTTCAAGAGCTACTATGTTAGAGGCCGGGCGCAGTGGCTCACGCCTGTAATCCCAGCACTTTGGGAGGCCGAGGTGGGTGGATCACGAGGTCGAGAGATCGAGACCATCTTGGCCAACATGGTGAAACCCTGTCTCTACTAAAAATACAAAAATTAGCCGGGCGTAGTGGCGGGCACCTGTAGTCCCAGCTACTCGGAAGGCTGAGGCAGAAGAATTGCTTGAACCCAGGAGGCAGAGGCTGCAGTGAGCTGAGATCATACCACTGCACTCCAGCCTGGCGACAGAGCAAGACTCCATTTAAAAAAAAAAAAGCTACTATGTAGAATGTGGATGAGAGGGAGCCCAACCCTTGACCCACCTCACAGGGCCCAAACTCTGTAACTTTACTTTTTACACTGTCAAGGCGAGCAAGATTTCATTCTTTTCTATACACAAATGAAATCTTTTAACAGGCTAATAAAAGAAATGCTATTTACATTCATATTGTGATTATGCAAATATTATTTACTGTGGGGCTCAACAGTGTGCTAGGATCACACTTAATGCTCTACAAGTATACAACATAGGAGCTGCAAGGAGAAAATCTTCCCAGAGTCAGGTCAAAGAAGCTCTCTCTTTCAATACTGTCAAAATTAGGCCCCATTTTTCAGGCTACAGCTTTCTTTGCCCTACTCCCTCACCCCTTTTCATGGAGTTTCCGATTGCCTTTTCTTTTTCTTTTTCAGAAGACCCTTTTCCATACCACCAAGCTTCTTACTCACTCTACCCACTACTGAATGAAACTGACTTTTCCTTAAGAAATTCTTACAGCCAGCCAACTTTCTATTCTAAATGGAATACATTTTCCAGCCTGCTACACAGCTGTCCTCTTGGTTGTCGTGCACTAGGAAATCTTCCTTCTGATGTTCATCCTCATTTCGCTGTATTATATCTTCAAATTACCTCCTCAGAAAGGGTGCATGCAACATGAATCCTTGGGTCTCTAAAATTGTCATCTCTTGACCTTGTATCTGACTTGATAGCTTTGCTGGATCAATAACTCTATGTTTACAGTAATTTCTCCTCTCAAAGCATTGTTTTATTGTCTCTAATTATCCCCTGCTACTGAAGAAAAGTCTCATTCAGGTCTATCATTCTTTCCACTTGATGGCCTATCTTACTGAAACTTTTGGGTTCTTCAGCCCTGGTGTTTTGGATGGCTATCTGGTACCCGGGTGCCAGTCTCTGTGGGTGGTCCCTTTCTTAAGGAGTATGGTCTAAGGTAGCCATGTTACCTTCCCAACAGTAACATGTGTCCCTGGATTTTCTGCTCAGAAGACTGGGGACAAACTTTTAGATCAGCTGCTCCAATGCTCCAAGGAGGGTGAGCAGTGCCAAGGGTCACCAACACCTAATGGCTTTACTGCTCACCACCCATAGATTCCCTCTCTCTTCAAAACCTTTCCTTCAGCCCTCCGCCCCTCCACTGCAACTCCTTCACAATGTATAATCCAAAGAGGTTTTATTCCTCTCTCTCGTACCTCCTGAGTCTCCTTCTATTTGTCTGAATGATGCTTTTACTCTGCCACTGGGACCTCTTACCCTCTGACATGGTTTCGCTGCGTCCTCACCCAAATCTCAACTTGAATTCTATCTCCCAGGATTCCCACATGTTGTAGGTGGGACCCGGGGGGAGGTAACTGAATCATGGGGACCAATCTTTCCCATGTTATTCTCATGATAGTAAGTCTCACGAGATCTGAGATGGGTTTATCAGGGGTTTCCACTTTTGCTTCTACCTCATTTTTCTCTTGCCGCCACCAAGTAAGAAATGCCTTTTGCCTCCTGCCATGATTCTGAGGCCTCCCCAGCCATGTGGACACGGGAGAATCACAATTGTAATTTAAAGTTTCAAAAGGCCAGGCACGGTGGCTCACACCTGTAATCCCAGCCCTTTGGGAGGCCGAGGCGGGTGGATCATGAGGTTAGGAGTTCAAGACCAGCCTGGCCAAGATGGTGAAACCTTGTCTCTATGAAAAATACAAAAATTAGCCGGGTACGGTGGCAGGCGCCTGTAATCCCAGCTACTTGGGAGGCTGAGGCATGAGATCACTTGAACCCGGGTGGAAGAGGCTGCAGTGAGCCGAGGTCGTGCCACTGCACTCCAGCCTGGGCGACAGAGTGAGACTCCATCTCAAAAAAAAAAAAAAAAAAAAGCTTCAGTGTTCTGGTTTGGGGCTCAGAGTAGTCAGTATTTGGTTTGAGATGCTGTTAATAATAAAACATCCATGTTGGACTTGAGGTGGTTTTTAGGAAGTAAGTTGGGGCTGGAGTCATCTAATGAGCAGTGGCTAAAAGCATCAAAACGGTAAGCATGCTCTTACTCCTCCCCCCTGCCCCCAACTGAGCACACAGTCTGTTTCTAAATCTTTTCCATTATCTTTTGTAGTTTTTTTCTTTCTCTTTTTTTTTGGTGGGGGAGGCGGGGAAGGAGTTTCCCTCTTGTTGCCCAGGCTGGAGTGCGATGACGTGATCTCAGCTCACTGCAACCTCCCCCTCCTGGGTTCAAGCAATTCTCCTGCCTCAGCCTCCCTAGTAGCTGGGATTACAGGCGCCTGCCATCAAGCCCAGCTACGTTTTTGTATTTTAGTAGAGATGGGGTTTCACTATGTTGGCCAGGCTGGTCTTGAACTCCTGACCTCAGGCGATCCACCCACCTCAGCCTCCCAAAGTGCTGGGATTACAGGCGTGAGCCACCATGCCTGGTTCAGTTTCCTTCTTTTTTAGAGACAATTTTGCTCTGTCACCCAAGCTGGAGGGCAGTGGCATGAGCTCACTGCAGCTTTGACCTCCCATGTTCAAACGATCCTCCCACTCAGCCTCCCAAGAAGCTAGCTGCATATCACCAAACTGAGCTTTTAGAGATGGAGTCTCATCATTTTGCCCAGGCTGGTCTCAAACTCCTGGCCTCAAGCGATCCCACCTCAGCTTCCCAAAGTGTTGAGGTTACAGGCTTGAGCCACAGAGCCCAGCTGGTCTCTTGTAATTTCTATCACATTTATTCCTTTGTTATCTGACTGCCACAATTCTAACTCAGGCCTTCATTAACTCTTGTTCAACTGACCTCTCTCATTTCCTGTGCCTGTATGAATCTAGCCTGCACAGACAGCTGCAAAGGACTTCTCCCAAGTTAACGCTCTACTCACACAGCCCCTTCTCCCCAGCTCAAAGTCTGCAGTAGCTGCCCACTGCATATGAGAAATGTCTGCACAGCCTGGCCTAGGATTCATCGCCCTTAATGATCTGGTTCCAGTTTACCTCAACTCCAGTCATTTCCCTGGAAGCGCCCTAATTCCCAGTAAACCCTCCATCTCTATCAAAACTCTAGGGCCAGCTGGGTGCAGTGGCTCACGTCTATAATCATTTTGGGAAGCCAAGGTGGGTGGATCACTTTAGGTCAGGAGTTCGAGACCAGGCTGGCCAACATGGTGAAACTCCGTCTCTACTAAAAACACAAAAATCAGCCAGGCATGGTGGCATGCACCTGTAATCCCAGCTACTTGGGGGGCTGAGGTAGGAGAATCGCTTGAACCCAGGAGGTGGGGGTTGCAGTGAGCCGAGGTCATACCACTGCACTCCAGCCTGGGAGATGAGTGAAAATCCATCTCAAAAAACAAAACTAACAAACAAAAACTCTTGGGCCATGTGCAGTGGCTCATACCTGTCATCCCAACAATTTGAGAGACCGAGGCAGGAGGATCACTTGAGGCCAGGAGTTTGAGGCCAGCCTGGGCAACATAGTGAGACTCCATCTCTACAAAAAATAAAATAAAATAAAATAAAAAAATTAGCCAGGCATGGTGGCACACACCTGTAGTTCCAGCTACTCGGGAGGTGTGGCAGGAGGATTGCTTGAGGCTGTAGTGAGCTATCATCATGCTACTGCACTCCAGCCTGGGCAACACAGTGAGAACCTCCATGTATCAAACCACAATGGAATTCTTAACGCCCATTTGACAGGTGGGGAAACGAGCTCCAGGTGGCAGGAACTGCCCACCTTGTTTTCGGCAGGGCCAAGAAGGAAGCCAGGACACTGAACGGTCTCCACCTCTACCACTCTGCTCTCAAAAGAAAAAAAAAAAGCAACCCACTCTGTTCTTAGAATGTGCAAGATCAAAAGGATTTCTTTCTTCTTGATCCTGCCCTTGCCGAAATTTCCTGAGCTATTCCAGGTTCCAACCAACCTCAGGTATGGAAAGGCATTAGGCTTTCTGCTCCAGAGTTTATTAGTTCATTTAACTTAAAAGTTTACATCTTTGTGGTATTTTCAGCTCCTTGTACAAACTGCCAAACAGTACTAGAAAGTAACACAAAAAGTAGGCTTCTATAAGAACCCAGCCCACTTTAGGCAAAACAAACACACCCAACCAATGGGTTCAGAGTTTCTCCACTGCTCGCCATGTCCAAGCCATAAATACTTGATCTCCTCCTGTCATGCCAGCTTAAATTAACATACCAGGAGCTTAACTGATGACAAGACAAACACGAATTTATGAAATCCTTTCCAGTGGTCAGCTGGATGAGTCAAGTACAGACCCAGGTCTCCAGCAGCATAGACCAATACAACACACCCAAATTTAAAATGTGTACTACAGGCTGGGCACAGTGGCTCATGCCTGTATCCTAGCACTTTGGGAGGCCAAGGCAGGCGGATCACTTGAGGCCAGGACTGGTTCGAGACCAGACTGGCCAACAGGATGAAACCCTGTCTCTACTAAACACACAAAAATTGGCTGGGCGTGGTGGCACACGCATGTAATCCCAGCTACTTGGGAGGCTGAGGCAGGAGAATCGCTTGAACCAGGGAGGTGGAGGTTGCAGTGAGCTGAGATTGCACCACTGCACTCCAGCCTGGGCAACAAGCAAGACTCTTGTCTCAAAAAAATAAAAAATAAAATGTGTACCAAGAAGCCATAAGGCAGTGTGGAAGATATCTATTCCAAAACAAATTACGTGCAATTTTATTTACTCAAATGCAATGCCTATTTAAGGGTATTTGCTTCATCTTACTGCAAGGATCTAAAATGCTGCCACTCACATTAATAGCATAGTTACTACTAAAAATAAAACTGACTGTCAGAATTGCTTGAACCCGGGAGGCAGAGGCTGCAGTGAGTCGAGATCGCACCACTGCACTCCAGTCTGGGCAACAGAGCGAGGCTCCATCTCAAAAAAAGGAAACAAAAAACAAACAAATAAAACTGACTGCTTTTGTTTTCAGGAATTTCCCTAGAGAAAGAATACAAACCACCATTTTGACTTAGGCACAGGAAAACATAGCTGGCAAGACTCAAGCACTTTCTATAATTAAAAGAAAGGAAAGTTCTTATAACTTACCTAGCAAATTCTGCCAGTTGTTTGGGATCTGAGAGGTCAATGCCAGGTATTCCTCCAGGAGGAAGTTTCTTTCCTGTCATATATTCTGAATAATCAGGAGGTGAGTTCTCTCCAATGATCTGTTCTTCAACCACTGTCTCATGGTCAATATCTTTTTTTTCATCTGAAACACATCATGAGATTATCTTTAGCTGAGTAAATAGATTTTAAAAACTACAAAAACTGCTTTCACCAGTAACTTCTTAAATGGGGTGATTTATAGCCACCAGCTCAATTTGTTCTCCCCTCTCCCTTTTTTTTTTTTGGAGAACGGTCTCACTCTGTCACCCAGGCTGGAGTGCAGTGGTGCAGTGGCCCAATCACAATCACGGCTCATTCAGCCTCAAACTCCTGGGCTCAAGCAATCCCCCCACCTCAGCCTCCTGAGTAGCTGGGACTACAGGCAGGTGCCACCACACCCAGCTAATTATTTTTATTTATTGTAGAGACAGGGTCTCACAATGTTACCCAGGCTGGTCTGGAACACATGCACTCAAGCGATCCTCCTGCCTTGGCCTCCTAAAGTCCTCGTATTACAGGCATGAGCCACCACACCCAGCCTAGATTTCGGCTTTTCACTCACACCACACACATTTCCTGGCAACTACCAATTCAGTGGTGCTGATTCAAATCTGATTTCATAGCCTTCACCTCTTAGCTAGTCTCTTGCTACCTCTCCAGCCTCCTCCCTCTTCACTCCTCTATTTTGGCCCTTTAGCTCCCCAGTTGTATCATGGCCCATCTACCCTAACCTCAAGGTGTTTATTCATGCAATTTCCATTGACTAAAATTTGTAATTATAGCTGTGTGATTTTTGTCATCCTCCCACTAGACTGTAAGCTGCATATGGACATGGAGGTTGGTCAGTTTTGATCCCGTGCATTTACAGAGCCTTGTTCAAAATCTGCACATAGCTGGCCCTCAACAAATATATGTTCGGCCCAGCACCAGTGGTTCATGCCTATAATCCCAGCACTTTGGAAGGCCGAGGCGGTGGATTGCTTGCAATCAGGAGTTTGAGACCAGCCTGGCCAACACGGCGAAACCCCATCTCTACTTAAAAATACAAAAATTAGCCAGGCATGGTGGTGCATGCCTGTAATACCAGCTACTCAGGAGGCTGAGGCAGGAGAATTGCTTGAACTGGGAGGCAGAGTTTGCAGTGAGCTGAGATCATGCCAATGCCCTCCAGCCTGAGTGACAGAGTGAGAGTCTGTCTCAAAAAAACAAAGCAAAAAATAAAAATAAATAAGCATATGTTCAAAGAAATGTACGACATCTCTATTTGTATGTCTTACTATCATCTCATATCCAACAGGTTACAAAAAATAGGCCAGGTGCAGTGGCTCATGCCTGTAATCCCAGCACTCTGGGAGATCAAGACAGGAGGATCACTTAAGCCCAGAAGTTCCTAGACCAGCCTGGGCAATAAAGGGAGAGACCCCATCTCCACAAAAAAATTAAAATTAGCCAGGCATGGGGTGCATGCCTGTAGTCCCAGCTACTTGGGAAGCTGAGGCAAGACAATCACTTGAGCCCAGGAGGTCGAGGCTGTAGTGAGCCGTGACCACGTCACTGCGTCACTGCAACTTCAGTCTAGAGCAAGACTCTGCCTCCAAAAAAAAAAAAAAAAAAAAAAAAAAAAAAAAAAAAAAAGGACCAGGCACGGTGGCTCACACCTGTAATCCCAGCACTTTGGGAGGCCGAGGCAGGTGGATCACGAGGTCAGGAGATCGAGACCATCCTGGCTAATACAATGATACCCTGTCTCTACTAAAATACAAAAAATTAGCCAGGCGTGGTGGCGGGCACCTGTAGTCCTGGCTACTCAGGAGGCTGAGGCAGGAGAATCGCTTGAACCTGGGAGGCAGAGCTTGCAGTGAGCAGAGATTGTGCCACTGTACTCCAGCCTGGGTGACAGAGCGAGACTCTGTCTCAAAAAAGAAAAAAAAAAAAAATACATATATGTGTGTGTGTGTGTATATATATATATATATATATATTCATATATTCAGACCCCATATAATTCATTTCCCATATCTCAGACACCAAATCCTATTGATCCCCTTTAAAAGATCTCTCGGCCAGGCCACAGTGGCTCATGCCTGTAATCCCAGCATTTTGGGAGTTCAAGACCAGCCTGGCCAACATGATGAAACCCCAACTCTACTAAAAATACAAAAATTAGCCAGGTGTGGTGGCGGGCGCCTGTAAGCCCAGCTACTCGGGAGGCTGCGGCAAGAGAATTGCTTAAACCCGGGAAGTGGAGGTTGCAGTGAGCCGAGATTGCACTCCACCCTGGGCAACAGAGCAAGACCCCGTCTCAAAACAAACAAACAAACAAACAAAAAACACCAGTCTTCCCTCTTTGATCCACTGCCATCAACTTATTTCCTATTATCTCAAACCTAAATGACTGTAGTAGTTTCTTAATTGATTTTCACAATTATTTTCTCTAGTGATACTGCAAAGGATAAACTGGCACAGAAAATATAGCTGATATATTCTCACCCATGGTATAATCCCTTCAGTGCTGCTGTAAATTATTTCAATCTGGCATTCTGGGTCCAATGCTGTCTGGTCCCACTTTAACAACATACCTGGTCTTACCTTCTATTTCTCCTTTGCACATGCCTTCTATATTCTAACCAGCTTTTCTCATGGGTTAAATTCACAAGTGCATGGCAGGAGGTTTCAGTAAGTGTGAGTTTTGCTCTCTCTTACCACCTCTCTTCTCAACCCAGCCTCCCCTCCAAAGTCTAGCTCAAATTCTAGAGAATTTGAGGGCATGTTCATTTTATCAGTTCAGTCTTGATTCCTACCTTTTCTTTGAGCTCCTAGATTATTCCCTGACAGACTCAATCATTCCAGTTTGAATTTTTGTTGGTCTTGCCTCTTTTTTTTTTTTGAGACGGAGTCTCGCTCTGTCACCCAGGCTAGAGTGCAGTGGCACAATCTCAGCTCACTGCAACCTCCGCCTCCCAGGTTCAAGTGATTCTCCTGCCTCCACCTCCCGATTAGCTGGGACTACAGGCACACACCACCATGCCCAGCTAATCGTTTGTATTTTTAGTAGAAACAGGGTTTCACCACGTTGGCCAGGATGGTCTCGATCTCTTGACCTCGTGATCCACCCGCCTTGGCCTCCCAAAGTGCTGGGAGCCACAGTGCCTGGCGGGTCTTGCCTCTTAAGGTAGAGCAGAAGTGCCCAGAGGCCAAAAACAAGTCTTCTTCTACCTTTGATGCCTAAATTAGAAATAGGTACTCCGAAATTTTCAAGGCTAACTGCAAGTTTTTGCTTCTCAAATTGTCTGTCTCACCAAAAGTAGTAAAATAAAATATTTCAGAAGTGAAACTGGCTTCAACTTTTACCTTGAATTACCTTTCCACCAGTGTTAAAAATCAAGACCAACAACCAAACCAAAACGAAATCTACAACCACCAAAAACTACATATAACTGCTTAGCACACAGCTTTCTGACCTCAGAGCAAAGCTGGAGTATGAGAGGAAGATCAAGATAGAACGTAGGTTCCATTTGATTCAAGTGGTCATTATCAAGTTCAATCACTCTCAGCAATGAAAAGCACTGAATACAATTGTAAACTTTACATGACTCTAATTCCACCACTCTTCATTCTAGGAAATATAATTATACATCATTACAAGGAATCACAGATTTTTTTCATTTTACTGAGGAGAATGCGCAGGCACAGAGAGGTTAAGTAACCTGCTCAGGGTTAACTGGCTAGGAAGTGGCTGATGTAAACTCATGAGGGCCGGGCGTGGTGGCTCACGCCTGTAATCCCAGCACTTTGGGAAGCCGAGGCGGGCGGATCACGAGGTCAGGATGATCGAGACCACGGTGAAACCCCGTCTCTACTAAAAATACAAAAAACTCATGAAGTCTACCCCTAAGATTTATATGCTTAACTGTTAAGCTCTGCTGCCTCTTGTTCAGAAAGAACACTAGTGATAATATACCCAAGGTTATCCATTCACAGATGAAGACTATCTATTCCTAGGTGGGGCCTAGGAAAAAAATAGCTGGATGTATTCCGAAAAAGAGACAGGAAATATGGTTACTGACCCTAAGACACAAACCCAGGACTCAAATTCTTTAATTTCATTCCTGTTCCCAGGGCTGCCTGCTCCTACTGACACCCCCTGCACGTGCCCATCCCTCTAGCCTGGCACATCTACTTCTACATCAAAACTTTCACGGGGTACAGAAATACTTTGGTGGCCAAGGGAGCTATTTGTCCTCATGTTTTATATTTCTTTCTTTTCTTTTTTTTTTGACACAGTCTCCCTCTATTGTCCAGGCTGGAGTGCAGTGGAGCAATCATGGCTCACTGCAGCCTTGACCTCCAAGGTTCAAGCAATCCTCCCACCTCAGCCTCCCATGTAGCTGGGACCACAGACGGGCACCACCATGCCCAGCTAATTTTATTTTTTGTAGAGATGTGGTCTCACTATGTTACCTAGGCTGGTTTCGAACTCCTGGGCTGAAGCAATCCGCCTTGGCCTACCAAAGTGCTGGGATTACAGGTGTGGGCCATGTTTTATATTTCTGATACAGAATGATAGCAATGTTGAGAATCAGTGCTACTCTGAATAAGCTACTGATGAAAGTGTCTTAATCCATTTGGGCTGCTACAACAAAAATATAGATTAGGTGGCTTAAGGCAACATTTATTTCCCACAGTTCGGAAGCTAGAAGTCCAAGATCAAGGTGCCAGCATGGTGGTGTTCTTGGTGAGGACCTACTCCCTGGTTTGCAGATAGCCATCTTCACACTGTCTTGTCACATAGCATAGAGAGAACCAGAGGGCTAGCACTCTGGAGTCTCTTTTATAGGGCACTAATCCCATGCATTAGGGTTCTACCCTCAGACCTAAATTACCTTCCAAAGGACCTACCCTCTAATACCATCACATTGGGGGTTAAGATTTCAACACATGAATCTGGGAGAGACACAAACATGCAGTCTACCCCAGAGGGCATGTCTCAAGTGTGCTGAGACAGAAGACTGAACTCATGGCATAAAGGAATCACAGGCTAAATGATTATTATCATTAGTTCTACACATATTGAGGGCCTCCTATGTGCCTGGCATTGTTCTGGGCACTGGGAATAAAAGCTAGAAACAAAGTATCTGCTCTCAAGGAACTTACAGTCTAGTGAGGGAAGTCAAATGAGGAAATACTTCTTGAGTGGGGCTCAGAACCCAAATCTGAGCAATTCTAATATTGAAAGACTGAGGAATACTTTGCAAAGGAGACTGAAGAGGTATATCCACAGGTAGGGAGACAACTAGCTCTGTCTAAAGAGAACTTAGCGACATATCAAGTGCAAGTGGCATACACTACCAACACTGAAGAATATCAAGAACCCTCAGGATGGTCACTAAAATAATTCAGAATCAGAAACCAAAAAAATATATGAAAGAAGCCTAAAGTAGACGCTGACAAGACTTTATGACCTATATCAGGAATCAACTAGTACAGCCAGTTGGCCAAATCCAACCTCTATATTTCCACGGTTTTCGTAAAAAAAAAAAAAATTGTGGTAAAATATACATTACCATAATACTTCTCATTTTAACCATATGTAAGTGTACAGTTCAGTGCCATTTAATACATTCAGAATGTGTAACCATCACCACTATCTATACCCAAAATATTTTCTTCATTCCCGCAAAAAACTCTATACCCATTATGCAAGAACTTTCACTTCCCCTCAGCACCTGCTAACCTCAATTCTACTTTCTGTCTCTATGAATTTGCCTATTTCAGGTACCTCATACCAGTTGAATCATACAGTATTTGCCATCCATGCCTGGTTTATTTCACTAAGCATAATGTTTTTAAGACCCACCTGTTGTAACATATAACAACATTCCATTCCTCTTCATGGCTGAATAATATTCTGTACATACATACCATTTTGTCCATCTGTTAATGGATGGAGAAATAAACATGGCTAGATAATTAATCAGATGGGTTGGGGAGGAACAGGGATGCCAAGTATGCCACCTGAGTTTCTTGCTTCTAATTTTTAGAAGATGGTGGTGTCATTTGATGAGATGGAGGACAAGAGTGTGAAAGAGATGATGTGCAGAAGATTTAGAGTTCCTCTTTGGTTTGAGGTATCTGTGCAAAATCTAATGGGCAGACCTCAAAAAGGCAACTAAATATGCATGTATAGGGGATAAGAAACCTAGGTCAGAGAGAATTATATCGTAATCTGTGAGAATCACTGGCATATAGATGTTTTTTTTTTTTTGTGACAGGGTCTGGCTCTGTTGACCAGACTAGAGTGATCATAGTCTGCATGATCATAGCTCATTGCAGCCTCAAACTCCTGGACTCAAGTGACCCTCCTGCTGCAACCTCCCAAGTAGGTGGGACTACAGGCCCACAATACCATGCCTGACTCAGACTGCATTGAAAGCCCCAGAAAGACATTGTAAGATTATCTACTGAAAAAGAATACAGTCAGAGAGGAGAAGGATTATAATCAAAACCTGAACAATTCTAATATTAAGAGAATGAGGAAGACTTTGCAAAGGAGACTGAAGAGAGATGTCCACAAGTAGGGAGACAACTAGCTCTGTCTAAAGAAAACTGTACTCAGTGACGTATCAAGTGCCAAGTGGCATACAGCAAAAGCAGTTTGCCCTAAGCACAGACAAGAGAGGCTGCATGGTCTGTACATAATTTTAAAACCATAATAAAACTGGCTGAAAATAAGTGTACTCTTGATCATTACCACATTCCACACTTATTTATTTATTTATTTTTCCTGAGATGGAGTCTCGCTCTGTCCCCCCCAGGTTGGAGTGCAGTGGTGCAATGTTGGCTCACCGCAACCTCTGCCTCCCTGGTTCAAGTGATTCTCCTGCCTCAGCCTTCCAAGTAGCTGGGATCACAGGGGCACACCACCACGCTCAGCTATTTTTTGTATTTTTAGCAGAGATGGGGTTTCACCATGTTGGCCAGGCTGGTCTCTAACTCCTGATCTCAGGTGATCCGCCCACCTCAGCCTCCCAAACTGCTGGGATTACAGGCATGAGCCACCGTGCCCGGCCCTCCCACACTTTCAAATAATATCAGTTTCTTGCCTTAAAATAAAACATATTTTGTTGGTCTAAGTTTGAAATAATTTTTGTGGTTATTGTACATTCTCGTAAGATACAGATTTAAGACACATGTTATCACATTTATGACTTATTCCTTAAAAAACAGTGTTTCCTACAAGGAAGATAACTAGAACTCTCCAAAGACCACTGCACAGAAATTGTGAACAAGAAAATATAAGAAAATAGGCTGGCTGGGCACAGTGGCTCACATCTGTAATCCTAGCACTTTGGGAGGCCAAGGTGGGTGGATCACGAGGTCAGTAGTTTGAGACCAGCCTGGCCAACATAGTGAAATCCCGTCACTACTAAAAATACCAAAAAAAAAAAAAAAAAAAAAAAAAAAAATTAGCTGGGCGTGGTGGCGGGCGCTTGTAATCCCAGCTAACTTGGGAGGCTGAGGCAGGAGAATTGCTTGAACCCAGGAGGCGGAGGTTGCAGTGAGCCAAGATCACACCACTGCACTCTAGCCCGGGCGACACTGTGAGACTTCGACTCAAAAAAAAAAAAAAATAAATAAATAAATAAAATAGGCTAGGCATGGTGGCTCGCACCTGTAATCTTAGCATTTTGGGAGGCCAAGGTGGGCTGATCACCTAAGGTCAGGAGTTCGAGACCAGCCCGGCCAACATGGCAAAAATCCATCTTGACTAAAAATACAAAATTTAGCAGGTGTGGTGGCGTGTGCCTTTAATCCCAGCCACTCGGGAGACTGAGGCAAAAGAACCGCTTGAACCTGGGAGGTAGAGTTTGCAGTAAGCTGAAATTGCACCACTGCACTCCAGCCTGGGCGACAGAGTAAGACTCCGTCGAAAAGAAAAGAAAAGAGAAAAGAAACATATAGGAAAAAGCTGCAAAAAGACTTCTAGAGAAATGACAAAAGACACTGGCTTTTGTTGCCAGAAGAAATCAAAAGGACAATATTTGACCTGCCTCATTTTCACAAGCTGGACACACAATAAAGCAATACATTAAATAATGTCAATATTTGCTATCATTTGGCCATTTTGCTAATTTTTGCAAAAAGAAAATCAGAAGTTTTTACCAAATAGAATAGAAATTTATGATGCTGTAAAAGAAGCTAGTAATTTTTATTTATTACATTACAGGCCATATGTACATATGTTTCTTTCTTTGTTCAAAAAAATATCTTGGCCATGTGTGGTGGCTCACGCCTATAATCCCAGCACTTTGAGAGGCCGAGGCGGGTGGATCACCTGAGGTCAGGAGTTCGAGACCAGCCTGGCCAACATGGTGAAACCCCACCTCTAGCAAAAATATATAAAAAAAAAGATTATAGGTGTGGTAGCGGGCACCTGTAATCTCAGCTACTGGGAAGGCAAGGCAGGAGAACTGCTAGAACCCAGGAGGCAGAGGTTGCAGTGAGCTGAGATCATGCCATTGCACTCCACCCTGAGCCAACAACAGTGAGACTCCATCTCAAAAAAAGAAAATTATAAAAAATAATAATAATAAAAATCTTTGTTAAAAAGTATTAACCCTGGCCCAGCGCAGTGGCTCATGCCTGAATCCCAGTACTTTGGGAGGCTGAGGTGGGCGGATCACCCGAGGCCAGGAGTTCAAGATTACCCTGGTTGGCTGGGTACACTGGCTCACGCCTATAATCCCAGCACTTTGGGAGGCTGAGGCAGGCTGGTCACCTGAGGTTAAGGTGAAACTCCATCAATACTAAAAATACAAAAATTAGCTGGGCATGGTGGCACATACCTGTAATCCCTGCTATTCGGGTGGCTGAGGTGGGAGAATAGCTTGAACCTGAGACGCAGAGGTTGCAGTGAGCCGAGATCACGCCACTGCACTCCAGGCTGGGCAACAGAGCGAGACTCTGTCTCAAAAAATAAAAAAGACTAGCCTGGCTAACATGGCAAACCTCCATTGCTACTAAAAATACTATTCCCTTCATAATTACTACTGAAAAAGATTTGCTACATAGAGGAGAGTGTTTACTGATCCACTTTGAATGTCAAATTATGCTATGAATGTTACTGATTTCTATTGACTAGCGATGGGGTAATATCAAATGTACATCTAGGTAAAACATGTTCAGGAAGCAAAGTATCTAAATCTGCTTTAAAAATTGTCTGGACCCACTATAGGTCATTAAAAAATTGTTGTATGTCTATTCCCTGCTGGAGTTTCCCTTGAGGACAGGATCTTTTATTGTTTCACAGGACATAGTTAACCCCATTAGAAGTTTCTATGGGTTTCTTTCTTTCTTTTCCTTTGAGACAGGGTCTCACTCTGTTGTCCAGGCTGGAGTGCAGTGGCACTATCACTGCTCAATGCAGCCTCAACCTCCCTAGCTCAAGTGATCCTCCAGCAACCCCACTCCACCAGTAGTTGAGACCACAGGTGCACCACACCACCACACCCAGTTGATTTTTTTTTTCCTGGTAGAGATGGGGTCTCACTATGTTGCCCAGGCTAGTCTTGAACTCCTGGGCTCAAGTGATCCTCCTGCCTTGGCCTCCCAAATCCCTGGGGTTAGAGGTGTGAGCCACCATGCCTGGCCTGCAATGGGTTTCTTTAACCAATATAACTTAAGTTTACAATTGCTAATTACCAGAACACAAGTGGGCAAGGCCAATTAAAGCCAAATCTCAGAATTCCTATTTGGAAAAAGCTGAGAATACAGTCATTGATTCAAAGGGGGTAAGGTGATGTGGGCAACCATCATGTTAGGAACTTCTACCCAAAACTGTCGATTAGGTGACTACAGTGCTCACTCACACTCTGGCTAAATGCAATGACCTAAAACAACTAGACCAAGACTAACTTGGCCTAAGATAGAATGTGTGGAAAAACAAAATCTAGCCAACACTAGTCATATATGTGGAAGGACAATTAACTCACATTTAAAAGTTTCTATTTCTGCATATGGTACTATTCAGAAGGTTAAAGGTATTGTATAAATAAGCCGCTGGCCCATCCCAATCTCCCAGCTGCTCGGTGTTCTTCTATGTTACCAAAGCAATAATCACTCCAAGTCTAGTTTGAGGAGCAAAGCATAAGACTGAGTTTGTAGACTCCAATTTCCAGTCAAAAAGATATAATTAAGGAACTAAATAAATGGAAAGGCTAGAAGCACTCTACAAGTCCAGAGAAGTAAAAAGATGGAGTCTCACCTGCCCTCCACGCTCCAAGCAAAGTGGTTTTCTCAGTGTCTAGTAAAAGGTACTCAATACAATTTACCCTCTTGCCTTCCTCTCATGACCTACCTAAGCCCAGTCCACTCTCCAAAACCCAAATTAAGATCTCTTCCTTTCAAGAAGCCATTCATTCCTGTCACTCCAGCCTCTACTCTTAACCTCGCCTGGTTTCCTCATTTATTAAACAATGAGGCCAGGCACAGGAGTTCACACCTGTAATCCCAGCACTTTGGGAGGCCGAGGCAGGAGGATCTCTTGAGGCCAGGAATTAGAGACCAGCCTGAGCAACAAAGAGAAAACCCTGCCTCTACAAAGAAATAAAGAGAAGAAAGAGAAGCAAAGGGAGGGGAGGGGAGGAAGGGACAAAGGGAGGGAGGGAGGAAGGATACCACTGATCTTATAAGGCTAAAACAAGGTAACATGTTAAATGCCAATCATCATGTCTGGGAAATTGAGTAGTGTGCAAAAAAAGCCCCTTTATTCCACTTCCCCCCTCTCCTAGGTTTAAGGGGGAACAGTAGGTCTTGTGCCTTGCACATAACAGGGACTTGCCAAGTTCCTGCAGAATGAAGCTATACAGGGGATGCTAGCACATGTATTAGTTTCCTATTACCACTGTAACAAACTACCACCAATTTGGTGGTTTGAAACAACAGGAATTTATTCTCTTATAGTTCTAGAGGCCAGCAGTGAGAATCAGTTTCAGAGCTATAAAGTTGTTGTGTGGGTTCCTTCTGGCAGCTTTAGTGGAGAATCTGGTCCCTCACATATTCTAGCTTCTGAAGGCTGCCTACATTCCTTGACCCCTTCTCTTCACTGGACTCCAACCTCTCACACCTCTCCTACTTCCTCTTTGGCAGTCAATCTCCCACTGCCTTCCTGTGAATACAAGGACACTTGTGTGATTACATTTGGTACCCACCTGGATAAACCAGGATACTCTCCCTATTCCAAGAGCCCTGGTTTAATCACACTTGCAAATAAGGTTAACACCCACAGGTTCCAAGAATTAGGATCTGGCTATATTGGGAGTCATTATTCAGTCAACCAGTCAACCAGTTAGTCAATATGTTAATCAGAAAAATCAAAGGCCTTATATATTATTTCTCTCTCTCTCTTTTCATTTGAGACAGAATCTCATTATGTCATCCAGGCTGGAGTGGAGCTCACTGCAGCCTTGACCTCCTGGGCTCAGGTGATTCTCCCACGTCAGCCTCCTGGGTAGCTGGGGCTACAAAAGCACATGCCACCATGCCTGGCCTTTTTTTTTTTTTTTTTAATTTTCTGTGGAGACAAGGTCTCACTATGTTGCCCAGGTTGGTCTCAAACTCCTGGCCTCAGATCCTCCCACCTCAGTCTCCAAAAGTGCACCATACCCAGCCACGTTCCTTAATACATTTTTTAGGCATCTCTAAGACAGCACTGTGAAATTTGTCACATTGGCTGAAAAATGCCAGTACTACCACTCAGTGGTCCCCTTCATACACAAAGGAATTCATTCCTAAGAAACATTTTATTTCCTCAGAATTAATATCAGATGAAGGTAGTATAAGTTCCTTTTTTTTTAATTTTGACTGCCAGTAACCTCATTAGGGTTGATGGTAATTTTTCCTGTGATCCCGATTTTCTATATTCACCTTCACCAACTGAGATATTTACCTATGTATGTATGCATGTATATGTTTGGCTAGATTTTGTTTCTCCACACCTTCTATCTTAGGCCACTCCAGGTTACTTCTGGCAAAAAAAGACAAAAAAGAGTCACCGCTGCCATCACCCAACCTTTCACTGAAACAGGGGAGAGCTAAACATTTGCGATTCACTGCTTAGCAACAGGCAAAAATCAGACATAGGTTGTTTCCCAGTTTTTCCCACTAATAAAGACCTTAAGAAAGGATACTATCCTTTATTAAGTACCTGTCTCATTCTGGCAACTTGTCACATTTCTCAATCCAAACAATATCTTTAAGGTATTAAACCCTATGTTTTTGGCTGAAGAAACTGACCTCAGAAATGACAAGCAATGTATCTAAAGAGCAGTAAGTAGGCCGGGTGCAGTGGCTCACGCCTGTAATCCCAGCACTTTGGAAGGCTGAAGCGGACAGATCACCTGAGGTCGGGAGTTCGAGACCAGCCTGACCAACATGCAGAAACCCCATCTCTACTAAAAATACAAAATTAGCTAGGTGTGGTGGCAGGCACCTGCAGTCTCAGCTACTCAGGAACCTGAAGTAGGAGAATTGCTTGAACCTGGGAGGCGGAGGTTGCAGTGAGCTGAGATCACGCCACTGCACTCCAGTCTGGGCGACAGAGCAAGACTCTGTCTCAAAAAAAAACAAAAACAAAAACAAAAACAAACAAAAAAAAAAACGGTAAGTAGCAAATCTGAGATTTGAATTGAGAATTGACTCTAAAAGCCCATGCTGCTTCTAAAACAGAACCTTCTGCACCTTCTCTCTATCCCTAATACTTCTTTTCCACCTATACAGGAATAGACCAAAATAGTATTTTGGTATAAGCCCTGATTCTGCCTTACAGCACAAATTCCAGCCATTCATTCACTCAATATTCAAAGTTCAATACTCTCCTGAAAAGACAGGTCCTGACACCAACAGAACAGCTTCTTGCACAGCAATGGCAGCCCCTTTCCCTGACTCACAGATCTTCTATTTGAGAAGGGGAATTAATTTACACAAGAAAGCCAGGCACGGTGTCTCACGCCTGTAATCCCAGAACTTTGGAGGCTGAGGCAGGCAGATCACTTGAGGTCAGGAGTTCAAGACCAGCCTGGCCAACATGGTGCAACCCCATCTCTACTAAAAGTACAAAAATTAGCTGGGTGTAGTAGTGCAAGCCTGTAATCCCAGTTACTCAGGAGGCTGAGGCAGGAGAATCGCTTGAACCCAGGAGGTGAAGGTTGCAGGTGAGCCGAGATCGTGCCACTGAACTCCAGCCTGGGCAACAGAGCAAAACTCTGTCTCCCAAAAAAAAAAAAAAAAAAAAAAAAAAAAAAAAAAATTACACGAGAAAGAGTCCATCACAAACAACCATTTATATTGTTTTAATGCTAAACCACATTTGAAACCACTGTGTAAAACCAAAGTAACTGAATGGCTATTAAGAATTTTACTTGGCTGGGCGTGATGGCTAACGCCTGTAATCCTAGCACTTTGGGAGACCAAGGCGGGCCGATCATGAGGTCAGGAGATCAAGACCATCCTGGCTAACACGGTGAAACCCGTCTCTACCAAAAATACAAAAAAATTAGCCAGGTATGGTGGTGGGCGCCTGTAGTCCCAGCTACTCGGGAGGCTGAGGAAGGAGAATGGTGTGAACCCGGGAGGCAGAGCTTGCAGTGAGCCGAGATCGCGCCAGTGCACTCCAGCCTGGGTGACAGAGCGAGACACCGTTTCAATAAAAAAAAAAAAAAAAAAAAAAAGAATTTTACTCAAGCTGGGTGGAATGGCACACACCTCTAGTCCCAGCTACTAGGGAGGCTAAGGCCAGAGAACCGCTTGAGCCCAGGAGTTCAAGGCTGTAGCGCACAATGATCACACCTGTGAATAGCCAGTGCACTCCAGTTTCAACAACATAGCAAAAACCCGTCTCAAAAAAATTTTTTTTTCTCAAGAGTTCCTAATATCTCATTTGCCAGGTCATGTTAAAATGGAAGACTCTTGCTTTAAGAAATTGAGTAGGCTGGGTACAGTAGCTCATGCCTATAATCCCAGCACTTTGGGAGGCCAAGGCGGGCGGATCACGAGGTCAGGAGATTGAGACCATCCTGGTTAATACGGTGAAACCCCATCTCTACTAAAAAATACAAAGAAAAAAAATTAGCCAGGCGTGGTGGTGGGCGCCTGTAGTCCCAGCTACCTGGGAGGCTGAGGCAGGAGAATGGTATGAACCCGGGAAGCGGAGCTTGCAGTGAGCCGAGATCGCGCCACTGCACTCCAGCCTGGGTGACAGAGCGAGACTGTCTCAAAAAAAAAAAAAAGAAAAAAAAATTAGCCGGGCGTGGTGGTGCACACCTGTAATCCCAGCTACTCAGGAGGCTGAGGCAGGAAAATTGTTTGAACTCGGGAGGCAGAGGTTGCAGTGAGCCAGATCAAACCACTGCACTCCAGCCTGGGCAACAGAGTAAGACTCTGTAAAAAAGAAAGAAAGAAAGAAATTGAGTATATTGTTCTGTTTGTAAAGGAATAGAATTTCCTGCTATAAAGATTCAAAGTGACTTTAAGGATACCGCTACCCCAACTCATTTTAGAAAGATCTCAAGGTCAGTCCCCTCTAGAGAGGAAATATGATGCTGCTGGCTTTCTGTTCTTGATAATTATTCATGAAGTTAAACAGAATGGAACCTACTGAGAAGATACTTAGAACGAGGAAATGGCTTGGCTCCCCTTACGTGCTGTTATGAAAGTCCATCACACATGAAAAGGTGCAAGCCCCCCAACAATCAGCTAACTTCTAACATCTCCCTTGGCTCTTCCTAATACTCTGCAGTAATTACATGAATGTTATCTTCTGCATCCAAGTCATGATTCTGATAACCCTGTCTCTACAAAAAATTAGCCATGCCTGGTGGTGCGTGCCTGTAGTCCCAGCTCTTGGGGCACTGAGGCAGGAGGACTGCTTGAGCCCAGGAGGTCGAGGCTGCAATGAGCTGAGATTGTGCCACTGTACTCCCGACTGGGTGACAAAGTGAGACCCTGTCTCGAAAAAAAAAAAAAAAGAAAAAAAGAAAAATTCATTTTTGCTTACTCTTCCTATTGGAAGTAGTAAGAGCACAGAGAGAATAAAAATGGTCACCTGAGCAGATCAAGAGTTAAATAAAAGAATGCAAATACTAAGTAACATTCATTGCAATAACTGCTTTGCTAATATAACCTAAGTTTCCCAGCCTTAAAACAGACTGACCTTGTTAAGCAGGTTTCAAAAACAAAATAGAAATGCCTTTTGTAAATATCCACCTAGGAGTCCAACATGGATGTTTTAAAAAATTTACCCTCTTCCAAAAGCCTATAAAATACTAACTGTAGATAGGACAGGAACCCTGACCTTTTCCTGATACGGATTTTTCTTTTCCCACTAGGGGGAGTCAGTTGTTGATAGTGGGAGGGAAAAGGCAAGGTTAATAACCTGGAGGGGAGAGTCTGACAGCACAAGAGGCTTTATTAGGAAGCTAAACCTTTCAGAGCTACCAGATCAGGATTCGAGATCTATGACTTAGGCTACCCTATGTAGGTCATGGGGGTGAAGTGATTACTTTGGAGGGCTTTTTGAGCTTGGCTCCATGGAAATTCATGTTTATAGCATCTTAGTGATAAACAGCGCAGTTTCTACTGGGGAGGGAGGGTGTGAAAAACCCACAGAGGAATGGCAAACGGTCATGACTAGTGATTTTTGGCAAACCTGCATCTTCTGAACTTATAAAATTGGGAAAAATTCAATGCATTTCAACTTCCTTGCATTTACTGATTTTGTATCAATGGTTTTCTGGTCTTACAGGTTTTGCTTAATCCAGCACAAGCCGCTTCTCTATTCAGTGTAACAGAATAATGATTATTATTTTTGCCTCTCCTTCAGCAGTTTAATTTGTCTCCTCTCAGAAGGTCACAGCTCAGGTGGGGTCTCACCACCCCACATCCCCACAAGGTCCAAACAAGGGTTCTCTACCCGGAGCATGAGGCCAACCTGGGCACACCAGGGGAGGGACCATCGACTCCTAGGCGTGAAGGAGGTGCCACTCAGCTGCCAGCACTTTGAGAAGGCACATGTCCCCCACAACCCAAGCTGTGCTGACTGGCACGGGACAGAATGGGGGGGACACTGGCCCCGCACCTGTGCTATCCTCATTAGCCATGGGCAGGCAGTATGCACATGATGGCCTCACCTCACAAAACCCATGTATGGAAATGGAAACGGGGTGGGGGTGACCATGGACATGCTGGCTTGTTTCCAGGGTTCCAGGCATCTATGCGGCAGTTTATGCACATGGCAATGCAACTTCTGCTCCGAATTAAAATATCAACAGCCTTAGAGAGGGTCACAGTTTGTCACCACCTGAAATCTCAAGATTTTAAAATCACCTAAATTTCTCTCTGAACTAAATGTTTTAAATTCTCAGTTTTTATCATTATCTTCCCTATTAAATGCAATGGTTAAGTGGCTTAGTTTATAATTAACTAAGTTATAAAACAGTTACTCCTGGCTGGGCGCGGTGGCTCACGTCTGTAATCCCAGCACTTTGGGAGGCTGGGGTGGGTGGATCACCTGAAGTCAGGAGTTTGAGACCAGCCTGGCCAACATGGAGAAACCCAGACTCTATTAAAAATACAAAAATTAGCCGGGCATGGTGGCACACGTCTGTAATCCCAGTTACTCGGGAGGCTGAGGCAGGAGAATGTCGTGAACCCGGGAGGTGGAGCTTGCAGTGAGCCGAGATCGCGCCACTGCACTCCAGCCTGGGCAACAAAGCGAGACTCCGTTTCAAAAAAAACCCAAAAAACCCCACAACAACTGTTACTCCTATGTAACAGCATTAGTATCTAGGGAAAAAATATATAGTACTGTGCCCCAATCTATCAACACTGAAATGTTTATTAATCATATATAGTGAAAAAGGCCAAAGTAAACACTGGCATTAAAGCAATTGATTAAGATTATTCAAAACATAGTTGAAGCTGGGTGTCTGTAGTCCCAGTTACTCAGGAATTTGAGGCAGGAAGATACTCTGAACCCAGGAATTCAAGGCCAGCCTAGGCAACAAGGCAAGACCCCATCTCTAATTTAAAAAGCAACAACTAAAAAACTCCAGATGCACAGAGTTCTCTGACACACTAAACAGTTAAGTATATTCAGGTTAAATACAGAAGAAACAGGACAGGCGCAGTGGCTCACGCCTGTAATCCCAGCACTTTGGGAGGCCGAGGCAGGCGGATCACGAGGTCAGGAGATCGAGACCATCCTGGCTAACATGGTGAAACCCCATCTCTACTAAAAATACAAAAAATTAGCCGGGTGTGGCAGCGGGCGCCTGTAGTTCCAGCTACTCTGGAGGCTGAGGCAGGAGAATGGTGTGAACCCGGGAGGTGGAGCTTGCAGTGAGCCGAGATCGTGCCACTGCACTCTAGCCTGGGTGACAGAGCGAGATTCTGTCTCAAAAAAAAATAAGAAATAAAAAATAAATAAATAAAAATAAATACAGAAGAAACTAAACATGTGTATGACAATTAAAAATTTAGGAAAAAATAAAGAGGTCAGGCACAGTGGCTCACACCCATAATCCCATCACTCTGGAAGGCTGAGGAAGGATTGCTGGAGCCCAGGAGTTTGACACCAGCCTGGGCAACATAAGGAGACCCCATGCCTAAAAAATTAAAACATTAGCCTGTGGTCCCAGCTGCTTGGAAGGCTGAGGTGGGAGGATCGCTTCAGCCCGGGAGGTTGAGGCTGCCGTGAGCCGTGACTGTCTCACTGCACTCTAGCCTGGGTGACAGAATGAGACCCTGCCTCAAAAAAAAAAAGTAAGGGGTGGGGAGTGGGGCGGGCAGGTTGGTAATCCCAACACTTTGGGAGGCCGAGGTGGGTGAATCACCTGAGATCAGGAGTTCAAGACAAGCCTGGGCAACATGGCGAAACTTCGTCTCTACCAAAAATACAACAAAATTAGCCAGGCATGGTGGCACGTGCTACTCGGAAGGTGGAGGTTGCAGTGAGCCGAGATCTCACACTGCACTCAAACCTGGGTGCCAGAGTGAGACCCCTGTCTCAAAAAAAAAAAAAAAAAAAAAAAGTAAAAAAGGAAAAAAAAAGCCAATCTCTAAGGATCCTATAAGGCCTAAAACTACTAAAAAACTATTAGATTCCTATACTGATATTACATTCAAAAGATGCCCACCAGAGTGCTCTTACTGTGGGAAATTAAAGGAACATGGCATGTGCGCAAAAGAAACCCATTTGGTTTCCAGAAATATGATGACTCCCACTAATTTTTTTTTTTTTTTTGGAGACGGAGTCTTGCTCTGTCGCCCAGGCTGGAGTGCAGTGGCGCTATCTCGGCTCACGGCAAGCTCCGCCTCCCGTGTTCACGCCATTCTCCTGCCTCAGCCTCCTGAGTAGCTGGCACTACAGGCACCCGCCACAGCGCCCGGCTAATTTCTTTTTGTATTTTTAGTAGAGACAGGGTTTTACCGTGTTAGGCAGGATGGTCTCGATCTCCTGAGCTCGTGACCCACCCGCCTCGGCCTCCCAAAGTGCTGGGATTACAGGCGTCAGCCACCGCGCCCGGCCAATTTTTTTTTTTTTTTTTGACAGTGTCTCACTGTCACCTAGGCTGGAGTACAGTGGTGTAATCACCGCTGACTTGCAGCCTCGATTTCCCAGGCTCAGGAGATCCTCCCACCTCAATCTACCAAGTAGCTGAGAGTGACTACAGGCATGTGCTACCATGACTGGCTAATTTTTGTGGGGTTTTTTGTTTTTTTGCAGAGACGGGGTCTCACTATATTGCCAAGGTTCATCTCGAACTCCTGGGCTTAAGCGATCCTCCTGCCTTGGCCTCCCAAAGTTCTGGGACTACAGGTGTGAGCCACTGCACCCAGCCTGATCTTTTTGCTTTTTAAACCAAGAGGGTCTAAGAAGTAACTAGACCCTCGGGGAATACCCTGTATGTACAACTATTTTTATAAGGACTTCAAGTAACTCAGCTTGGGGCTTATGCAAAACTGTTACTTCACAGTTCATTCCAAACTAAGGGGCTATTTTAGTGAAACTAAAGTGTAGTTAAAACCTTCATGCCTAGGATCAAATGAGATCAAGTACACGAAAGCAGTAATGCTGCCCACCATGCTCAACCCATATGTACACATACATACAGATTTACCCAACAATTAACCCACTTTCATTTCTCCACTTGTTATGGAATTATACTGAGTATATCACGTCATTTCAGTTCTGAAGATGAAATCACCTTCAGAATTTCAGCTTGGGAAATGCAGAGTTATCCATAAGCTCTTTAGCTTCTCTTTAGTAATAATTCCAAATCACAAGGAAAAGTAAGGGGGATAGTTTACCACAAAACACATGTCCGAGAAACAGGCCATCCTATGTTACTGCCATCAAATATTTATAACTACCCTTATGCACAGCGTACTCTACCACACTAGCTAGACAACCAGCGCTTTAAAGAAATGGACATTATAGCCAGGGGTGGTGGTGGATGCCTGCAATCCCAGCTACTTGGGAGGCTGAGACATGAGAATCCCTTGAATCCGGGAGGTGAAGGTTGCAGTGAGCCAAGATCGTGACACTGCACTCCAGCCTGGGCAACAGAGCAAGACTCTGTCTCAAATTAAAAAAAGAAAAGAGAAGAAAAGAAACGGACGTGAAAACAACCCCAAACTGTGCCACCTTAAAAGCAGCCACTTGGCTGGGCGCGGTGGCTCACACCTGTAATCCCAGCACTTTGGGAGGCCGAGGCAGGCGGATCACGAGGTTAGGAGATCAAGACCATCCTGGCTAACATGGTGAAACCCTGTCTCTACTAAAAACACAAAAAATTAGCCGGGCGTGGTGGTGGGCGCCTGTAGTCCCAGCTACTCGGGAGGGTGAGGCAGGAGAATGGCGTAAACTCGGGAGGCGGAGCTTGCCGTGAGCCGAGATCATGCCACTGCACACCAGCCTGGGCGACAGAGCGAGACTCCATCTCAAAAAAAAAAAAAAAAAAAAAAAAAAAACAAAAAACAAAACAAAACAGCCACTTGCACACTTGTAAATGCTCACTTAATTGTAAATTGACTTCCATCAGTCAAGCCCCTCAGACTTTCTCCCCTAACTGGCTGACTCCATACATACCACTTCAGCAAGCAAAGCCGTACACTACCAGCTTCTCTGGATGTGGAAAAGTGGACCAGCAATTTGTTAAGATAAAATGCAGATCATGTAAAAATATGTCGGTTTTCTAAATTCCTCTAATTCCACACACTATGAGAAAAAGTAAATTTACTTTTGTGGTTAATGTATCTTTACCTAAATATCTTATTTCAAATCGTATTCTGAATTCTGCAAATTCATCAATAACTAAAACCCCCATCCCTTACTCATTGGTATTAACAAAAAAAAATGCCCCCCCCCCCCTTTTGAGACAGAGTCTCGCTCTGTCACCCAGGCTGGAGTGTAGTGGTGCAATCTCGGCTCACTGTTAACCTCTGCCTCCTGGGTTCAAGCGATTCTCCTGCCTCAGCCTCCCGAGTAGCTGGGATTACGGGCTCCCGCCATCACGCCTGGCTAATTTTTATATTTTTAGTAGAGATGGGGTTTCACTATGATGGCCAGCTGGTCTCGAACTCCAGACTTCAAGTGATCCACCGGCCTCAGCCTCCCAAACTGCTGGGATTACAGGCGTGAGCCACCGCGCCCGGCCAAAACCATGACTTTTAGTTCCAACATGATCAGTATGTAATCTCTTGAGCTACCAAAATACATGGAAATTATCTTTTGATAACCATTAAGTACTAAAGTATTCATGTTTCATTTAAACATAGTTTCTGCTAAACTCAAACTGCTATGAATTCTACAAGGCACCCTGGATGCAGGACAGCGCCTGTTAGCACCTTCCTATTAGATTTTGACAGCTCCTAGATCCCTTTGCTCAGGCCTCTTTCAATCACAGATCCACCCAGCTGTAGTTGTCTCATCTTGAGGCTTTCACCAGATACAAACTAGCTTTTTCAGTCCAGCCTTTTCATTTCTGTTTCATTCATTCCTCCGAATTTTAACGATCTTTTAATACTCAAAGGTCACCATATTTTGAGTCTCCATTCAGTTCTGAGAATTTATGAAGCTTTAAAGTACTTATAGGGAAGAGGTTCCACCGCTTATATGGAGTACTAAACGTAATCATCACAGGCATTAGATTAACTACGATGGCAGGATTATTCTCAGTCTATTTAGTATCTCAGCAATTTAGCTAGGTAGCATATGAATATACTAATAGGATACTGACCTAAAAAACCAGCATTGAATTAATAATTGCCTTTGAAGTAAAAACAGATTTTACACAGGCAGATAAGATCCTTTTGCTCTAGATGGTTTTCAGGCCTTCGTTAAAAGTAGTATTAAAACAGTAAAACAAAACTCAAAAAAACCCGCTTTCTATTATCGTTCTTTTCATGGGGAAAATAGATACCTTTCTACAAAGTAAAAACCATAAAGGCTTAAAATTAAACTACCCGATTTTATTTACTGGCAAATGTCCACAGTTGAGTAAACTAACCCAACCTATTCAGAAGAGCTAAATACTTGAGGGAAAAAAAAAAAGCTTTCCCAAAACGTAAGTGACTAAGAATTATTCGCTAACATTCACAGGCCCTTTCCACTAGGTACCGCAGGAAGGCGAAAAGGCCAGGAATTCGCTGGCAACGGCGGTGACAGGCTCCGACTGACGCTCGGAGCCCGCACACGCGAGCCCTACGTGCAGCCCCAAGTCCCGCCCCGCAGCAAACGACGACTTGGGCGAGCGTGACCGCCGGGGCAGGGTCCAGCCCGGCGCTGGGTGGGCGGGGAGCAAGGAGGCCGGAGGGCGCCCACGAGTGCCAAGCCCCCTCCTTCTGGAAGGTGCCACCGGGGAGCAGTTGGGAGTCCGGGGAAGTTGGGGGCGGGCGGGGCAAGCGCCCGCGGCGCCCTCCAGCGGCCGATGGGGTAACGGCAGCGCCGGGCGGGGGCGGGGGCGCGCGTCCCGGAGGCAGCAATCCCTGGCCCGCGAGGCCGCGGCGCAGCCCCGCCAACGACCTCCCGCGTCCCGCCCGGGCCGGGGGCGCGCAGCTGCCGCCACAACGGGCCGGCGGGCGCGCCCGTTGATGCGGGCGCGGGGAGCGAGGGCGTCGGGGAGCGAGCGCGCCGGCCCCTCCCCCGGCCGTCTCCGCCCCGCGCGGCGCTTCCCCCTCTCGGAGAAACTACGCCATTGCGGCCTAGCCGGGCGGCGCCGGCCCCTCCCCCCCGCGGCCTGCCGCCATCTTCGCGGCCCGCCGCCCGCCGCCGCCGCCGCGCCCCCGCCGCCGCACGGCCCGCCATCTTTTGGGGCCGCCATACTTGCCCTGGCGAAGAAGATGGCGGCGCCCATCACACACATAAAACATGGCTTCCCTTCAAAACAAAAACATCCCGGGGCCGGGGCGCGCGGCCGGCGCTCACCTGAGGACCACATGGTGACCGAGAACTCGCCCTCCAGGGTCTTGATCTGCACCTGCTTCTGCTCCCACTTCTTGTTGCCCGGGTCGGCGCCGCCGCCGCCCGCCGCGCCGGCCCCGCCGCTGAGGTAACTCTTCTTGCCGCTCTTCTTGCCGCCGCCCTTCTTGACGCGGCCGCCTCCCGACGACGACGAGCCGCCGCCGCCGCTCTTGCCGGCCGCCGCCACGGTGACCAGCGTTTGTTCAATGTAGTCGTCGTCGCCGCCGGCCGGCGCGGGCACCGGGATGAGAATCTGATCCTCGAAGCCGTCCTCGGCGCGCAGCCCGTCCGAGTCGTCGCCGCCCACCACCTCCTCGCGCGTCTGCACCAGGATCACCTCCTGGTGGTGGTGCACCTGGGTCGGGTCGTCGGTGACCAGCGGCTGCAGAGCGATCATGGGCGGGTGGTGGTGGTGGTGATGGTGGTGGTGGTGGTGGCCGGCGTGCCCGTGGCCGCCCCCGCCGCCGTGGTCGCCACCGCCGCCGTCCTCGTCGTCGTCGTCCTCCTCCTCCTCCTCGCCCACCACTGTGGTCTCGATGGTCTCCACCGGGATGGTCTCCACCTCGATCTCGTGCAGCTCCACGATCTCGGCCGGCATCTCCGAGCCGTCCGTGGCGATGTAGAGGGTGTCGCCCGAGGCCATGGCTGAGGGCTCCGCCGCCACGGCCGCGGCGGCCTCGGCTCCTCGGCTGCGGGCGGGCGGGCGAGGAGGCGGCCGGCCGTGGGGAAGGAAGGCAGAGGGAGGAAGGCGGCGAGCGGGCGGGGGGAGAGGGGGCGGGCGGCGGGGGAAGGGGCGGGCGCCGCGGCGGCGGCGGGGCTTCCCCGCCTCCCTCGCCTCGGTGCGCCCGCGCCCGCGCTCGCTCGGCCGCTGCTCGTCTCGGCTCCCCGCCTCGCCTCGCCTCGCCGCAACCGCCCGCCCTGGCCGCGCCTCCTCCCGCCCTCCGGGCCGGCGCTCCGCTTCCCCCTTCCTCCTGCGCCTCCGCCTCCTTCCACACAAATACCAACTCCTCAACCCGAGCCCAGATCTCGCCGCCGCCGCCACACTCTGCTCGGGCCCGGCCTCGCGAGACTTCCGCGCTGGCCTCAGCCCGCCCCGCCTCGCTGCCACTCGCCCGTTCGCCCTCTCGATTCTCCTCTCGGCCAATCGATCTGTCCGCTGGCCTCCGCGGCCCCGCCCACTCGCCGGGCTCCTCCCGGATTGGGGCCGATGGGACCGGGGGCGGGGCGGCTCGCACGCGCCCTGGCTGGCCCGCGGCGCGTGACGTCAGCGCGCCGCCGCCGCCGCCACCGCCTCCCGCTTCCCGGTGTCGCGCGGCTGCCGCCCTTCGCGGTGCAACAGCCACAAAACCCGCCGCCTCGGGCCGGGGCCGCACTCGGGAACGGGGCGTCGCCGCTACAGCCGCTGCCTTGGGAGCCGGTGAGCGGTCCGCGCGGCCCCGGGCACCACGGGGGCGGGAGCCTGAGGAGAAGGGAGGGAGGGGCCGGCCGGGAGCGGGGTTGAGGCGGGTGGGCGGCCCGGGGGCCGCGCGGGGAGCGGCTGGCGCGTGCGGGGCGGCCCTGTCGCCCCAATAAAGTCTGCTTTGACGAGAATCGCCTGTGCTTCCTTTTTCGCGTCGGGAGGTGTTTGTTCTTGTCGCCTGGCTTCGGGCGAGCGATGGCCGCGGGGTGAGTGTGGAGGACCGAACGGACAAAATCGGGCGACGCGGGCAGCGTCCGGTATCTCGCCGCGAGCGCCCGGCGGGGTGCGGGGCCGAGCGCGGGGTCGGCGCGAGCTCGGCGGAAGCGCCCGCGGAGCCCCAGGGCCACCGTTGGGAGGATGTCCGTTATTCTTTAGTGACCCGCGGAAACCTGAGACGCAGCCGTTGGGTGCCTGTTTCCCCGTAGATCTTAGAACTACAGGGTCCTGGCGGCTTTCTAAAATTTTCTCCTGAGCTTCCCCTTCTTTGCTCTCCAGTCAGCCATTGTTTCCCTTGCCCACCCTTTCCCCCTATTTGTCACTTTCATAGGTGCTCCTTTTTACGCCCACCAGGTTTTGCATTTGTCTCATTTAAAATTCCAAATTTTTTCAGCCGTGTCCTCCATTGTACCTGCAACAGAGCCTAGATTTTTTTTTGTGGCACGGATTAGCGGCAAGTTAAACCTTCCTGAATGAGTTACATTGCAGCGAAGTGTTTCTGCTCTTATCTGTCCTTTTGGTCGACCTGACAATTTGCCTTAAAGCAAAACAAAGATTTCCTGATTTTTAAGGAAACTATGACAAATTGAAGAGTTGGAAAGGTGTGTCTTTGTTGTACTCGTTTGGCCGATTTAACGCCTCTGTGAATTTGTTCAACTTAAATATTATCAACATTTACTGTTTTGTAATAGTGTTCATGCAGTTGAGGCCCATGATTTTCTGAACTGTACGCAATACATTAATCTTAGGCTCAACTTGTTAAAACAAGTAGACTATACATTCTCATTAAAAGGCAACTTTATAAATCCTAGTCCCTTCTTATTGCTAAATCGCATTGGACTTGACTTTTGAGAATATTAGTGTAAGGAGTGACAAATTAGATCGTTTTCTCTTTGAATCTGAGCTTTGAAACCTGAATAATTCCCCTTGGAGTACTGCACCCACTCAGTTTGGAAAAGTCAAATCTGTTGAATTAAGTCATCTCTGGCTTTATAGCTTATAAACTCTGCATAAATATTTCATGAATGGAAACCAGTTGTGGGAGAACTTTTACATGTCTTAATGCTTTTTAAATTTCACTTTCCCCACTCTCTAGTAATTGATGGGGAAATGGCACTGCAAGTAGTTGATACTTCCCCATAAACACCAATTGTGAGAGCAAGAGAAATGAGGGAATTACCCATTAAGCATCCTGGTTTCTGAGCTGTAGATCTGTAGGTGTTCACATTCAAGTGGAGAAAGCCCAAAAGGATTGAAAGCTTTGAGGAAAGGTAGTAGGTCAGAAAGCACTAAAATGCTCCTGAAGGCCATCCTAGTACCTGCTCCAGAAAATAGCTTTTTAAACTTGCCCCATAGGAGGTGACCTGTTAGGCCTTAAGTTTTTCTAGTGGGAGATATTCTTGTTTTCTACTGTTTAACGGTGGAGTATCTTATGACTAGACATGCAAAGATAATGTGTCGTGTGGCTCTCGCTTGCTTGCACTTGCTAAAGGTAAAAATTATTTTAAAAGGACAGGTCAAATTGCAGTTTCAGAATCATGGGATTCTAAAAGTGAGGATAGGCTGGGCGTGGTGGCTCACACCCATAATCCCAGCACTTTGGGAGGCTGAGGTAGGTGGATCACCTGAGGTCAGGAGTTCCAGACTAGCCTGGCCAACATGGTGAAACCCCGTCTCTACTGAAAATACAAAAATAAGCTGGGCGTGGTGGTGCACGCCTGTAGACCCAGCTACTTAGGAGACTGAGGCAGGTGAGTTAATGGAAACCAGGAGGCGGAGGTTGCAACGAGCCGAGATCGCGCCACTGCACTCCAGGCTGGGTGACAGAGTGACACTCTGTCTCTAAAAAATAGTAATAAAAGTGAGGATAAATTTAACTGCTGTGGGTTTTTTTGTTTTTGTTTTTCTGAGGCAGGGTCTAGCTTTGTCTCCCAGGCTAGAGTGCAGTGGCACAATCATAGCTTACTGCAGCCTTGAACTTCTGGATTCAAGCAGTCCTCCCATCTCAGCCTCCCAAAGAGCTAAGGACTACAGGTGCCCCACCACATGCCCAGCTAATTAAAAAATTTTTTTTTTGGATATGAGGTTTTAAGGGCTCTGTTGCCCAGTCTGGTCTCCTGCCTTGGCCTCCCAAAGTGCTGGAGTGCACCTAGCCTCCCTACTTTTATTCTGTTCTGTTTGTACAAAATGCATTGGGATTCCCTCTGAATTCCTAGAGTCCTTTTATTTTGGCAATAATTGATTATTGTCTCTCAACCCTATCTGAGCAAAGGCCATGGCTTTGTCAGCTCAGTGCCTTGTGCATGAAGTGATGCCTTGTACGTGAAGCTTGCTTTTTTTTTTTTTTTTTTTTTTTTTGAGATGGAGCCTCGCTCTGTCACCCAGACTGGAGTGCGGTGGCGCAATCTTGGCTCATTGCAACCTCCGCCTCCCGGGTTCAAGCGATTCTCCTGCCTCAGTCTCCCGAGTAGCTGGGACCATAGGCCCGCACCACCACACCTGGCTAATTTTTGTATTTTTATTAGAGATGGGGTATTGCCATGGGTGGCCAGGCTGGTCTTGAACTCCTGACCTCAAATGATCCACCCACCTCGGCCTCCCAAAATGCTGGGATTACAGGAGTGAGCCACCGCGCCTGGCGATCACTTGCTTTTTGATTCATGCAAAAACGTGAAGTTTAAAGTACCATGGCAGAGGGGAATTCTGTGTGATGTTGCTTGACCATTTCTTAGTCACTACAACCTCCGTCTTCTGGGCTCAAGCGATTCTCACTGCGGTGAGCCGAGATCATGCCATTGCACTCCAGCCTGGGGAACAAGAGCAAAACTCCATCTCAAAAAAAAAAAATTGAACATCAGCAACTATAGAAGAAATAATATTAGATACATCACAACAGTTGTGCAGAGCTTTCTAGAATCTCCAAGAAATCAGAGCTCACTAATGGCTGAGGAGATGCAGTGACAAATATTCTACAAGTAATATTCCTTTGACTACCTTCTCAGCACAGCAGCAGGACAAAGATGTGGACTGTCAGCTGACAACTCCTTTGCCATCTCCTCACCTCCCTCATTTCCCATTCATTCATTTTCTGAAACTTTCATTAAATACTCAAACTTGGGTTCAAGGAAGGAGGGTGAGGAGTGAGAGTAAGCAGAAGAATAAAGGCTATTAAGAGATGCTGATACCTCTCCTTCCTTGCCTAGTCCAGACAGTGTGTTCTCCTTTATTGATTACAGGGAGGCTATTAAATCTGATTCAGCTATATCTCTAACAGATTGGGATTGATTCAAGTCATGAACTCATGCTAAATAATTTTCCTTATCAGAACTAATTTGGCTGCCTCATGAAATTGCTTTGTGGTTCTAATGTTTAGTTCTTTTGCAGTTCCTTCAAGTAGGAAGGAAATAGGTGCTCTGCATCAGTTACAGTATTGAGACTGTTAGAGCCAGATGGGGCATCTAGTCCACATTTCATTTTGCAGACAAGGAAACTACCTAGGAGATGTGCTCAACGTCACATGGCGGTGTGGTAAAAAGGTAGTGATTGAGGTGAAAAGCGAGAGCTTGACTTTCCTGCCTTTTGTGAGACTGCAAAACCTATGTAAGTTTCAGTAGTGTGATCCTGTTCCAATTCACATCCACGCCCAGTTTTCAATGAAATGTTTACAAAAATCAGAATGAAAATTTTTGTGCATGCATCCAAATTAGTTACCCCTAGTTTGGATCCAAGTTAAATGAAAAACTAGGTATGTACATGTTCTTAACTGTCTAAACTATAGATACCTTCTTGGTTGTGGAGTCTTTGAAACCTGAGCTATTAAAGGGATACTTTCCCACCAAATCAATGCATATATTAGATTTGGAGTTTAAATTATGGTGAAATACCCTGTGTTTGTTTGTTTTTTTTTTTTTAGACAGGGTCTCACTGTGTCACCCATGCTGGAATGCAGTGGTGTGATCTCTGCTTGCTGCAACCTCTGTCTTCTGGGCTCAAGTGATTCTCCTGACTCAGCCTCCTGAGTAGCTAGGATTATAGGTGCATACCACCATGCCCTGATAATTTTCTTATTTTTAGTAGAGACGGGGTTTCACCATGTTGCCCAGGCTGGTCTCAAACTCCTAAGCTCAAGCAATCCACCTGCCTTGGCCTCCCAAAGTGCTGGGATTACAGGCATAAGCCATTGTACCCGACCCCTAACTATATACTATATATGTTTATATGGGGTTTTTTTGTTGTTTTTTTGAGATGAAATCTCACTCTGCCACCCAGGCTGGAGTACAGTGGCACAATCTTGGTTCACTGCAACCTCCGCCTCCCGGGTTCAAGCAATTCTCCTGCCTCAGCCTCCCAAGTAGCTGGGATTACAGGCACGCACCACCACGCCCTGCTATTTCGTTTTTATTTTTAGTAGAGACAGGCTTTCATCATGTTGGCCAGGCTGGTCTTGAACTCCTGATGTCAAGTGATCCACCGGCCTTGGCCTCCCAAAGTGCTGGGATTACAGGCACCATCCACCGCACCCAGCCTCCTAACTATATGTTAATAGGTGAAATCTCACGTCTATAAAGCTGGCACCCTTTATGTAGTATTTTATGTCCTTTTATAAGACCTTAATTAAATTCTTTTTCTTAGGCCAAGTGGTTTATTACAATGATTGAACCTGATTATTGCCCATAAATATAAAGAAAGTTGAAATCTTTAGTAATAGATTAGCCTCTGTTTTTCTCTGCTTTGCTAGTATAACGTCCCTCCAAAGAAGAAGCTAAATCAACTTAATTGTACTGAAGTTGCTCCTACTGCCCACCCATCCCAACAAATATGGAATGCACAATTAAACAGAATGGAATTTTTTTTTTTTTTTTTGAGACAGGGTCTCACTCATTGCCCAGGCTGGAGTGCAGTGGCAGGATCTCAGTTCACTGTAGCGTCAACCTCCCCAGCTCAAGAGATCCTCCCTCCTCAGCCCTCCAAGTAGTTTGGACTACAGGCATGCATCATCACACCCAGCTATTTTTTGTAGAGACAGGGTTTTGCCAAATTGCCCAGGCTGGTCTTGAACTCCTGAGCTCGAGGGATCTGCTCGTATCAGCCTCCTAGAGTGCTGGGATTACAGGCGTGAGCCTGGCCAGAAATTCTTTAATCCATGGTAACGTCCTTTTTTTTTTTTTTTTTTTTTTTTCTGAGACAGAGTTTTGCTCTGTCGCCCAGGCTAGAGTGCAGTGGCGCGATCTCAGCTCACAGCAAGCTCCACCTCCCGGGTTCACGCCATTCTCCTGCCTCAGCCTTCCGAGTAGCTGGGACTACAGGAGCCCGCCACTGCACTTGGCTAATTTTTTGTATTTTTAGCAGAGACGGGGTTTCACCGTGTTAGCCAGGGTGGTCTCGATCTCCTGACCTCATGATCCACCCGCCTCGGCCTCCCAAAGTGCTGGAATTACAGGCGTGAGCCACCGTGCCCGGCCAATCCACGATAACTTTCATAGCCACACTGGTTTTCACAGAAGCACATTTATTGCAGTGTGGAAAATACAGGAAGTCGATTCAGGTATTTGTGTGTGTGAGGCAGGTGAGCGTGGTGGAGTGGGAAGAGCTTATGTGATTTGGGAGTTAACTTGTCCTCTCTGTGAAACTGGGCAGTAACCTTTCTGATAGGAATTTTTTTCTGTTTGTCAGAAAGGAGTGACGCCCCACAGGGAGTTAGGTGAGACCAGCTGTTCAGTCACCATTTACCTCGCACTTGCAGTGCAAGGCCCAAAGGATAGATATAGCTGTGAACAAGAACAAGACAAGCAAGCCTGGCTTCACAGAGTCTACAGGCCAGAGGGACTTCGGCTGTGAACAGATAGTTCAAAAATACATATCTAAAAAATTTCTTTTTCTTTTGAGACAGAGTCTCTCTCTGTCGCCTAGGCTGGAGTGCTGTGGCACAATCTCAGCTCACTGCAACCTCTGCCTCCCGGGTTCAAGCGATTCTCCTGCCTCAGCCTGCTGAGTAGCTGGAACTACAGTCATACGCCACCACACTCGGCTAATTTTTTTGTATTTTTAGTAGAGATGGGGTTTCACCATGTTGGCCAGGCCGGTCTGGAACTCCTGACCTCAAGTGATCAACCTGCCTCGGCCTCCCAAAGTGCTAGGATTACAGGCATGAGCCACCGCGCCCAGCCCATACCTAATATTCATTTATAGAAGTCCTACAAAGAAGTGAGAGTTTGGGGACAGAGAATCTAGCCTAGCCTCGCAAGGTAAAGGCCTTCATGAGAAAGGGACATTTCAACTGTGACTTGAAAGTTGAACACAACAAGAAGTGCCCATCCCAGTGTTTGGCTTTTTTTTTAGTGTTAATATCTGTGTGAAACAGGAGTAGATAAAATAAATCAGGTGATAGATCTGTAAATATTTTGAATAAACTCAGAGCGCTCAGTATAAAAGGGCTGTATTTAGCCTTGGAAAATCAACAAATTAGTTCACTGAAACTGCTGCTGAGGATGGCTGTTGATTAACATTAGGCACTTGATTAAGATTAGGTCCTACTTTTTAATTTTTACTTGTTTTTTATAAGCCATTTCTTCCAAGTTCCCATTGAACTTGGGGGTTGATAGTGGAAATTGTTTTGGAGTTCTGGGCCTTGGAAGGTAGACCAGCTGCCAAGGGAATTAGAAAGGTTCTTAGCTGCAAAACTGGTAAATGGGAAGAACAGAACGTGGAGTCATACAAATTTGGGTTCAGGTCCTGGTTCTGCCATTTATCACCTGTGTAACTATCAGAAAAACTTGTAACTAATCAACTTGTCATTTTTTCAGCTGTAAAACAGGAATAAGCCGGGTGCAGTGGCTCACACCTGTAATCCCAGCTCTTTGGGAGGCCAAGGTGGGTGGATCACTTGAGGCCAGAAGATTGAGACAAGTCTGGCCAACATGGCGAAACCCCGTCTCTACTAAAAATACAAAAAAATTAGCTGGGCGTGGTGACACATGCCTGTAGTCCCAGCTACTTGGGAGGCTGAGGCAGGAGAATCGCTCATACCCGAGAGATAGAGGTTGTGGTGAGCCAAAATCACGCCCCTGCATTCCAGCCTGGGCGACAGAATGAGACCCTGTCTCAAAAATAAATAAATAAAACGAATAAAAATATCAGTCTTCAGGAGTTATAGAAATCTGTAAGGGTAAGTAAAATACTTGAATCAGGTGTGCAAATTAAGGAAGAGGGCACAGTGTTTGTACTCTCCAGGACTGGTTCTGTTTCCTTCTTACCCTTGTTCATAGGTGAACTGGCCTGCCCACTCACATCTTAGCATCTGTGTTTGTTCTTTGCATTTAGGCACTGCTGACTTCAGGACTAATGCTTATAGACAGGACCCAGTGTTCACTTAGTTTCTTAGGGTAGATGAGGACACATTGCTAGCCAGACCTTTTTTTTTTCTTCTTCTTCTTCTTCTTCTTTTTTTTTTTTTAAGAGATTTGGTATATTAGTGATAAGCTTTTAAAATCTGAGCCTCCAGAACCTGATGTGTTTGCCTCCTAGGTATCTCTCAAACCCAACTCTTCTCCATGCCTGTGACTGCTGTCCTCACACGGGCTCTGGCTCTCTCCCCTCACCTCTGCTGACCAGCTGCTCTAACTGCCTCCAGTCTTCCTTCCCCAAGGCACTCCTGGATTTTCCTAGCATTAGCATGTAACCGTATCACTGCCCTGATCAAAGTCTTCAGGGGCTTCCCAGGGCTTCAGCTCCTCAGCAAGGCATTCCCAAGCCTTCCAGCCTTATTCCCCGTCCTTCCTATTACCTCGAGGTGTGTGGACCATGACAGTTCCTATCTTTGTTTTCAGAGCGATCTTTTCCTCTGCCTAAAATATCCTTTCCCACCTTCTTCAACTTTATACTTCTTCCAGGACAGCCTGGATGACCTCTCTAGGACACTTTCCTTGGAAGGGTGTTTCCATAGCACTCTCCCCAAATTGTTGTCATTGTACTTACATTATAATACGTGTGTCCTTACATTTTAATACATGTGTCCGTTAATGTTTTTATTTTCCCACAAAAGCACACGAGGTTCTTCGAGGGCAGGGATGGGTGTCTCATTTGCCTCTTATTTCCAGAGGGAAAAGAGTCAGCCCAGTCTGGACACACGGTGGGCCCTATGTGAACAGAGATACCTGCTGATGCTACTGCCTCTGCCCTCCTTCACCACCTATTGCCTGTAGGGTAGTCCAGAATCCTTAGCTGGGCTTTAAGCAAACATGGTATGGCAAAGAAAAAAGACCTGATTTGAATATTTATTGACTATTTAGTCCATTGACTAGCTAAATGATCTTAGAGGAGTTTCTGAATCTCTCTGGGCCAATTTCTTCATCTGTAAAAAAGGAATATTACTGTTCAATATTGTTATAAAGTGTGATTGAAATAACGTACAACACTCCTGGCATGTAATAGGTGCTAAATACATTTCCTCATCTCTTACTGTTTTTCTCCCTCCCCCCTGCACTATTCTGAGCAGCCTCCACCTGCCACACACACACACACACACACACACGCACACACTGAAGTCACAGACGCTTCGTTGTTGGTGAATACATCCCTCCATTTTTCATCCCTCCACTAAGGGATGCCTTCTTCACATCCACCTGCCTCTCTACTCTGTTCAGATCCTGCCTGAACTAAAGGCTTGCCCAGATCCTGCAGTTAAAAGGAATTTCTTCTCATTCCTTTCCTGCTCTATTTCCCTATAGCATGTAATATTTCTAACTTAATAGTCAGCTGTCTTATTTTAATCACTTGAAGATAGTTAACTGGGTTGGAAGCTTCTGGGGGAAAGGATGTTTCTTCTGCATTTTTGTAGCTCACTGTGGTTCTGAGCACTCTGGGTCTGGAACATGTGAAGTGTTAAATAAATGGTTGTTCACTGTAGCCCGGAGAGTTGGGGATGATGGGAAGATGCTTCTCAACCTGGCTAAACAGTGTCTTCACAGTCTTAAAGGAATCAGACTCTCTGGGAACTCAGTTTTAGCTTACTTGTCCTTAAGACTTTTGAGTGTTATTAATCTCTATGATATCTGGCAATTAGACATAATTCTAGAAAATCCATTTCAAACACAATGAAAAATCAGTCTTGGACTTCGTTTATAATGTGATGAAGGTAAGGAAATTGCTTGCCCCAAACTACATGAAAGTGATATATATTTCTAATTATGTTCTCAAAGGGATATTCCAAAAGGAGTTAGTGCTGCGGAAATCCTTGAAGTAGACTGTGTTTTGGGAAAATCATTTCGACAAGCTCAGATTCAGCGTCCATAGAAAACAACGATTTCCAGTCTTATTGATTGATGTATTAAGCCAGTCGTTAGCAGGGAACAGTGTGCAATCTGTGTTACAGGTAGTTAGGGATGTTTTATAGACGTGCTCACACATACCTCTTCTAGCCATTAAGTAGTAATTTCCCTTGGACTCTGCTTATCCCTTTTTTTCTTCAAACCTTTAAACTCTAGATGCAAAGCTTCCTAGATGGAGAATAGAACTGTTCCACTTCTGGCGTCTACCAGAAGTGGTAGAAGTGGCTTCTACCCATGGCCTCCAGTAAGTAGCCATTTCCAGCAGTGAGTTCATGCTGAAAAGATTCATTAGTACCCATCTCTTCCAGTGTTCAGAGTCACAAACTAGCCACTGCCCTCACACATGTATAGCTCTTAAGTCACATCTCCTCATCCTATATTTGGACTATTGTTCTTTTAGGGTCCAAATTTAGTAGCTTACTTATTACATAATAAATGTAATGTGTACATTTTCATCTTATTAGATATATCTGTCATATGAACCTACTGATGTTGGGGGGGGCGTGTCTTGACTCTCATTCAACATATTTGTTACCTGCCAGCTTGATATTAATAATAACAGCTAACTCTCATGTAGCCCTTACCATGTGCCAGGCATTGTTCTAAGCACACATATTAACTCATTCAGTTGGCACAGCCGTGAGGTGTAGGTACTGTTAACTCCATTTTATGGTTTAGAGATATTCAGATGTGTGATCAATATACACTTTATGGGGTGCTTTTTCAACATTAAACTTAGTAAAATCTGGGTTATGTGTCATAAGTACCTTCTAGAAACCACCTAGGGGAAATAGTTGGATACACTATTGTATATCATGTGCGTGTGTGTGCATTCCCTGTGGCAGTCACTTTGTTGCCTACCCAACTATTCGTTTTTTTTTTGAGATGGTGTCTCCCTCTGTCACCCAGGCTGGAGTGCAGTGGCAAGATCTCTGCTTACTGCAACCTATACCGCCAGGTTCAAGTGATTCTCCTGCCTCAGCCCCCCAAGGAGCTGGGACTAGAGGCGTGTGCCACCACGCCTGGCTAATTTTTGTATTTTTAGTAGAGAAAGGGTTTCACCATGTTGGCCAGGCTGGTCTCTAACTCCTGACCTCAAGTGATCCACCCACCTCAGCCTCCCAAAGTGCTGGGATTACAGGCGTGAACCACCATACCCAACCCCAACTACTCTTTCAACAACCAATGTTCTTTCCTTACAGAGCCTCAGTTTTTTTCTTTTCAGATATAGAGTAGAAATCTTCTGATGCCTTGAGGAGAGGGAAAGAATCTACCTTAGCTTGAGAAGTGAATCCTGATTGGTTGAACAACCAAGGCAATCTTACTCCCTTCGGCCAGTGGTGGATCTGCAGAGTTGGGGGAATGCGACCCAGTTCTGGCCAGTGAAATGTAAAGGGAAATGTGTTACTAGAGAAGCTTCTCTTCCCTAATAAAAAGATAGAACTTCAGAATACAGCCCTCCTTTTGCCTGCCTGAAAACCTGTGTGATGGCCAGGGCGGCGGCCACCACCTAAAGAAAAGGCTAAGAGAATTACAGTCATTGGTCAGGCACTATCAATCATGAACTCACTACCACTGGGCTGCACATGTGAGCCACTGTACAGGGATGTTGGTAACTCGAAATGGACCTATTCCCAACTGATAGTGATGCACATCAGACTGTCAGTAGTTCCCTGCGGAAATGGGTGGGGCATTGTAAGGGGAGCTAACTCTTCTGTATGGCAAAAGAGTCTCCTCTTGGGAGTTTTATGGGCTACCTATGTGCAATCCACCAGATATAAAACCATAGATTTTATAAATGGTTTTAACATGAAGAGGGACTGTGATAAAATGAGCACAAATGTAATGTAGTTTGCCTCTGCAAACTAGGATTTGGGTGATTGGGTTTATTTTGTATTTTTATTTTTTGGGGATAGGGTCTCACTCTGTTACCCAGGCTGACTTGAACACAGCTCTCTGTAGCCTTGACTTCCCAGGCTCACGGGATCCTCCTGCCTCAAGCAATCCAGCCTCCTGAGTAGCTGGAAGCACAGGTACACACCACCGTGCCCAGCTAATTTTTTTTTTTTTTGAGATTGGGTTATCACTCTGTCAGCCAAGCTGGAGTGCAGTCGCGTTTTCATAGCTCACTGCGACATTGACCTTTCTTGCTCAAGCGATCCTCCCACCTCAGCCCCCTGAGTTGCTGGAACCACAGGCACACACCACCATGCCCAGCTAATTTTTGTATTTTTTCTAGAGACAGGGTCTCGCTATGTTGCCAGGGCTGGTCTTGGACTCCTGGGCTCAAGAGATCCTCACGCCTCACCCTCCCAAATTCCTGGGATTCAAGGCATGAGCCACCGTGCCCAGCTAATTTTTAAATTTCTTTTGTAGAAACGGGGTCTCCCTATATTGCCCAGGCTGGTGGGCTCAAGCAGTCCTCCTGCCTCAGCCTCCCAAAGTGCTAAGATTACAGATGTGAGACACTGCATCTATTGGTTTTATTTTTTACTTTGTATGTGTGTAGTAATCAAACATGCATTTAAAAATTTTTGTTACAAAATGCACATAACAAAATTTACCATCTTAACCATTGTATGTATTTTTTTTTTTAATTTTGTTTTTTGAGGCGAAGTCTTGCTCTGTCGCCCAGGCTGGAGTGCAGTGGCACAATCTTGGCTCACTGCAACTTCCGCCTCCTGGGGTTCAAGCGATTCTCCTGTCTCAGCTTCCCAAGTAGCTGGAACAGGCACACACCACCACACCCAGCTAATTTTTGTATTTTTAGTAGAGATGGGGTTTCACTACGTTGGCCAGGCTGGTCTCGAACTCCTGGTGTCAGGCGATCCGCCCACCTCGGCCTCCCAAAGTGCTGGGATTACAGGCACGAGCCATCGTGCCCAGCCTATTTTTTTTTAGACAGATTCTCACTCTGTCACCCAAGCTGCAGTGCAGCGGCGCAATCTCGGCTCACCGCAACCTCCGCCTCCTGGGTTCAAGCGATTCTTGTGCCTCAGCCTCCTGAGTAGCTGGGATTACAGGCGTACACCATCACGCCCAACTAATGTTTGTTATTTTTAGTAGAGATGGGGTTTCACCATGTTGGCCAGGCTGGTCTCGAACTCCTGACCTCAAGTGATCTGCCCACCTCAGCCTCCCAAAGTGCTGGGAGATTACAGGCGTAAGCCACCAGGCCTGGCCATCTTAACCATTTTTAAAATGTACAGTTCAATACAATATGAATTGAGTACATTCATATTGTTGTGCAGCCATCATCACCATCCATCTCCAGAACTCTTCATCTTGCAAAACTGAAACTGTATACCCATTAAACAATAACTCCCCATTCCCTCCTTCTCCCAGCCCTGGTAACCACCATTCTGATTCTTATCTCTATGATTTTGACTACCCTGGGTACCTCATTTATATTGGTCGGCTCATACAGTATTTGTCTTTTTGCGACTCTCTTATTAGAACTTAGCATAATGTCCTAAAGGTCATCCATGTTGTAGCATGTGTCAGAATTTCCTTCCTTTTTCAGGCTGAGTAATATTTCATTGTATGTATCTACCACATTTTGCTTATTCATCTGTCATTGGACACTTGGGTTGCTTATATGTTTTAGCTATTGTGAATAATGCTGTTATGAACGTGGGTCTATACATACACAGTTTTTATGTTTTATATTAAGAAAAAAAAATTTAAGCTGTGAAAGCCAGCTGTGCACGGTGGTTCATGCCTGTAATCACAGCACTTTGGGAGGCTGAGGCAAGATAATTATTTAAGTCCAGGAGTTCAAGACCAGCCTGGGCAACATAGTGAGACCCCGTGTCTACAAAAAAATACAAAAATCAGACAGACATGATAGCATGTGCCTATGGTCCCAGCTACTTGGGAGGCTGAGGTAGGGATCCCTTGAGCCCAAGAGGTCAAGGCTGCAGTGAGCTGTGATTGCGCTGCTGCACTCCAGTCTAGGGGGCAGAGTGAGACCCTGTCTCTCAAAAAAAAAAAAAATTAACTAAAAAAAGAAAAGCTGTTGAAGCCAAATCATCTATTTTGAGTTTATGCTTTTCCCCTGATTTCTCATTTTGGAGCCGGTCTTTCGGCTGCTTTAGCCAACTGTAACATTTCCCCACCAGAAGGAAAAATTAAAGTGGAAAGCTGGTCTCCCTGTTTAAAACATAATAGTGTAGTGACATGGTTAACTGTGTTTTGTGGTTAACTGAATTCAAGAGCTCTACCTGCTTCCTACTTCCTTTCCTCCCTCCCTCCCTCATAGCTAAAAAGTTTAACTTCTCACCGCCTGTATAATTCTCTAAAAAATTTTGACCTTCTTTGTCTCTTTGTCTCTGAAACTGTTCCCTGGAGAGTCACTGTGTGCCCATAGTCTGGGTGTTCCTTCATTGTACTGACTATGTTGTAACGGAATCATCAGTCTGTTTCCACAGTGAACTATATAGGAGACCAAAAAAGCAACTAATTCAGTTCACTAAATATCAAGTGCTCCCATGTGGCAGCCACCACTGGGCACCCAGAGCTCAGTAATGATGAGCCAACTGGGTACCAAGACACTCTTCATGGAACATCTCTTTTTTAAGGTGGGAAGAGGTGGTATTTAGATTTACTGATTTGGTGGGCATCATAGAATTTGAGTGAAAAGAGACCCTGGAGCTGATTTAGTCCAGTTACTTGATCTGTAAGCACGGTCCTGAGATCGGCTGTTGAACTGCTAGAGTTTTTCTGCTTTCATCCTGGTTGCTCAGTGCGCTGTAACGAACGCTGATTTTCTTAAGTTGGCTCTCTGGCCCTGATCTTCCTCTACTCAAAAGCCACCACCCTTCTGCATATATCTTCCTGGCAGTTACACCATGTTATCTGCCATGTCCCAGCTGTCTCCTTGCTTTGCCTTCTACCTGGAATGTATTCCTCCCCACACTCTGCCTCTGGACACTTAATCCTTCAACTTCCGCCTGAGATGCCACTTTCCCAGCATTCCAGCCCGACATAAGCCCTCCCTCTTGAGCGACCATATTCCCCTGATCAGCATGGTATGTGTGTTACACATGGCTTTGGGCTTTGAACTGTACTTGTATGTCTCTGTTGAAACCTGCCACTCCTCCTATCAGTCCAGCTAGCTGTGTTGATATGTTACGTGAGCACAAAGAAAGGAATGGGAGATACACACTCATTAGTTAATAATGGTTACCTTAGGCAAGGCAGGGGAGAGAATAAAGAATTAAAGATGAAACTCATCCACTGACCTCCCAGCAAGTGTGTGCAATAAGAGCTCACTATTCAAAGCTATGAGACATGGCCACATGTGGGTCACTGGGAAGCAGATTGAGAAGTGCATCTAGGCTGTTCCAGCTGGTACAGGTCACGTCAGCAACTCAGCTGAGGATTTAGAGACTGCTTTCAGAAGCATGGGATAGCCTTTACAGTGAATCAAACAGAGCTCCTACTTAGGGGACAAAGAGCAAAATCACTCCTCGCACCTCCTCGCATCTGTGTCTTTGACTGCAGCTGCCTATTCACTAGTTCTCATCCTGCCTGTGACCCAGCTCTCCCATCTTGTCTCTCGCAGTCTCTTCCTGTCCTCCTCCTGGTGTGTCAGTTTTTTCTTTTCCCGTCCCTGGTATGTCTGTCTTCCCACCCCCTCCTCCCTTTTAATAGAGGCACTGTGTGTATTTCACACTTGTTCTGTTTATTGGCGATGGCTTTCTATGTTATTAATAGAGCCAGTGGCCAGCAGATGCATTGTGCTTTGGGGCTTTCTTTTCCCCCTTGAAAAATTCCAGCCTAAGTTATTTTTCAGTGAGTAAACAGGCTTTAATTGATTTCTCTCCCTGTGGGTCAGTGATCTATAGAGAAGCACTGCCCCCCGGTCCCCTTGAACCACAGGGCTGGAAAAGGCCAGAGCCTCTGGAGCTCTGCATGGGCCCCCACAGCTGGACCCCTAGCCTGCCCTCGCATCCTGTCTTCCTTCCTTCCTTCCCTCCCCCCATCCACCCACTGTATAAATCAGAGCCCTGGGGGCCAGCCTGCGTCTCCACACCTACTCCACCGACAAGCCAGGTCTCCCCGGTGTTTCTCCTTCTCCCCTCTTGGGTGCTGGGAATGGGATGGGCTAGGCCTCCTCTTTGGCATTTCCTCTGGGTCTGCAGACTGGCAAGGTAAAAACTGTTTCTCAAACTCTCTGGGAACTGGGGTCCTGGAAGAAGACTGGGCTTCTTCAATCAGATGTTCCGTTTGGGAAGGCTGAAGTCAGGTGGATTAATAGTCTTCCCCCTATTTTGTTTTCTGGCAAGTTCATGGAGACGGAGCTCATTCCGTGTCTGCGCCTCGGTTTGTGGGCGCCAGGAGGAAGTTGTTGCAGGAGTGGTCACATTGTTTTCTGAACCCCTGGTCACCCCGCAGCTGCACACTCTTGAACTCAGTAATGCTAGTGGAGGCCCCCTGATCCCACCTTCCTGACTTGGCTCTTTTTGGTGGGTCAGCCATTCCCGGATCCCCAGCCCATTGTTTTCAGCCTATCCCATAAGCTCCTAATTCCCTGTATTAACCCTTGTCAGTTTAAATACTGAGAGTAATTTCCTACACTTCCCACATCAGACCTGCACCCCAAGCCCCACCCCTGGGGCTCCCCTGTGGCCTTCCAGCTTCCGCTCATCACTCACCCCCACAGCCCATGGCATTTTAAAGACAAATCTAATCATGGAATTCCCTTGCTGAGAACCCTTCAAAAGACAGTTTTACTGAAAAGGAAATGCAAACCCCCGACCAAGGCTTAAGGCGTAGCTCCTCCCCTGCCTGCTTCAACTCCTGTCGTATGCCCCTCGCACAGGCCAGATTCCTCAAACACACCACACTCCTCCTTCCTCATTGCCTTAGCACATGTGGTTCCCTCTGCCTGGAATGCTTTTCCCTTGCTCTCCTGTTTCTTTGCTCTGCTAGTTCCTCTTCTCCAGGTCTCAGCTTAAATATCTCCGCTGCAAAGATCCTCTGCTTACCGCGAGCCGGGCAGCTCCACCCTCCCCAATATTCCTTCTCCCTCACCCCATCTGTGTTTTCATAGCAGCGCAGTTTGCAGTTCTGTGCTGGTTTGGGTGCTTGGTTATCTCTCCCTGTTGATTGTGTCGGTTGCTACTTGATTCCACTGCTGCTTACAAAGAGCGGCTCAATCAATGCTCCTGAAGTGAAAGCCTGCCGAGGCAGTGAGGCCACGCCCAGTTAAGAGCAGCCTTTGGGGCTGCGGTTGTTAGCAAAGAGCTAGTATCGCAAGCCTTACACAGAGAGGTGCTCAATATCTGAACTGGATTGAAAGTCACTTCCCCTCTGGGAGCCTCTGTTGTTCCAGTTCCCAAAACTCAAGGGCCCTGGTTGTCCCGAGAGGAGAACCAACTTCCTGCTGTAAATTCAGCCTGTATTTTACACATTGCATATGCTTGGGCTTGGTTTAAACTGTCCAGCCTGCTTTAAACCAAGTTACAAGGGTCAGGTCCTACAAACAACCAAAAGAACTCCTTAGCAGAATGGGGCCTGGGTCATGGATGTAACTCTGTCCTAAGGGCAGATTTATGGGCCTACCTTGGGGGCAAAGTAACAACTCAGCCTTAAATCATAAAAGCTGTGAAAGCAGTAAGGCTGCTTCTGGAGTGGGCGACTTTCTCGGAAGCTCCATGGTGATGGTGAGCCGCTTGGACGAGCTGGAAGAGGTCAGGGCAGATGTGAGGGAGCCAACTTCCTGGGGCACCTACTGGGCAGCAGCCTCGAGTGTCAGCTATCCTGTGTCTGCCTGTATTTTATTATTTATTTATTTATTTATTTTTGAGACGGAGTCTTGCTCTGTCGCCCAGGCTGGAGTGCAGTGGTGCGATCTTGGCTCACTGCAAGCTCTGCTTCCCGGGTTCACACCATTCTCCTGCCTCAGCCTCCTGAGTAGCTGGGACCACAGGTGCCCGCCACCATGCCCAGCTGTTTTGTTTGTTTGTTTGTTTGTTTATATTTTTAGTAGAGACGGGGTTTCACCGTATTAGCCAGGATGGTCTCGATATCCTGACCTCGTGATCCGCCCACCTCAGCCTCCCAAAGTGCTGGGATTACAGGCGTGAGCCACTGCGCCCGGCCTATTTTTTATTTCTCAACAGTCATGGTCTCACTCTGTCTCCCAGGCTGGAGCGCAGTGGCACAATCATGGCTTACTGCAGCCTAGTACTCCTGGGTTCAAGTGATCCTCCCACCTCAGCCTCTTTAGCAGCTGGGACAACAGGTGCACACCACCACCATGCCTGGCTAATTTTTTTTTTTAAATATTTCTGTAGGCCGGGCATGGTGGCTCACGCCTATAATCCCAGCCCTTTGGGAAGCCGAGGTGGCTTGAGGTCAGGAGTTTGAGAGCATCCTGGCCAACATAGCGAAATCCCATCTCTACTAAAAGTACAAAAATTAGCCAGGAGTGGTGGCACATGTCTGTGATTCCAGCTACTCGGGAGGCTGAGGCATGAGAATCACTTGAACCTGGGAGGTGGAGGTTGCAGTCAGCCGAGATCACGCCACCGCACTCCAGCCTGGGCAACAGAGCAAGACTCTTTCTCTAAATAAATAAATAAATAAATAAATAAATAAATACAGATATGCCATGATTGTGCCACTGCTCTCCAGCCTGGGTGACAAGAGTGAGACCGTGATTTGAAAATATACATATACATTTTTTTTTAAGAGGCAGGATCCTGGCCGGACACGGTGGCTCATGCCTGTAATCCCAGCACTTTGGGATGCCGAGGTGGGTGAATCACAAGGTCAGGAGTTTGAGACCAGCCTGGCCAACATGGTGAAACCCTGTCTCTACTAAAAATACAGCAATTAGCTGGGCATGGTCGTGGGCGCCTGTAGTCCCAGCTACTCCAGAGTCTCCAGCAGGAGAATTGCTTGAACCCGGGAGGTGGAGGTTGCAGTGAGCCGAGATTGCACCACTGCAAGAGATCGCACCAGCCTGGGCGACAGAGCGAGACTCCATCTCAAAAAAAAAAAAAAGAAAAAAAAAAAGGCAGGATCCTGCTGTATTGCCCAGGGTAGTCTCAAACTCCTGGGCTCAAGGGATCCTCCCACTTAGGCTTCCCAAAGTGCTTGGATAACAGGAGTGAGCTATCATGCCCAGCCCTGTGTCTGCCTTTAAAATGACCTTAGACTTCGCAAAACACAGGAGTTAACTGGGACAAAGAGGTATGAAGAAAAGGAAACTGATACCACAAGGAGAAGAGAACACAAGGCCCAGCAGTCTGGGCTTGTATTAGCTCATGGCCTTGCATAGCATTGGGCCCTGTGCCTAGAGCCTGAGATGACTTCACCTTTGGGGGAGTGAGAGCTCTGAATCTGGCGGTGCTTTGACATTTTAACAAACTGGCAACAGTGGTGCCCCTTGTGTCTTCCCAGCACCTGCCCCCTTCAGCTCAAATTCCTTGCTTCAGTTACTGCATCTGAAATGATGTCCGAGCTGGAAATGAATAGAAAGAACACAGAACTGCTCCTGCTTCAGTCCTCACTCTTACTAGCTGTGTGACCTTGGACAAGTGACCTAACCTCTCTGAGCCCCAGCAGAGAAGCAGGCCTGGCTTTCAAGGTGATTGTGAGAATGAAGTTAGGTGGTACATATAAAGAAACTTAGCTTGGTGCCTTCTTCCTGGTATATCCTAAGTGTGTTTCCATGAAGAGCACTGGGACGTTGCTATGGAAGCACAGAGCAGAGGAGGGGTGAGCACTGGCCAAAAATCAGGAGACCCGAATTCTACTCACCATGCTACCAATGCAGTGTGACCTTGGGTACATCCCCTCTGGGTTGAAATAGATTTGTATGTATGAAAAGTGCCCTAAAAAGTCACAACTGGGCTGGGTGTGGTGGCTCACGCCTGTAATCCCAGCACTTTGGGAGGCCAAGGTGGACAGATCACTTGAGGTCAGGAGTTCATGACCAGCCTGGCCAACATGGTAAAACCCCATCTCTACTAAAAATACAAAAATAATTAGCTGGGGCTTAGTGGCGCACACCTGTAATCCCAGCTACTCCGGGCGGCTGAGGTGGGAGAATTGCTTGAACCTAGAAGGCAGAGGTTGCGGTGAGCCAAGATCACACCACTGCACCCCAGCCTGGGCGACAGAGTGAGACTCCGTCTCAAAAAAACAAAGTCACAACAAAAAGGGCCCATTTCTGCCAGCTTCCACGTGGGCTTTTATAATAGTTTACAGGAGCTCACTGGGTGCGCCCAGGACCAGGGTGGGGAGACTGAAGCCTGTGGAGCAGGCCACGGCAGGACCAGGCAGGGCCTCCCACGTGCTGTCCTGCAGGACCTCGCTCACTGAAGACGCCATCAGTCAGGCCATCATCAGTTTGCCCAGAAGCTTGTGAGCACCAGCAGACAGGGCCACCTCTCTTTTACCCTGTGCCTTGCTAGAATCAGCCGGGGCTAGGAAAACAGCGGTTGATACAAACAGACATGAGTGGCAGCGGGTGGGCACTGAAGCCAGGCTTCTAGCCCAGGCCCAGCAGGTTCTGTGAGCAGGTGCTGTGCTGTTGACCAGTGCCATTCCTGTTCCAATGAGGCATCGAAGCTGGCACAGGGGGCTTTGCTGGGCTGCAACAGGTGTTCAGGATGGGGCTCAGAGGTTGGCACTTGGCAAGCAGAAGGGGCACGGGCTGGCCAGTAGAACAGCGCTGGGGTGCACGAGGCAAGAGGTAGAGATAAGTCACTGAGAAGGGCAGAAGTGGGGGGACCTGTTTCCAAAGCACTAAGGCTGGTGGCCAGAGCCCTGCCGGCTGCATCAAGTCAGGAGAGTGTGCTCCTGGAAGCATGGGCAAGCGGGGGAGACTCAACCTTAGTTCTGAGTCCAGAAATAAAATGGCCCTCTATTACACAGTTATCTTTGACTCCTCAAGCCCCTCTTGCTTTCACATTGAGTCACTAAATGCTGTCCTTTTTCTGATAGTCTCTACATTTTATTCCTTTGCTTTCAATTTGGTGAGAAAGGTATACATACAGAAGTGTATACAAAAACTGTGCAAAGAAGTTAGAGAATAATTGTATCATGAACCAGCACCCAGGTAAAGATATAAACACAGCCAGCATCCCAGAGGCTGTGCCCCAGCCTGACCATGACCGTTCCTTCTCCCTACAGGTCCTAGTGCAGTTTTGTGATG